>NC_000013.11:95646918-95949948 GCF_000001405.40 Homo sapiens
GAACCTGGGAGGCAGAGACTGCAGTGAGCTGAGATCATACCACTGCACTCCAGCTTGGGCAACAGAGGGAGACTCTGTCTTGAAAAAGAAAAAAAAAAGAAAAAAAAAGGAAGCAAGTTTATTAAGAAAGTGAAGGAATAAAAAAAAAATGTACTCCATAGGCAGAACAGCCTGTACCACATTTTTTAAATCCAATCCACTGTTGACAGGCACTTTGATTGATTCCACGCCCTTGCTATAGTGAATAGTGCTGTGATGAACATATGGGTATATGTGTCTATTTGATAGAATGAATTATTTTCATTTGGGTATATACCAGGTAGTGGGATTGCTGGGTTGAATGGTAGCTCTGTTTTAAGTTATTTGAGAAATCTCCAAACTGCTTTCCACAGTGGCTGAACTAGTTTGTATTTCCACCAACAACGTATAAGCATTCCCTTTTCTCTGAAGCCTCGCCAACATCTGTTGTTTTTTGACTTTTTACTAATTGCCATTCTGACTGATGGAAAACGACATTAACAGACACTTCTCAAAGGAACACATACAAGCGGCCAACATACGTATGAAAAAATGCTCAACACCACGAATCATCAAAAAAATGCAAATCAAAACAATGAGAAACCATCTCATACCAGTCACTGTGAGATTTAACAGATTTTAGGGCTGGTTTATAGGGAGAAATGTATTTAGGGGCTTGCAGGGAATTTCTTTGTAATTTGTGAGGGAGGCCATCTGGGAAGGTGTATGGCCTTCTATTATTGTGGGAATCTGACTTATATATAAGGCTCTGGCATGGAATTGTGAAATTACAACCATCTGTTTGGAAACAAAATGGTAGGCAGTATTGCCCCAACTCAGTTGCCAAGCTCAAATCTCCTTTGGCATAGTGAGTTTGGGGTCCCAAGATTTTATTTTCTTTCACACTTGGAACCTGAAAGTCAGACCCACATACTAAGGATGGGAAGGCAGAATGATGTTGTAAAGGGGTCATATCAGTCTTGAACCACCTGCATCTAGACATCTCTTCCAGGTGAGAAACCTTTTCAAGACATTTATCTGGATATTCTCTTTTATGCAGAAAAATCGAATTTTAACTGCCATTAGAACCTCCCACATCTCATGATTGTTCTGTGGATTACAGGGAACTGTTCTTGTGATAATTCAACTTCAATTGCATTCACTGCCACTATAACAATTAAATTCCTGGGAGGGTTGGGCACAGTGATTCACGCCTGTAATGCCAGCACTTTGGGAGGTCGAGACAGGCGGATCACCTGCGGTGTGGAGTTTGAGACCAGCCTGGTCAACATGGTGAAACCTCATCTCTACTAAAAACACAAAAATTAGCCAGGCATGGTGTCCCATGCCTGTAGTCCCAGCTACTCAGGAGGCTGAGGGAGGAGAATCACTTGGACTCAGGAGACAGAGATTGCAGTGAGCCAAGATTGTAACACTGCATTCCAGCCTGGGTGACAGAGTGAGACTCCATCTCAAAAATAAATAGGTAAATAAATTCCTGTGAGAAAGATTCTAATTGACTTAGTCACATGCCCAACCAGTGGTTTGGCTAAACGCAGGGTGTAAATGACAGCTCCACCATAATTACTTGAAAAAGACTGTAGCAATCCTCAAAGGAAGGTACCTATATAGAGAAATATGAAAACAAGACAAATGCAATGTCCATTAAATCCAACTCCTTCGCTGCTTAGCACCCACACACACTCATATTCTTCTTTCTATTGATATGTCTTAGTCTGTTTTGTGGCACTACAACAAAGTACCTGAGACCGGGTAATTTATAAAAATGGAAATTTATTTTCTCATACTTCTGGGGGCTGGGAAGTCCAAGATCAAGGCTCTTGCAGGTTTGAGTTTCTGATGAGGGCCTTCTGGTAGCGTCCTCACATGGCAGAAAGCTGAAGGGCAAGAGAGAGTGAAAGAGCAAGTGAGCAGAACGCTTTATGAAGCCTCTTTTATAAGGGCTTTACTCCCATTAATGAGGGAGGCATCTTGATGGCCTAATTGCCTCTTAAAGGCCCCACCTCTTAATACCATCACATTGCCAACACCTGAATTTTGGAAGGGACACATTCGAACCACAGCATTCTGCTGTGGCCCCCAAAATTCATATCCTTCTCACATACAAAATACATGTCTTCCTTCCCAGTAGCCCCGAAAGTCTTAACTTATTCCAGTATCAGCTCAAAAGTCTAAAATTCAGAGTCTCATTTAAATCAGATATGGGTAAGAGTCAGTGTATGATTCATCCTGAGACAAATTCCCTCCAGCTTTGAATCTAAGAAATCAAACAAGCTAAGGGCTTTAAAAGTACAATGGTGTATTTAGGCATGGGATGAACATTCCCATTTCAAAAGAGAGAAATAGGGAAGCAGAAAGGAGTGACAGATTCCAAGCAACTCCAAAACTCGACAAGGCAAACACCACCAAATCTTGAGGCCTAAGAACAACCTTCCCTTACTTCATGTCCTGCCTTCTGAACACACTGGGGCAGAGGTTAAGGTCCCCAAGGCCCCAAGGTACCCCACCCCTGCAGCTTTGCTGGGCACAGCCCATGGAGCAGCTGTCACAGGTTGGTGTTGGGTACCTGTGGCTCTCACAGGTTGGCATTGCATGCTGGCATTTCTATAGGTCTGGGGTCTCTGGGGCAGAGACCCTACCCCCATGGCTTCACTAAGGCCTGCTCTAGTGGGGATTCTCTGCAGTGTCCCTGCCCCCAGAGCAAGTCTCTGCTTGGGCCCCAACAGTGTCTGAGATATCCTTTGAATTCTAGGTGGAGGCCAATAATGCTTCCACAGCTCTTGCACTCTGCAAGCCTGCAGAATTAGCACCACCTGGATGCAGCCAAGGTGTGTATGGCTATGCCTTCCAAGATGGTGGCCTGAGCCACACCTGGGCCTGCTTGAGCTACAGCTGGGAAAGCTGAGGCGTGCTACCCCAAAATGCGGAATGCAGAGACCCAAGGCAGCCCTGGGCAGTGAGCCCCAAGGTTCCATGAACCCCTGAGCCATGCAAAACTACTCTTCTCTCAAGGCCCTGGCACTCTGGGCCTGAAATGGGCATGGCAGCCTCAAAGATCTCTGAATTGCCTTTGGGGTCACTCTCCCATTGTCTTGATGAATATCACCTGGCTTCCTTGTATCCATAGTAATCTCCATATCAACAGTCATTTGGCCACTCTCGGTTTTCTCCCCAACACATTTTTTAAATCTTTATATGCCCAGGCTGTGAATTTTCCAAATCTTTACATTCTGCTTCTCTTTTAATTATAAATTTTATCTTTAAGTCATTTCTCTCCTCTTGCATTTTAATAGAAGCAGTTAAGAGAAGCACTACAACTCTTTCAATATTTTGCTGCTTAGTGTTCTCTGAGCCAGGTGGATGCCTCTCTTCCTCCATGCATCCTTTCTCCACCTCCCAGGAATGGCCAGGTGTCCCCACTGGCTCCTGGGCCAGGAGGCATCCAAGGTTCTGTGAAGCTGCTGAAGGAGCCTGTCTTTGTTTGTGCTGCTATGATATAAAATTTATTTTCTCTCAGTTCTGGAGGCTGGGAAGTTCAAGATCAAGGTGCCGCCGTGTTCCATTTTCTGGTGAAGGTCCAATCTCTGCTTCCAAGATGAAGCCTTGATGCTGAATCCTTGTAGGGGAAAAACACTGCATCTTCCCATGGTAGAAAAGCTGGAAGGACAAGAGAACCAAATGCTTTGTGAAGCCTCCTTATAAGGGCCTTAATCCCATTCATAAAAGGAGGAGCCCTTATGGCCAAATCACCTCTTACAGGCCCCATCTCTTAATACTATTACATTGGTAACACCTGAATTTTGGAGGCGGCCTATTCAAATCATAGTAACAAACAATTCAAAAAATATCCTGTTAATAAAAAGTAAATAACTTATGCAGACTTGCCCTATGCTACACTGAGAGGTTACCCAGCAGCACCTCCCACTATCATGACACAATGCCAGGAAGACTTGTGAAATGGCAATTTCTGGATTACGTCTATTTTTACCTCTAGTTCCTTTTTAATTATGTCTTGTTTCTTAAATCTATAGCCTCGGTGGTAAATGAAGCCACGTTAACACACCCTACAAGCAATAGAAAAGCAAAAAGGAAAAGATGGAAAAAAACATTTTTTACATTTCGTGGCCCATTAAGAAATCAAGGCAGTTGCAGTAATTCAGATGGCCATAAAAGAGGGTCCTGCATATACTCAGATAATGCATTGCATAAAATCACCACATCTAAGGGGATGGCATTCATCATTGACATATGTTAAATTATGAAACTAACAACAATGACAGAGAAGAAAAATGGAAAGAACCTAGGTAATTAATGACATTATTGAGCAGAAGATCATATTGTGCCTGAAGTCTGTCCTACGTATGGACTTCCAGTGAAGTGAGATAATAAACTACTTTATTGTTTAATCCAATCTGAGGAATAAGAAACACTTACAAACATGGAAAATATTAACACAGCTATATCAATAATCATTTTAAATATGAATGGTCCAATACATAAACCAATTAAAAGACAGATTAAATACAAGATCCAACAAAATGTTATGTATAAGAAATCCACTTCATATATGAAGACTCAGATAGATTAAAAGCTAAGGGATGGAAACAGATATACTGTGCTAACACTAATAAAAAGAAATCTGGAGTGGATACATTAATTTCAGAGAAAGCAGACTTCAGAACAAGGAAAATTATCAGGGATAAAGAGGGGTACCACATAATAATAAAGGGATCAATATTTGTAAAAGACATAACAATCTTAATATCTATGTATATGAGAACAGAATGTCAAATACCTGAGGATGGTTAGAATTGCAAGAGAAATAGACAAAATCACTGCTATAGTTGGAGACTTCAACACCTTCCTTTTAACAACTGATAAATCAAGCAGGAAGAAAATCAGTAATGTCATAATTGACCTGAAAGGCACTATCGACCAACTTGATCTAATTGATGTTTATAGGATATTCCATCTAATAACAGCAGATCACATATTCTTTGCAAATTCACATGGAATGTTCACCATGATAGACATTATGGGCCATCGAACACATCTTAACAAAAGTAAAAGAATAGAAATCATACAAAGTATGTTGTCAGACTACAATGGAATTAAACTAGAAATCAATAGCAGAAAAATAACTGGTAAATCCCCAGATATTTGGAAATTAAACAATATACTTCTATATAATACATAGATCAAAGAAGAAATCTCAAGAAGAATTTGCAAATATTTTGAACTAAATGAAAATACAACTTATCAAAATTTGTGCAATGCAACATAAGCAGGGCTTAGAGGGAAATTGGCAAAAATGGCCAGGTGGCAGTCTCAACTTCCAGTCCAATTGAATCATTAATGTCTTCCCTTGAACTGGCTCAGGGCTGGAAAATAGGTTAAAAAAACAACAACAACCAAACTTACCTTTCAAGGAAGTTGGCTCAGTCCTGGCATTTGCGGTGGGGTGGGATGGGAGGGTCAAATATTAGATAACCTACAGTTTGATTAAATATCACATTTTGGAGTCCTGTGATTAATTTGTCACAGCCAGATATTCATGAAAGTCAGACTAGGTTTTGGAATCTGATTACAATGGCCATGTTCCTATCTGTTAGCATAACCAAGATCAGTTTATCTTTGATGGTTAATAACTTCCAAATGGGCACAGGCACTCTGAACTCCTCCCATCCCTTTGAGATCTGGGAGCCCATTTCAGTGGCAGCTCCTGCAGCCAGCATTTCAAGTCCAGAGGAGGCTTTTTGTAAAGAGCTGTCTGCTCCCTCTGGGGTAGATACAGAATTAGTTCACTACGCTTCCATGCTGCTTTCCTCTGATGTGCCTTCCTGCTCTGCAGAGTTTAGAAAGGTAAAAACCATGCTTCTGGACTCCTTTCCAGCTCATATTCTGGAAACAAATTGGTTTCTGCCAATTAGATCTACTCTTGAATGATTTGAAAGGCAGAAGTGAGAAAGAGGCTATTTTCCTGCTGGGTTGGCTGGTATGCTGGGTTACGAGGATGAGTATCATAGGCAAAGGCAGCAGCTGAACTCAGCGTGTCTGGTCACAACTTTCAAGGGTGTCAAGTGGCTGCTGAGACAGAAGTGGCTGCACTGACTTTTTTTATTGGAGGGTAGAACTCCTGAATGTAACACTTCCAATGCTGCCCTCCCCACCCCACGTTCCAGCTTCTCTAGCCCTTTAGAAGACTGTGCAAGCATCTAATTCTATGCAGGTTCCTTGCTGCTTACAATACCCAGAGGGGTTTCCATTTCCTACACTAAAACCATACTGATACCCCTTACCAACCTATATTTTTTATAACTAAGATAAAAGTTTCTATCAAAGATGTGGTGAGGAGGGGTCTAGACTGGATGAGCATAATCTATCTAATTTTTTATTCCCTTTTCCTGAAATTTTAATATTACTTCCTTTATACTTGTTAAGGGATTTCCGATTTGGGGGATTTCTGACTTTGTGGGACAAAGTTCAGTGTATCTTTGCATTGAATAGTCTTTCTCCAACTTGTTAGCACCCTGAATACCTAATTTCTGGGAGGTGCCCATATCTGTACATTTGATCTGATTCAAAATATGGACCATGTTCCTTGACCTAATAGCCTTAAAATCTATTCCCACAAATATTCTCTCAAGGTTTGAGGATATAAATTAGGAAGTTCCCAGAACTTCTAGATTTCTAACTCTTCTGTAGCAATATTTAACATCACCCCACCAAACCTCACCAGGCCATGCTAATTTTGCATTCTGGTTGCTGTACTGACAGTGTGGCTTGGCTCTTCAAAGAGAAAATATTAGTTCTCACGTGCAAAGGTGGCAAAGCTTCCTTAACCAAAGAAGGTGGAGGATAAACTTGAGGATAGTTTGAGGACTTCAGATCCTCTATGTCAGTTGTTATAAAACTTAAGACTTGTTAAAACACAGAAAGATGTTCTCACCCTTAAAGTCTCTGATTTAGTAGGTTTGGGATGAGGTCAGAAAATCTGCATTTCTAACAAATTCCCAGGAAATGCTATGCCATTGTTCTGGGGATCACACTTGAAGACTCACTGCACTAAGTTTTCCTGACTCTCTTAGATGTTGCCATTTCCACTTCTGTCAGGATCCACTGTGTTCTGATTAGTTCTCCAACTTTTTCATCAGAAAGACTTAGAAAGACCAGGCGCAGTGGCTCACGTCCGTAATCCCAGCACTTCGGGAGGCCGAGGTGGGTGGATCACCTGAGGTCAGGAATTCGAGACCAGCCTAGCTAACGTGGTGAAACTCCCCGTCTCTAAAAAAAAAAAAAAAAAAAAAAAAAAAACCTGGGAGTGGTGGCCCGCCTGTGATCCCAGCTACTTGGGAGGCTAAGGCACAAGAATTGCTTGAACCCAGGAGGAGGAGGTTGCAGCGAAGCCGAGATTGCACCATTGCACCCCAGCCTGGGTGACAAAGTGAGACTCTATCTCAAAAAAAATATTTATATATATATACACATATATATATAATATGTTATATATATAAAACATTTCAAATATGAAACTTCCCTTATTCTCCCTTATCCCCTTACACAGAGGTAAGTGCTATTCACTACAGATTTGTCTTGCTTATTCTTGAACTTCATGTAAATGGAATTATACGGTACCCAGTCTTTTGTGTTTGCCCTTTAGTAATCATATAAATGAATACATCACAGATTTTTCATTTTTTTAATCCACTCTGTTGATGGACACATGAGGTGTTTTCAGTTCATAGCTATTAAGGCTGCTATGAACATTACTGTACAAGGCTTTTTGTGGACATTTGATTTTATTTCTCCAAGATTAATAATACCTAGGAGTGGAGTAACTAGGTCATAGAGTAGATATGTGTTTAACATTTTAATATATTACCAGTTTTTCAAAGTGGTTGCACCATTTTATACTCTCACCAGCAATGTATGAGAATTCCATTTGCTTCACACGCTTACGACACCTGATGTTGTCAATTTTTTTCATTATAAGACATTCTGGTGGGTAGGTAATGGTATCTCTATGGGTTAATTTGCATTCCCCTGATGACAAATAATATTGAGCACATTTTCATCTGTTTATTGCCCGTTCAACCCATTCCTTTATGATTACTTATATTTGAATGAGTGCATTTTTCTTAAAACTGCTTTTGGAGGAAGTTTGCATTGTTTAAAGATAAACATAGGCAAATTATAATTTTAAAGTGTTTATTTGAATAGATAGTGATTCATGAATTGGGGAGCTCCAGAGGCAAGTAGTTTGGGGTGCTCCAAAGAAGGGTAGGTGGAGAAGGATGTTATAAGGGGAAAGTAGAAGCAAGGCAAAGAAAAATATCGGTTGGTTTAAGACGAGTAGTAGCCTTATTTGGATCATTCTAGCGGGAAGTCCCAAATTAGAGGTTAATTGGTGGTTTCTGATTGGTTAAACTTATTTCATTTTACTGCTTCCACTGAGTTGAGTTTCAGTTTCTGTAGGTAGTGCTGGAACCTCCTCCTTCTAATGGCCTTCCAATTAATGATTTTTCTTTTTTTTTGAGACAGAGTCTTGCTCTGTCACCGAGACGGGTGTTCAGTGGCACAATCTTGGCTAACTGCAACCTCCACCTCCTGCCTCCCAGGTTCAAGCAATTCTCCTATCTCAGCCTTTCAAGTAGCTGGGATTACAGGTGCGCACCCACCATGCCCAGCTAATTTTTGTATTTTTAGTAGAGACAGGGTCTCACCAGGAGAACTCCTGACCTCAAATAATCCACCTGCCTTGGCCTCCCAAAGTCCTGGGGTTACAGGCGTGAGCCACCAAGCCCGGCCCCAGTTAATGATTTTAACAGTATTGTGGAAGAGACTGGGGCTGTGTCCTGTGTTCCACATCAGCTATAACTTTTCTTAAGGCCCATATTTTTTAATGAATTCTTTTATTTTTATTTCTTCTGTACAAAAGGAGACAAGTAGCTGTAAGGCTGTTCCCCACGTAAAGTTTCTCTTCCCTCTGCCAAAGGGATAAATTGCTTGCTGGAAATAATAAATGTATTGCCTTTCAGGCTGTATTAGACCATTCTCACACTGTTATTAAGAACTTCCATGAGACTGGGTAATTTATAAAGGAAAGAGGTTTAATTGACTCACAGTTCCATGTGGCTGGGGAGGCCTCAGGAAACTTACAATCATGGTGGAAGGCAAAGAGGAAGCAAGCACCTTTTTCACAAGGTGGCAGGAGAGAGAAGGAGTGCAAGAAGGGGGAAGAGCCCCACACTCATCGAACAGCCAGATCTCTTGAGAATTCATTCATTCACTATCATGAGAACAGCATGGGGGAACCTGGACCCATGATCTAATCACCTCTCACAAGGTCCCTCCCTTGATTATGAGGATTACAATTCGAGATGAGATTTGGGTGGGGACACAGCCAAACTTTATCACAGGCCCATATCTTTTGCCTCTTGGAACCAAAGTGTCTGAGTAGCTTCTGTCACCAACCAGCACATATCATCGTTCTTGTTGCAAACACGGTATTTGGGTTTTGCACCACAGGATATGTCTCTAATCTTGGAGGAGTATCTTGCCACATTTTTTTGAGGTGTGCAGTAGCAGGCATTCTCTTCTGATTCCTCTACTGTTTGTCATCCCTCCTATTTACTTTGGGATTTGAGTTTCAACACTTTCCTATATTTTGTAATTTGCTTTCCCCCTTTTCATTATATTGTTGCTTTGGGTAATTTCCAAGAAAGAAAGTGAGAAATGCTGACTTTGAGACAGAATAGGATGAGGCTCAGCCCACATCCCCACTAACACATTTTTCTTTTCCATATCTGCCGACTACCAGACTTTGCACCACCACCTCCACTGGCATTATAACCTCTGACTGGGAGATCTTGAAGAAACTAAGATAAGCAGCATTCCACCATAAATCTTACTCAAGACACTTAACCCTATCCATGGCATGCACACAAGACCAGAAAAATGACTGATCCTCATTATAATACTAAAATCTCTGCCCAAGGAGGGGCTTATCCACCATTTTTTTGATCATGCAATGTATGTACTAACATGATTTCTCACTGTGCCTGCACACCCTGCATGCTTAACCCTGCACATGCAATGACGTTCACATACCTCATGCTTATTCATGTCACCCTTCTTAAAGCACCAAAAAGACCTGCCCTCGGGGAGCCCCTCGGAGAATTTCTTCTTCCTGTACTGTATCTCTTGTGCTGGAGCATAAGCCCCAATAAAGCCTTGTCAGGGAAACTTTCTCAGCCTCATGCTAGTTTCTATTAAATGACAGTTTATGAACCTGTGGGCAGTGACAACTTGACACAGCCATCCTCAAAATAGAAATTTGGATAAATACCATTTACCAAGTTAAAGTAGTTTCCTTCCACCTTTTGCTGAGATTTCTTTCTTTTAAACATGAATGAGTGCTGTATTTGATCTAAGGCTGTATCGAATCTGTTGGAATGATTATTTTTTCATCTACTTGTTAATTTGATATGTTTCATTAAAAGGTGTTTTGATATCAATCTATCCTTGTATTCCTGGATAACGTCTTCTTGGTTATCTTCATCCTCTTTTTCGCTGCTGAGTTTGATTTGGAAATATTCTATTTAAGATTACTTTATTCGCATAATTTGGTGAAAATTTTTCTTTTTTTTCAGTTGTAGCATCAAACTTTATAACATGAGTTGGTGAGATTTTCCTCTTTTTTAAAATTCTCTGAAATACATTATATAAGATAGGGCTTACAAATCCGTCTGGGCCAAGTGGTTTTTTAAATAATATGTATAATTACTCATTTTTTAAAATAGCTATTGGTTTATCCAGGCACTCTATTTTTCTTTTCCTCTCCATTTTAAAATTTATCGGCATAAAGACATTTAATGTCTTATAAATTAAAACATCTCTACCATATTTGTAGCTGTATACCCCTTTTAAATTCTAATATATGCCTTTTCTCTTTTTTAAGCTTGCTACATTTTTGTCTATTTTATTTTATTTTTTGAGACAGAGTCTCGTTCTGTCGTCCAGGCTGGAGTGCAGTGGCAATAGTCTCGTTCTGTCATCCAGGCTGGAGTACAGTGGCAATATCTTGGCTCACTGCAACCTCCACCTCCAGGGTTCAAGGGATTCTCCTGCCTCAGCCTCCCAAGTAGCTGGGACTACAGGCGGGTGCCACCAAGCCCTGCTAAATTTTTCTATTTTTAGTAAAGACACGGTCTCACCATGTTGGCCAGGCTGGTCTCGAACTCTTGGCCTCAGGTATCTGCCCGCTTCAGCCTCCCAAAGTGCTGGGATTACAGGCGTGAATCACTGCACCTGGCCATTTTTGTCTATTTTATAATTTCTGTCAGTAACTAGCTTTTTGGTTTAGTTGCTTCATATCTAGCTTTCATGGTTTAGATGCTTCATATCTTCCTACCCCCAATCAGTAATTTCTGCTCGTTTTTTATTATTTATTCCCTTCTGCTTTTTCACTCTTGTTCTGTAGTGTTTCTAGCATCTTGAGATGAATTCATAATTTGTTTGTTTTCCTCCTTCTTCCTTATTTTGGTTTTTAAATGAAAGCATTTAAGGCTCTGAGTTTTCCTCTATGTACTGCTTTGGATGCATTCTACAAATTATGATAATGCAGCATCTTCATTATCATCTAGTTTTGCATAATTTGGGATTTTTGGGAGAATTATGTCTTTGTTATGAGTAATTTAGAAATACATTATTTATTTGAGACAGTCTCACTCTGTCACCCAGGCTGGAGTGCAGTGACATGACATCGGCTCACTACAACCTCTGCCTCCCAGGTTCAAGTGATTCTCCTGCCTCAGTCTCCTGAGTAGCTGGAATTACAGGCATGTGCCACTATGCCCAGCTAATTTTTGTATTTTTAGTAGAGACAGGATTTCGTCATCTTGGCCAGGCTTGTCTCAAACTCCTGACCTCAGGTGATCCACCCACCTCGGCCTCCCAAAGTGCTGGGATTACAGGCTTGAGCTGCCACACTTGGCCAGAAATACATTTTTACTTTCCATACTTTGTCTTGGAAGAATTTGATTATTGTTGACTTCCAATTTATGCATTATGGTCAAAGAAGATAGAACATATAATAACCATTCTTAGAATTTTGTAAAAATTCTCTGTGAACTAGTATTTGGTAGATTTTGTAAGTGTTCCATAAGTACTGGAAAAAAAAATGTTTCCTATTTCCTAGGCAGATGATTATCATCTCTCTTTCCTTATCTACACATATAACTGTTAGATAAAGTATTAGAGAAACTTATTAAATTTTGGTTCAAATTTTCTAGGACTCTCTAAGGATATTCTAATTCTTACTAACATTTTTGTATGAACTTGGTCTAAAGAGTTTTTAATAGTGGTATGTTAAAAACAAATGTCTTCCAATTATTCTCTCACTTTGTGTTTTAGCATTTATCCCAACAATTAGGTTCTTTTAAATATTTTTTCTGAATTTTAGGGACTAACTTTTTAAATTTCCAAGATTATTTACTAATTATTGCAGTGGGTAGAATAGTATTTTCCCCTTCTCTCATTCATGTCCACCCAGAACATCAGTATGTGGCTTTATCTGGAAATAGGGCCTTTGTAGATGTACTCAGTTAAGGACTGTGAGGAGATCATACTGCATTAGGTAGGCCCTAAATCTAGTGACTGGTATTCTTATCAGAAAAAGAGAGAACACACAGACAGACACATTAGGAAGAACATCATGCAAAGATGGAAAAAGAGATTAGAGTGATGCAGCTACAAGCTAAAGAATGCCAAGGATTGTCAGGAACCACCTGAAACTAGGAAGAGACAATGAAGGGTTTTCTTTTTCCAGAGCCTATCAGTATCTTGATTTTGGACTTCTAGTTTCCAGAACTATGAGACAATAAATTTATCTAAACTCTGTTTGTGGTAATTTACTATGGCAGCCCTAGGATGTTAATTATTTTTTACATCTACCTGTTCTTAGTGTGTTTATACAGGCTTTGTTCCATACTTCTTTCTTGTATTTACAGATGTTATTTCTTTATCTATGTCTGTCAGCATCCTTAGTCTATATAATTAATTTCATCTTAGTGAGTTCAGGTTCAACTGGTTTGCTGCCTGTCTTTCTTAGCATTAGCATTCTTGATATGTTTTGAAATGTTATTTTGCAGTATCATTTTGAGTTGAAAGGTATGTTTTTGTTTATTTTCATTTTTGTTTTCCCACTTTTCTTTCTCTCTGTACTCACTCTTTCCTATCTTATAATGGTGCTTCCAGGCTGATACTACAGAACCAGTCAAGAGCAGGTTGATTCCCCCTTCCTAGGTTTCTACAATTCCATGTAAACAAGCAGCCATAATACGGCTGTGCTGGTGATGGTGTCAAGCAGAAAGGAGAACATAATTACTTTTGGTGCCTTTCTAGATCTAAGTCATAGGCCAGCTTTCCCGGGGCTTCTGCTTGCACGAGACTAACGTGTTTTGTTGTTGTTGTTGTTGTTGTTTGTTTGTTTCTGTTTCTAGTCTATAGAAATATTTATCTTGGCTTAGACTCTAGCTAGGTCCTTTTGTTTGTTTTCTCATTTTAGTTGACATATTGCTATGAATTTGTAATAGAGGTCCAACAAGCGAATCTTTTGTGCCCTCTTGCCAGTTGATCCTTCCAGAGCCTAAATAGCTGTCAAAAATATTTTAGGCTATACTTTTATAATTAACTGAATGAAGATAAGCTGATAAAATAAAGCATTATTTACTCCACTAGGAAAAGCAGCATAATCCCTGGAGAAATCTGATTTATCAGTATCCTTTATTTAGTTTTTTCCATAACAGCATATAAAACTTTAATGATATTTTCCTCTAGTTTTAGTATCTGTTTTCAGTATGGTTTGTTACACTTAAAACATGAAGAAATGGAGTCACCAATTTAAGAGAAAATTTACGTGCTAAAGTTAGGTTAAGTGGTATGGTAGTGAAATAAATTTTGTTTTCTGATTTCTGGATTAGCTTCTAGCTGTTTAGCAATTTACAACAAAGTGGTCTTTTCTATTAAAATTTATTTTTTGTATATTTTCTATGTTCTCAAAACTATGCATTTCATTATGGTATTATTATTTTAAGAACAAGGAAACAAAATCTATAGCATTTGAATTACATGATTCAGTAATTTCATGAAATTAACTATGACATTCCTATTTTTAAAACTATCTGTTTAGGTTTCTCCTAATCCAAAAGCAGAATTGGCCTTCAGTGACCCCTGGTGGTTATAGATATGCATTTTGCATTGTCTATGTTCTTTTTTTTTTTTTTTTTTTTTTTTTACTTTTGTGCTGTAGCTATAGAAATAGCTTGAACAAGAGGTCTGGAGTCATTGCTCTGGCTGGGACTAGATGGATAATCCTTAAAAGTGAGCTCCAATATTCTCTGGATTATATTGCATTTCCACTTCTCAAAGACTTTTCTCAAAGTTATTGTCTTCATACTGCAACACTAAGGTTCCCTATTGATCATTGCCATTGTCAAATATACTATCTAATCTCTTACCATTAAAAAATTTAAAAAAAAAACCTTTTCTTGACCTTCACCCTTCCCTGAGTAGAGCCCCACTGCTTGCTGCCTTTCAGGCAATACTCTTTTAAATAACAAACAACAACAACAACACAACTTTATTACTTTATTATGAAAATTTGCCAACACACAGTTATCACTATTTTGCTATTTTCTACTACAATTTTTAAAATTTTATGGTAAAAATAGAAAAAATTTACTATATTAACCAATTTTGAATGTACAGTTGTTAAAAATACTTCTTGAGTTGTATTTGCTGTGTGCAATTTATCACCTCTCATTTAGTCTTCTATCAACTCTTATTTGACTTTTCTTCTCAGTCCTCCCCTAAAACTGCTCTATCGAGGTCACCGACCCAGAGGTCAATGCTTAATTCTCATCTTACTCAGTCTTACTCAGTGATATGGTTTGGATCTGTGTCCCCACCCAAATCTCACGTCGAATTGTAATCCCCAGTGTTGGAAGCAGGCTCTGGTGGGAGGTGATTGGATCATGGGAGTGGGTTTCTCCCATAGGAAGTAGTTTAGCACCATCCTCCTAGCGCTGTACTCATGATAGAGTTCTCACAAGATCTGGTTGTTTAAAAGTGTGTAGCACTTCCCCCCCTCCCTATTCCTCCTGCTCTGACCATGTGAAGTGCTGGCTCCCCCTTTGCCTTCCACCATGATTGCAAGTTTCCTGAGATCTCCCCAAAAGCCGAGAAGATGCCAGCATCATGCTTCCTGTACAGCC
The DNA here is from genome assembly GCF_000001405.40 of Homo sapiens. Classification (NCBI taxonomy): domain Eukaryota; kingdom Metazoa; phylum Chordata; class Mammalia; order Primates; family Hominidae; genus Homo; species Homo sapiens. The sequence continues at coordinate 95,662,233 of NC_000013.11, forward strand.
TGTGAAGCCATGTGATATGGTTTGGCTCTGTGTCCCAACCAAATCTCATCTTATAGCTCCCATAATTCCCACATGTTGTGGGAGGGACCCAGTGGGAGATGACTGAATCATGGAGGCGGGTCTTTTCGGTGCCGTCCCTGTGATAGTGAAAGGGTCTCAGGAGATCTGATGGTTTTAAAAATGGGAGTTTCTCAGCACAACCTCTCTTCTTGCCTGCCGCCATCCACATAAGATGTGACTTGCTCCTCCTTGCCTTTCACCTTCTGTCATGATTGTGAGGCCTCCCCAGCCACGTGAAACTGTAAGTCTTCTTTTGTAAATTGCCCAGTCTTGAGTATGTCTTTATCAGCAGTGTGAAAATGGACTAATACACCATGAGTCAATTAAACTTGTTTTGTACATAAATTAGCCAGTCTAAGGTATTTCTTTATAGCTATGCAAGAACGGACTAACACACTCATTCACTCCTCCTTCTTGAACTGCTTTCTTCTTATATTCTATGGTGCTGCACTCTCCTGGTTTCCCTGCTACATTTTGGCCAACTCTGCAGTCTCCTCCTCCCTCAGTATACTTTCAAATGTGTGATATCTCAGGGCTCTGTCCTGGGCATTCTTCACACATTCTCTTCCAGCAATCTCATCCAATCACATGACTCCCAACTTCATAGTTCCAGCCCATTCTGTTCTCTGAACTCCACACTCAAAAATCCAGTTGTCAGCCGGGTGCGGTGTCTCACACCTGTAATCCTAGCACTTTGGGAGGCCGAGGTGGGTGGATTGCCTGAACTCAGGAGTTTGAGACCAGCCTGGGCAACATAGTGAAACCCCGCCTCTACTAAAATACAAAAAATTAGCCAGGCGTGGTGGTGTGCACCTGTAATCCCAGCTATTGGGGAGGCTGAGGTAAGAGAATTGCTGGAACCCTGGCAGAGGTTGCAGTGAGCTGAGATTGCGCCCCTGCACTCCAGCCTGGGTGACAGAGCGAGACTCATCTCCATTAAAAAAAAAAAAAAAAGATGAAAAAGAAGAAAGAGAAAGAAAGAAAGACAAAAAAATCCAGTTGTCTTTTTGACATATCTACTTTGATATCCAAGAGGCATTTCAAGTATAACATGACTAAAAAGGAACTTAATTTTCATCCTCCAAAAGAGCTCCTCTGTCCTTCTTTACACCTCCTCATGTCAGGAAATGACACCAGTTAGTTACTTGGACCAAATCTAGGAATTATTTCTGATTCCTCACTTGTTCCCACCCCCATCTATCCCATTTATTACCATCATAATACATACCAAATCTGTTTGCTTCTCTCCACTTCCATCTCTGCTGTTACCACCACATAATTTGAGACATCATCATCTTTTACCCTAACTCCTAACTGGGCACACTGCAATAGCCCCCTAACTCCTAACTGGGCACACTGCTTATCCTTCTACAATCCATTTTTCATACAGCAGCCAGAATGATACCTTTAAAACTAAATCTGATATACCCACAAAAACTTAAAATTAAAAAAACCTGGCCTTATATTCCTGTGATAAATCCCACTTGATCCTGAGGTGTTATCATTTTAATGTATTGCTGGGTTTGATTTGATAATATTTGTTAAGGATTTTTGAAAATAGGTTCATGAGGTATAGTGATCTGTAGTTTTCTTGTAATGTCCTTGACTGGTTTTAGTATTGAGGTAATACTGAACTCATAAAATAAGTTGGCAAACAATTTATCTTCTGCTTATGGAAAAGTTTATGTAGGATTTGTATCCATTCTTCCTTAAAAGTATATGTTGGATTTGTATTAATTCTTCCTAAATAAAAATGTTAGAATTTTCCATTGCAATAAACTGGGCCTGCAGTTTTCTTTGTTAGGAAAAAAAGGAAAAAAAAAACAACCCTAAATCTGTTAGCCCTTTGCTTAAAACTCTCTGGTGGCTTCCCATTTTCAATAGAATAAGATTAAAACCCCCTTTTAACAGCTTTAAAGGCACTACACGATCTGGTTGCTGCCTACCTCCTGACATCATGTTACACAACTGTCCCCAGATTACATTGTAAAACTCTATTCCTAAACCACACTTAAGTTTGTTTCTATTTCAAAGACTTTGCATTTGTGATTTAGGTCTCCAACCTTTTTGGCACCAGGAATCAGTTTCGTGGAAGACAATTTTTCCAAGGGGAGGGCATGGTTTGGGGATGAAACCGTTCCACCTCAGATCATCAGGCATTAATTAGATTTTCATAAGTAGTGTACAACCTAGATCCATTGTATGCACAGTTCTCGGTAGTGGTTGTACTAATTTACATTCCCACCAACAGTGTAGGAGGGTCCCCTTTTCTTTACATCCTTGCCGGCATTTATTATTGCCTGACTTTTGGGTAAAAGCCATTTTAACTGGGATGAGATGATATATCATTGTAGTTTTGATTTGCATTTCTCTGATATTCAGTGCTGTTGAGCACATTTTCATATGCCTGTTTGCCATTTGTATGTCTTCTTTTGAGAAATGTCTATTCAAATCTTCTGCCCATTTTTAAATTGGATTATTAGATTTTTCCCTATTGAGTAGCTCCTTATATATTCTGGTTTTTAATTCCTTGTCAGATGAATAGTTTGTAAATATTTTCTCCCATTCTGTGGTTGTATCTTCACTTTGTTGATTGTTTCCTCTGCTGTGCATAAGTTTTTTTTAACTTGATATGATCCAATTTGTCCATTGTTGTTTTGGTTGCCTGTGCTTGTAGGGTATTACTTAATAAATTTTTGCCCAGATCAGTGTCCTGAAGAGTTTCCCCTGTGTTTTCTTGTAGTAGTTTAATAGTTTAAGGTCTTACATTTAAGTATTTAATCCATTTTTATTTGGTTTTTTTATAAGGCAAGAGATAATAGTCAAGTTTCATTCTTCTGCAAAGGATATCTGGTTTTCTCAGCATCATTTATTGAAGAGATTGTCTTTTCCCCAGTGTAAGTTCTTGGCACTTTTGTCAAAAACGAGTTCACTATACATGCGTGGATTTGTTTCTGGCCTCTCTATTCTGTTCCATTGGTCTAGGCGTCGTGTTTTTATGCCAATGCCCTGCTCTTTTGGTTCCTATAGCTCTGTAGTATAATTTGAAGTCAGGTAATGTGATTCCTCCAGTGTCATTGTTTTTGCTTAGGATAGCTTTGGCTATTCTGTTCCTTTGTGATTCCATATAAATCTTAGATTTTTTTTTTCTATTTCTGTGAAGGATGTCATTGGTATTTTGATACAGATTGCACTGAATCTGCAAATTGCTTTGGGTAGTATGGACATTTTTACAATATTGATTTTTCCAGTCCATGAACATGAAATATCTTTTCATTTTTTGTGTCTCCTCTTCAATTTATTTCATCAGTGTTTCATAGTTTTTATTGTAGAGATCTTTGACTTCTAATTCCTAGGTATTTAATTTTGTTTGTGGCTATTGTAAATGAGATTTTTTAAAATTTCTTTTTCAGATTGTTTGCTATTGGCATTTAGAAATGCTACTTATTTTTGTATGTTGATTTTATATTCTGCTACTTTACTGAATTTATCAATTCTAATGGTTTTTTGGTGGAGTCCTTAGGTTTTTTAAAATATAGGATATCATCTGAAAACAAGGATAATTTCACTTCTTTTCCAGTTTGGATGCCCTTTCTTTCTTTCTCTTGTCTGATTACTGTAGCTAGAACTTTCAGTAGTATGTTGAATAATGGTGGGCATCCTTGTGTTCCAGTTCTTAGAGGAAAGGCTTTCAGTATTTCCACATTCAGTATGATACTAGTTTGGGTCTGTCATATGGCTTTTATTATTTTGAGCTATGTTCCTTCTATACTTAGTATTTTGAGGGTTTTTATCATGAAGGGATGTCGAACTTTATAAAATGCTTTTTCAGCATCCATTGAAATGATCATATGGTTTTTGTCCTTTATTCTGTTGATATGCTGTATCACACTCATTGATTTGCATATGTTGAACCATCCTTGCATCCCTGGGATAAATCCCACTTGGTCATGATGAATGATCTTTATAATGTATTGTTGAATTCAGTTTGCCAGTATTTTGTGGAGGATTTTTGCATTGAAACTAATCAGAGATATTGGCCTGTGGTTTTCTTTTTTTAATGTGTTTTTGTCTGGCTTTGGTATCAGGGTAATACTAGCCTTGCAGAATGAGTTTGAAAATATTCCCTCCTCTTCTATTTTTTGAAACAGTTTGACTAGGATTGGTATTAGTTCTTCTTTTCATGTTTGATAGAATTCAGCAGTCAAGTCATCAGGCCCCAGGCTTTTCTTGGCTGGGAGGCTTTTTATTGTGGCTTTGATCTTGTAACTTATTATTGGTCTGTTCAGGTTTTAGTTTTCTTCATGGTTCAATCTTGGTAGGTTGTATGTGTGTAGAAATTTCATTTCTTTTAGGTTTTCTAATTTATTGGCACATAGTTGTTCATGGTACCCTCTAATGATCCTTTGAATTTCCCCAGTATATGCTTATAACATCTCCTGTTTCATCTCTGGTTTTATTTATTTGGGTCTTTGCTCCTTTTTTCCTAGTCTGGCTAAAGGTTTGTCAATTTTATCTTTTCAAAGAAACTAACTTTTCATTTTGTTGATATTTTGTGTTGCTTTCTTCATTTCAATTTATTTCTGCTCTAATATTTATTATTTCTTCTACTAACTTTGGGTTCAGTTTGCTCTTACTGCTCCAGTTCTTGAAGATGCATTGTTACGTTGGTTTATTTGAAGCTTTTCTTCTTTTCTGATATAGGTACTTATAGCTATACACTTCCTTCTTAGTATCACTGTACCCCATAGGTTTTAATATGTTGTGTTTTCATTATTGTCTGTTTCAAGAAAATTTTCAGTGTTCTTCTTAATCTCTTCATTGACCCACTGGTCATTCAGGAGCATATTGTTTAACTTCCATGTGTTTGTATAGCTTCCAAAATTCCTCATTATTGATTTCTAATTTTATTCCATTGTGGTCAGAGAAAATGCTTGATATGATTTCAATTTTTTGAATGTTTTAAGACTTGTTTTATACCTAACTTATGGTCTATCCTTGAGAATGATCCATGTGCTGAGGAATAGAATGTGTATTCTGCAGCCACTGGATGAAATGTTCTGTAAGTATCTATTAGGACCATTTATTTGGTCTATGATGCAGATTAAGTCTGATATATCTTTGTTGATTTTCTGTGTGGAAGATCTGTCCAGTGCTGAAAGTGAGGTGTTGAAGTCTCCAGCTATTATTGTATTGGGGTCTGTCTCTCTCCTTAGCTCCAATAATATTTGCTTTATACATCTGGGTCCTCCAGTGTTAGGTGCATGCATATTTACAAGTGTTATATCTTCTTGCTGAATTGACTCCTTTATCATTATATAGTGACCTTCTTTGTCTCTTATGGCTTTTGTCTTCAGATCTATTTTATCTGATATAAGTAATGCAATTCCTGCTCTTTTTTGGTTTTCATTTGCATGAAATATCTTTTTCCATCCCTTTATTTTCAGTCTATATGTGGCTTTATAGGTGAAGTGTTTTTCTTGTAGGCAACAGATCATTGTGTCTTGTTTTTATTTTTTTTAATCCATTCAGCCACTCAATACCTTTTGATTGAAGAGTTTAGTCCATTCACATTCAGTGTTATTATTGATATGCAATAACTTACTCCTGCCATTTTATTTGTTTCCTGGTTGTTTTGTGGCCTTTTATTCCTCCTTTCTTTCCTTCCTTTCTTTCTTTCAGTGAAGATAATTTCCTCTGGTGGCAGGTTTAATTTCTTGCTTATTTTTTGTATATCTGTTATATGCTTTTTGATTTGAGGTTACTATGAGGCTTGTAACTACTATCTTATAACCCATTACTTTAAGCTGATAATAACACTGTTTACATAAACAAACATTTAGGCAAAAACTAATAAAAACTCTACACCTTAACTTCATCCCCCAGCTTTTTAACTTTTTGTTGTTTCTATTTATATCTTACTGTACTATGTCTTGAAAAGTTGTTGTAGTCATTATTTTTATTGGTTCATCATTTAGTCTTTCTACTTGAGTAGTTTACACATGCCAGTTACAGTATTATAATAGTCTGTGTTTTTCTGTGTACTTACTATTACCAGTGAGTTTTGTACCTTCAGATGATTTCTTTTGCTCATCAACATCATTTTCTTTCTGATTAAAGTACCCCCTTTAGCATTTCTTGTAGGACTGGTATGGTGTTCATGAAATCCCATGGATTTTATTTTCCCAGGAAAGTCTTTATTTCTCCTCATGGTTCAAGGATAGTTTCACTGGATATATTATTCTAAGGTCATTTTTTTTCCTTTAGCACTTTAAATGTGTCATGCCACTCTCTCCTTGCCTGTAAGGTTTCCACTGAGAAATCTGCTGCCAGACATATTAAAGCTCCATTGTATGTTATTTGTTTCTTTTCCCTTGCTGTTTTTAGGATCCTTTGTTTATCCTTGACCATTGGGAGTTTGACTGTTAAATGCCTTGAGGTAGTCTTTGGGTTAAATCTGCTTGGTGATCTATAATCTTTTTATACTTGAGTATTGATATTTTTGTCTAGGTTTGGGAGGTTTTGGGAAGTTCTCTGTTTTTATCCCTTTGAACAAACTTTCTACCCGCCCCCCACCACCATCTCTTTAGGGCCAATAACTCTTAGATTTTCCCCCTTGAAACTATTATCTAGATCCTGTAGGTGTGCTTCATTCTTTTTTATTCTTTTTTTCTTTTGTCTCTTCTGAGTGTATATTTTCAAACAGCCTGTCTTCAAGCTATTATTTTCTTCTGCTTGATCAATTCTGCTATTAAGAGACTCTGATGCCTTCAGTATGTTGATTGCATTTTTCAACTCCAGAATTTCTGCTTTTCACTTATTTCAATTTCGTTGTTAAATTTATGTGATAGGATTCTAAGTTCCTTCTCTCCATTATCTTGTATTTCTTTGAGTTTCCTCCAAACAGCTATTTTGAATTCTCTGTCTGAAAGGTAACATATCTCTGTCTCTCTGGGATTCGCCCCTGGTACCTTGTTTAGTTTGTTTGCTGAGGTCATGCTTTCCTGGATGACTTGGTGCTTGTGGATGTTTGTTGGTGTCTGGGCATTGAAGAGTTAGGTATTTATTGTAGTCTTCACAGTAGGGCTTGTTTGTAGTCATCCTTCTTGGGAAGGCATTCCAGGTATTCAAATGGGCTTGGATGTTGTGATCTAAGTTTTTGGTCACTGCAGCCATATCTGCATTAGTGGGCCCCTAAATGCAGTAATATTGTAGTTCTTTCATACACATAGAGGTACTGCTTTGGTGGTCTTGGATAATACCCGAAAGAATTATCTGGATTACTGGGCAGAGACTCTTGTTCTTTTTCCTTGTTTTTGCCCAAACAGAATCAGTCTGTCTCTCTCTCTCTATCTCTCTCTGTTGAGCTACCTTATCGGGGGAACCGCCCCCAATATTTCAATGTAGGTTCTTTCTATTTTCCCTAAGTGTCGGCCAGCTGAGAAATAGAGAAAGATTACAAAGAGAGGAATTTTACAGCTTGGCTGCTGGGGGTGACATCACATATTGGTAGGACCGTGATGCCCCGCTGGGCCTCAAACCGTCAAGTTTTTTATTAAGTGTTTTAAAAGGCGAGGGGGTGTAAGAACAGGGAGTAGATCACATGCTTCAAAGGGCAAAAAGGAGAACTACTGATAAGGGTCTATGTTCAGTGGTGCATGTATTGTCTTGATAAACATCTTAAATAACAGAAAACAGGGTTCGAGAGCAGAGAACCGGTCTTACCAGGCCTGGGTCTTTCCCCATCCTAGTAAGCCTCAGGGTACTGCAGGAGACCAGGGCGTATCTCAGTCCTTACCTCAACTGCATAGGACAGACATTCCCAGAGCGGCCGTTTATAGACCTTCCCCCAGGAATGCATTCCTTTCCCAGGGTATTAATATTAATATTCTTTGCTAGGAAAAGAATTTAGTGATATCTCTCCTACTTGCACGTCCATTTATAGGCTCTCTGCAAGAAGAAAAATATGGCTCTTTTTGCCCAACCCTGCAGGCAGTCAGCCCTTACTGTTGTCTTCCCTTGTTCCCTAAAAATCGTGGTTATTCTGTTCTTTTTCAAGGTGCACTGATTTCATATTGTTCAAACACACGTTTTACAATCAATTTGTACACAATTGTCACAATGGTCCTGAGGTGATGTACATCCTCAGTTTACGAAGATAACAGGATTAAGAGATTAAAGACAGGCATAAGAAATTATAAAAGTATTATTTGGGAACTGATAAATGTCCATGAAATCTTCACAATTTATATTCCTCTGCTGCAGCTCCAGCTGGTCCCTCCATTCGGGGTCCCTGACGTCCAGCAACACTACCTGTAGCCGGGGGAGGGGTGACACAAGTACCTCCGTGGCCACCATCACTGGGACTGTGGATGGTCAGACCTGAAGCCAGCACAGCTATGGGTTATGCCAAAGGCCCACTGTAACCACTACCTGCTACTACCTATGTTAGCTGAAGTTCCTAGGGCTCTACAATTAGCAGGCAGTGAAGCCAGCTAGCTTTCTGTCTTTCTCTTCAGGATGGCGAGTTCCTCAGAGCCCCGGGTGGGTTCAGAGATGCTGTTTAGGAGTCAGCAGCAGTAACTCCAGAACCTGGAGTCAGAAACCTTAGAAATCTACCCGGTGCTCTATTCTACTGAGGGTAAGCTAGCACTGAAACCATAAGACGAAGTCCTTTCTAGTCTTCCCTCCTCTTTCACCAGGCAGAGGAGTCTCTCCCCATGTCCATCAACATCACAAGACACTGGGAGTATTGCCATGATTCTGCTGATGTTCACTTAAGACCTAAGGGCTTTGTAGTCAGCTTGTGGTCAATGCTGCCATGCCTGGAATTCACCTTTCAGGGCAGTGGGCTCCCCTCTGGCCCAGGGCCAGAAATGCCATCCAAGAGCCAACTCTGGAATCAGGGACCCGAAGAGCCCACTTGGTTCACTTCCCCACTGTAGTTGAGCTGGCACCTCAGCTATAAGACAAAGTCTCCTTTATTCTTCCCTCTCCTTTTCTTAAACAGATGGAGTCTTTCCTCATAGCCACCCATAGCTGTGAATATGCTGGGTCACACCTGCAGCCAGTATACCTCAGAGTCTCACCCAAGGCCCACAGCATGTATTACCTGGTTACCGCTGCTGATTATTCAGGACCCAAGGGCCCTTTAATCAGCAGGTGATGAATCCTGCCAGGACTGGGTACTTCCCTTTAAGATAGTGGGTTCCCCTCTGGCCCAGGGTATGTCTAGGTATGTTGTCTGGGAGCTAGGGCCTGCAATGGGGGCCTCATGACCCTGCTCAATACTCTATCCTATTGTGGCTGAGCTGGTATCCAAGTTGCAAAACAAGTCTTTACTATTCCCTCTCCTTTCCTCAAGTGGAAGGTGGGGGTGGTGTTGTCCCTTTTGGAGCTGCTAGCTGTATTGCCTGAAGTTGGGGGAGAGGTGATACAAGCACGCCGCATTGGCCACCCTGCCTAGTGTCTCACTAGGTCACATAGCCCCCAAGTCCATTGGCTCTAAGCCCAGCACAGCAAGAGGACTTGCCTAGGAGTTGCAGTGCTTGTGGCCTAGGTTACCTTTCAAGTTTATTTTAAACCTCAGAGCTCTTTAGCCCACGGTGGTGAGGTTTGCCAAAACTGAAGTTCTGACTGCTGGAACGGACGATTCCCCTCTGGCTAAAGCTGATCTAAATGCTCCCTCCATGGGTGTTGGCAGCACTAAGTTTCAAGGCAAAGGCCCATAATTACTGTCCTTTCTCCTTCCACAAATGTACAAATTCTCTCTCAGTGCCACACAGTCACTGCCAGGGGATAGGGGAGGGGTGATGTTGGCAATTCAAGACTGCCTTTCCTACTCTCTTCAACGCCTCTGTCAGCAATATGCAGTTAAAACCAGGTACTGTGATTGTTCGCCTGATTTTTGGTTCTTATGAAGGTGCTTTTTTTGTGTAAATAGTTGTCAAAGTTGGTGTTCCTGTGGGGATGATGATCGGTGGAGGCTTCTATTTGGCTATCTTGCTCTGTCTTCCTCATGTTATTTTCAAAATCCATTTTGATTATGTCGTTTAATTATTGTGTTTATAACATTTATATTTAATGCAATTGTGTTTATATGTTTGGATTTAGATGTGAGAATCTGGAAAATAATAAGTTCTTATATTTGTGTTATTACAAAAATTTTATAAGATCAAACCTATTTAAAGACATGTCATTATGTCACTTAATTTAGAAATTAGAAAGCTTAAATTTTGAAGAGTTTACCCATTGTATATAAAATATAATATTGTACTTAGTTAATTTCTTATAAAATCAGAAGATATATAGCTGCCTTTAAATTAGTATTAACACATTCCAGTGATCAAAGATTCATCTATTTATCGGAAACAGTACATGAATCTTTTAAAATACAATTTTTACACTTTGTAGTCCAGAATTGTAATGTTAAAGACTCTTTAAATCACACTTCAAAACTTTTAGCTCATAATTATAATAACACAACCTATTATTTAAATGCACTCACTCACATTTTAAAAATAAAAAATACAGTGAACAGCATTTTTCTTTTAGATATTTTACTAGATTGTTTGGACTAGAATATAACTAGAATGTGTATGTAGCAATAGACATTTTAAAAACTCAAATAACCTACAATTTTCAAACTGAGAGAAAAAGAAGAACATCAAAAAGAGGAGAAAAGAGCTGGCTTAGGCAACTGTTATCTCTGTAAAGGGCTAATTCTCTTTCTTCTGCAAGGAAAGGAGATAAAATTCGATGCAGAAAAACTCATCTGTACACAAATACACAAAAGAGAGTCACTGCAGTTGATTTAAAAATACTCAGGCCCTTCACAATATTTTAAATAAACTTCTATTGCTGAAACAACTTTCAAGTAAGGGCATAAGGATAATACAGGGAGGTCCCAAATACCCCTTATTTTTCTGTATTGTTAGCATCTTGCATAACCATGGTACATTTGTCAAAACTAAGAAAGTAATAATGGTACACTACTATTAAACTTGAGACTATTCATATTTCAGTAGTTTTTCCACTAATGTCTATTTTCTCTAGGATCCAGTTCAACACAGCACACTGCATTCAGTCATCAATTAAGTTTCCTTAGTTTCCTCTGGTCTGTTACAGTATTTCAATCTTTCCTTGTTCCCCACGACGTTGATAGTTTTGAGGAATACTGATCAGGTGTTTTATAGAATGTCCTTCAATTTTAGTTTGATTTTTTTTTTTTCATGTTTAGACTAGATTGGGTTATAGGTTTTGAGAATACCACAGAGGTGAATTGCCCTTCTCATCACAGTATATTGGGAGTATATGCTATCAACATGACTTGATGATATTAACTTTGACCACCTGGCCAAGACAGTGTTTCCAGGTTTCTGTACTATGAAGTTACTCTCCTCCTCCCTTTCCATACTCTGTTCTTTGGAAGTTAGTCACTAAGTCCAGCCCACACTCAAGGAAGGAGGGAAAATAAGCTCCACCTGATGAAGGGGGACGTATTGTGTTAAGCTGAATAACGGTCCCCCAAATATGTTTACATTCTAATCTCCTGTCATTGTTCTATAGCAAAAGGCAGTTTTTGCAGATGTGATTAAATTGAGGAACTTGAGTAGGAAGAATATCCTGGATTATCTCAGCAGGCCCAATATAATTAATTACAAGGATCCTTGTAAGACGGAGGCAAGGTCAAAAATGACAGAAGGTGATGTGAATACAAAAGCGGAGATTATAGTCATGCGGCCAGAAGCCAAAAAACAACATAAAAGAGGGTGGAAAGCAGAGAAGACAAGATGTGATATAAAAGCCAAATTTTATATGAAGGTACCAAAATTTGATCAGAATCCCAAAATCCTTGAAAATAAACTGTAAATTTGACATATAAGGGTCATTTTTTGTTCCTCAGATTGGCAAAAACTGAAAATCAATTATATCTAGTGATGGTGACTAGGCAGGAATATAAACAGCTGATAGGAATAGAAATTATTCCTTTAGGGAAAGATAATCTGACAACGCATCTTAAAAGTTTAAACAAATTCTTTGATTAAGCAAGTTCAAAAACCTAGTTTTTTTTTTTTTTTTTTTTATAAAGTGTCACTCTGTTGCTCAGTCTGGAGTGCAGTGACATGATCTTAGCTCACTGCAACCTCAAACTCCTGGGTTGAAGCAATCCTCTGCCTCAGTCTCCCTGAGTAGCTAGGGCAACAGGCACGAGCCACCGCACCTGGCTAGTTTTAAATTTTTTTGCAGAGACAGGATCCTGCTATGTTGCTCAGGCTGGTCGCAAACTCCCGGCCTCAAATAATCCTCCCATCTTGGCTTCCCAAAGCGCTAGCATTACAGGTGTGAGCCACTGCGCCCAGCCTAGAAATGTTTCCTAGAAATAAAAGCACAAGTTTGTAAACATAAATGTGGAAGGATGTATATGGTGGCATTAACTTAATGCTGACTTTTTTGTTCTTAATTTGGCACAAAAAGGTGTTTATAAGTGCTCTACTTGTTTCTGAACATTTATTTCTCCTCATAGTTAATTCCTAAACAAATCTTATTCCCTTTACCTACAAAATATGTTCTAGATCTGTTCACTCCTCTCTACCAACATTGTTTTTCCTAGTCAATAAACATAGATCAACCTAATAAAAATTGCATAATACTCTTAATTTTGGATATATCATAAATATGCTACCATTGTTTTTTAAGTCTTTTGCTACTATAATTAACAGTATGAATTACAGTGGAGATTTAATGTTTAACTTCAAAAAGACTCCATAGAGTCTGACGAATGCAAACATATTTACAGTAACTTTTCTTACACTCACTAGATTACTTTGATTTTCGGTTTTATTGGCAAGAGTGATTCGTGAAAACCATGACTAGATGAACATTGGAGGAAACATTCCCAAGCATTAATCACTTAATTTTAGTTTTGTACATTTTTTTCTGTCTAATGTTACCTTTGTTGTAAAATTATCTTTTTTTAAGGAATGCTTTGTAAAGCTTAGTTCTAATATTACAGAATTCATAGTTATGTAATTAATCTCAAAATCACTCACCATTGAAGACCCTTGCTATTTTTATTTCCTATAACACGAAGTCTATTATCTCCTTAATAATTTTTAATTTCCATCCTTAGAACTTCTTCAGCTCTGCTACTTTTTCCTTAAGGCCAGGGTCATAGGCAGCACACTGGTGATAACTCACTGTCTAGAAATATTGCATTTTGTTTACAAAGTTATTTTCTATGTTCAGCATTTTGCTGGCTGCCTTGGGTACAGTACCTCAATTGAATGTCTACACCTGCATATTTGTGGACATTGAAATCATCTACCATTTTTCAGAGACACTACCTTGTGATATAAAAAAACAGAAGCCAAAAAAAAAAAAATCCCAAGGAATTTCTGAAGGAGCCTCTCTTCACTACTCTGCTCTTGTTAGAATAATGAGTAACACTGGTATAACATTCTACAATTTACAAGAATATTTATCTGCTTCATGAAACCTCAAAACAAACCTTTGAGACTATCAGGATCCTAACCACTTTACAGATGAAGATAACTTACATAATAGTTATGGGGTTTCCTGGATCTGACTCCTTTATTCTTCACATTACATTATGTTGCCTTCCCCACAACTAATCAAGGACTCCGTTTTTTCTTTTTTCTTTCTCGAAACCATTTCCTCCATATTAGTTCCCTTTGGAATAGAAGCCTTTTTAAAAGTCCACCTTAGTATATCTTCAGGGAATCACAAATTCACTATGCTATTTATAATTCATGAGTTTCTCTAATGGTATCAAGGCAGCAAATACAGGTGAAGTAATAATTATCCACCTGATAGTACTTAACACACATACCCCGTGTAAAAATACTGCTGGTGTACAGTGTGTGTGTTGGTGACGCCGGAGGAAGTGGCCGTGAACAGGCTTAATGCCGCATTGAGTAACTTCAACCTCATCTTGCTCAGGTTCATATCTCTCCTGAATTTCCCCTGGTAAGCGCAAGATTCAGGATCCGTTCTCACAGTTTTTTGTTTACCAGTTGATGTTGGCTGCATTCAGGAACGCCTTGCTCTCTTAAGCCACAGTGCCTTCCTGGTCTCTTCTTCACAGGGTCTTCCACAATCGCTCTTTTTCCTGGGCACGGTGGTTTGCTGAAAGTCGGGGTGGGGGGCGGGGCGTTCCCAAGTTTCCAGGCCAATTACCTACCTGCCTTAGAGCAATTACGCACTTCTCTCTGGTAGTCCCTGAAATGTTCTAATCATCAGATCGCCCCAGCTTCTCCTGACCGTTTCTTGCTTACGGCTCAGTTCAGACAGTATTTGTTCCGGGACGCTCAGCGGGAGGCGGTTTTTACCGGCTCACTCGAGACCCCAATTCCAGGCGCCCTGCAGCTTCCCTCAGACTCCCCGGGACCGTGTTTGGCCTTCCCATTCGTACGCTGCGGCTGCGCTTTCCTCTCGTAACACCACGCTGGCGAACCTGGAAAGGATCAAATAGTCCCACTCGCCAACCTAGCGCGGCGGGACCGGCCCAAAAGGGCCTTTGCAGCCTGCGCATGCGGACTCGGCGGCCGCCACCGACTCCCCGTCTGCTTCCCTCCGGGCGGCAGCCGCGGTTTGGAGCTTGCTGACAGCTCTGCGACCGGCGGGCGCAGCCTCGTCTCGTGCTTCCACGTTATCCTATCAGGGACGGGGCGGGGCGGCGGCCTCCGCAGCCTATCAGCGCGAACCACGACCCCGGCGAGCCCGGGAGGAAAGCCGCCAGAAAGAAGGCGATTGGATGGCGGCGGCGCTCTGGGGCGTAGCGTCGCCCGGGCCCCGCCCACCGCTGCCTTCCTCTGCTGGGCTCCAGAGCCACTGAGGCCTGAGCGAGAGCCGACGGCGGGCGGGCGCAGCTGCTGCCGGAGCGCCGGCGCGTGCTGGTGGGCCACACACCTTTCCTCCTCTTCACTCGCGAGCCCTCGGACATGGTGGCCCCCGGCTCCGTGACCAGCCGGCTGGGCTCGGTATTCCCCTTCCTGCTAGTCCTGGTGGATCTGCAGTACGAAGGTGAGTCCTGCCCTGCCCCGGCCAGGAAGTGGGCTCCCGGACCAGGCCCCCCGCGCTTTCCCGTCTGCGCCCGGGCGCCTGTCCCGGAGCGGCTCGGGAGGTGGGGCGAGCGCTGGGGGAGCCCGCGGCCTGGCTTGGGCCTGAGCCCGCGCCCGGTTCCGGGTTTGTCTGGGGAAGAATCGAGGGGACTGGCGGGCCGCGGGGCCGGGACAGCGGGTTTGGACTAAGGAACCGGGCCGCAGGAGTCGGAGGAGGCGGGGTGCGGGGGCACCGGGCTACGACTTCAGGAAGTCCTGGGACGCGGAGACTTGGGCAGCCTTTGGGTCCTGGCCTCGCTTGGGACCCTCGCTGGGCGCCTGGGGACACTGTCAGTCATTGGTGCTGGCTGGGAGGAGGCACTAAGGTGGCCAAAAGACTTCCTTCGCTCTGGAGTTCTTGGGTGGGGAAGGAGTGTCATGTCCGGCTGGGAGTTGGAGGGGACAGTGTTGACTATTTAAAAAGTGTGTAACCATCCCCATTAAGATGCACTGTCGTGTAGAGAAATTGTTAGTTTGGTGCAATGAGGAGCCGCTGTTGGAATTCCATCTCCCGGACGGCCAGGCACTGAGTTTGTGGTTTTACAACTCCCAACATGGTGTCATTCAACGTATGGCTGGCATTACTTTTCCAAGTTCGCTGTAAAAAGGTTCCCTTAAAAAGATACGAACGATTAAATTTCACTTCAGTCCTGCAGACTGGAATGTTGGCTACTCCAGAATAGCGAAAATAGAGGGCTGTCCTATCTTAGATGGCAGCGGGGAGGAGTAAGAATTAAAGTTGATAGTGCCGATTTAACGAATGCTTCTGGCGCGGTTACTGTGCGAAATATTCGAGTGTAATGACACATCACATGCACTGATCTATTTTCATCCCCATAAAAAGGGCTAGTTGTCAAGGAGGTCAAATTAAACCTTTGAGTATTCCATTCAAAGGGAGCGAGGAACTAAAAATTGGGAATTGTTTATAGTGAATTCTTCTGAAAGTTCTCAACTTTTTTTTTTAAAGTAGTACTCCCCAGTTTTTAGGTGTCACCCATAGCAATGGGCTTTTGCTTTTGCTTCCCCTGGTAACCATATTTTTTGAACCCCAAATCAGAACACGTAGTGTGGCAACATTGGGACAAAGAATTTGACAGTGAGGCTGCCCCCAGAAAAATCTAGGGGATTGGAATTTGAAGGTCTGTACCACTTTAATATGGGTCATATATTCTAGTTCTTTTGCATTTTCAAAAGCTTCATTCCTCCTGCCCCCGCACCCCACCATCCCTCATCTGTAGTATTTATCTCCAGTTATCATTAATAATTTATTTTGGACACTTAAGAGAAAGTTGCCTATGTTCTGTTTAATGGTGATTTTTTTTTTTAAGTTACAGAGATGCACAATTTTGAATGATTGCTTTTCCCACTACTTTTTAGAATTGCTGTTCTGTATATGAGTCTGTAAGGACTCTTAACTCTTCATTTCCCTCCTGTGGTATTTTCCATAAGAAAACCACATTTGAGAGCTTTTCTGTGTAGGAGGCACTGGTGACATTTCTCAGAGGAGTGCCAGAGTGTCTTCTTTAGGACCATTGTCTGTGTAAAATAGCAGGGACTTAGTACAGGTAACAGAAAAAGGAAAGAAAGGAGCCTTTCTGTAAGCCATATCTTATTCACGAAAGCGTGTGGTATTCATTCCTACTTTACAGACCAGGGAACTGAGGCTCCAAAGGTTTTACTAAAGTTCATTTTGTGTGCACGCTGGAGACAGAAGTTAAGTAGTTGACAACATCATGTGAGTCCAAGCACTTTTAAGTGATGGCAGCTGAGAAAAAAAATCAGCACTTTTTTTTTTTTTTTTTTTTTGTAATTAACAAGAAGGTTATTTCCTGGGAGGTTTAATACAGTGGTTCTCAAACTTGAGTGTGCATCAGAATCGCACATGGAGGGCTTTTTAAAACAGAGTGCTGTACCCCACTTACAGAGTTTGATTCATTAGGTCTTGATGGGACCTGAAATTTTGCGTTTCTAGAAAGACCCTGGATGACCACACTTGAGAACCACTGGTGTAATAAATTATATAGAGGAGTTAAATTAGGTGTCTGCTATGTATTTGACACTGGATTTGGTGATAGGGATATAAAGGTAAGAACTCTGACTTGAATTAGCAAACCGTTAGCCCCTGTTTTCCCAAATAAATTGTGTCTGGATTCACTAATCTCATAGTTCTCTGAAAGGCAAATGGTGCTACTGCTAGGCCTGAGGCTTAATAAAATTGTGTTGTATTAAGGATTTTTGTTAAATAGGTAGGTTTTAGCTGCTCTTGTCACACAAAAAGTAATTATGTGAGATGATAGATATATTAATCTGCTTCACTCTTATTAATCTGCTTCACTATTGTAACCATTTTATGTGTGTATATCTCATAATACTATGTTGTAAACATCAAATATATACAATACAATTCACTTTTAAAAAAAGAAATGAAGGAGAATGGTTATGAGAGAAGTGAATGTGGAACTAAGAGTGGCACAGGATGGGGAAGAGATAACCTAGTGTTTTTCTGATTTTGAAATATTTGCCTTTGTTTTCTTCTAGATTTTTCTGTTAATTGTCATCCAGAGACAGAAAGTATATATCATGAATTGAAAGTTTGAGTCTTTTGGCACCCTCCCTTCTCAAAGGCGTTTGAAAGAGTGAAGTCTAAAGCACTAGATGAGATCGAATTTTTGGAATAGAAAGAAAACTTTAGTAGTATCTGCTTTAGTATTCTCATGTTACAGATAAGGAAGTTATTTCATTTCTTTGCTAATGGTTTGTCCTCTTGGTGACTTGAGTAGCAACACAGCCTGGGAACGAAACCTTTTTTCTCTTATCATAGTTTTATCTCTTTTTCTTCCTTAACATGCTATCTGGACCCAATTTTTCTTTATTTCATTGAGCTGATTAAACCATATATTTTGGCCATGGGGAAAAGAATAGTTGAAAATATATAGTTGAAAATCTATACGTATAAAATATTGTGATAAGTTTTATTTGAACCATGATAAGTTTTATTTGAACCTAACCTATTAAAGGTATGTTTTGTCTTTTCTAGGATTTTCTTGACATTATCTAAATAGGGAAAGAATAAAGTAGCAAAAATGAGTGACTTTAAGTAATTTAAATAAATTAAGTATCATAAAAGGTGGTCACATATTTTCTAGAATTATTTTAAATTCTTTAATAAGATAGGCTGTAGTTAGCAGTAGTATCAAAGTTCCAGTTCTCTTGACATAGTTAGTATTTGCTGAGAAACTGCCTGGAAATGCAGTGGTTTTCATTCTGTGAGGTAGGGGAAGTTGTTCTGGGAGGGGATGCACTGTAGTAATTAGGTTTTATTTTCCCATATGAAGTTAATTAATTGTTGTTAAGTTTAATTTCTACTGCTGTGGTCTCTTTTGATTAGTGTCCTGCAGTTAATCTTTGTTTATATGGAAGTATCATGGGAACCCATTCACCTGCTCTTCAGAACGCAAACATTTCAACCATAGATTTATTTTTCTTTCCATATCTTTAGAAAGCTACTTAAAAAAATTAAATCTGATGAGTTTGTATCATTTGGAGTTCTGGAATATGGAGAAGACTCATTTAATCAGTCAGCAAAGGCTTTTACTAACTATATTGCTCTTTGGTGAGGTATATATACGTAGCATAGAACTCATGGCTTTTGCTTTTGAGTTTACAGACCACTTAGGGTTTAAGACATGCATTTGTGAAGCATTCACGTCCTCTTTTTCTCCTTTCCCGCTTTAGACTGAGTGGTCCATTATTGTAGTTAGTGTACTGCAAATGCCCATTTATTTTCTGGCCCCTGTAATCTTCTGTTTTACTCACCTGCCAAAACCCAACACTGGTTAAATTCAACTTGGCCAACTGTTTTTATACCTTATAGGTAAACACGGACGGAGGAAAATGGAGACAACTTTGCTGATTAGTCTCATTTATCTTTATTTTTATTTTCAATTTTTTTTCGAGACAAGGTCTTGCCCTGTCACCCAGGCTGGAGTGCAGTGGCATGATCCTAGCTCAATGTAGGCTTGACCTCCTGGGCTCAAGCAGTCCTCCCATCTCAGCCTCCTGAATAGCTGGGACCACAGGTATGCACCACTGCATCCCCTACTAAGTTTTTAAAATTTTTTGTAGGGACAGGGTCTTCTATGTTGCCCAGGCTGGTCTTGAACTCCTGGGCTCAAGCAATCCTCATCCCTTGGCCTCCCAAAGTGTTGAGATTACAGGCACGAGCCAATGCACCTGGCCCTGATTAGTCTCATTTTAAAGAAACAATCTCAGTCGCAAATGCACATTAAATACTGCTAACACTCCCACAATTCTTTACTATGTCTATTCTTGAAAATCAATATTTCAAACATTTTCCTCCTTTCTGAAGCCTCTAATTTAAACTCTCCTTTCCTCTCTCCCCTACCTCATTCTTTTAGACCTTGTCTTTACTGAGAAAATGAAAGCCATCACAAGGCAAGTTCTTCTTTCTACCTCAAAATTCACTAGCTTATCTACATTTGTACCTATTCTGCTACTTTTTCTCATATTGAAATACATTAAATGTCTCTATTCCCAGATAAATCTAATCTGTGTACTTACACCCTGGATTCCATTTCCTCTCACCTTCTGAAAATGTTGCTCCTACAGTTGTATCTTTGTGCTGCTATAACAAAATACCACAGACTGAGTAATTTATAAAAAAAATTTCAACCTGAATTTTGGAGAGAACATTCAGATAATAGTAGATGCTGAACTTCCTGTACTATCTTTCTTTGGCTAGATTCCACTGTCTTCTGTGTTTCTGCTACAAGACTTCTTTTAGACTCTACCCCACCTTGCTAGAGTCTTGGCTTAGCCTTCTGTTCTTTTTTAGAGAAGAAACTTAGGGCTTTCCTCATTCCTCATATTCTAAGTGCTCCAACCTGAATAACCATCTCTCTCTCTGGGATTGCTCTCTGGTCTGGGTCTGCCACCGCCTTTGCTTGAACTTTAGTATCTTTGACTATGAGTTCTTGCCTCCTTTAGTCTGGTTCTTCCAGTCTTGATTGTAACTCACGTCATACCTTTAACCCCCCACCTTTAAGTTTAAAAAAATCCTTATTTTCTGCTCTCCAAAATATAAGATATTCTAATACTAATTTCAGTGAAAGACATAGTTGGCTACTCTACCTTTTTCCCTGCCCTTGCTGCTTATTTTGCTGACTTATGATCACTGCTTGTCTAAGGAGAAACCTATTGTCTAATGCTGATTAGGAAATGGCATGATGTTTGGTTGTCTTACCTCTCTGAAAATAATGTTTACAGACCATGTGGCAAAGGAATAAAAATTACCTGTGGCTCAAAAGAGAGTGGATTGCAAAAACAGCCAATAATTCGCAAATAATTTGATTTTT
The DNA here is from genome assembly GCF_000001405.40 of Homo sapiens. Classification (NCBI taxonomy): domain Eukaryota; kingdom Metazoa; phylum Chordata; class Mammalia; order Primates; family Hominidae; genus Homo; species Homo sapiens. Next base: position 95,682,790 of record NC_000013.11, read on the forward strand.
CAGATGTGTCTTTATGAATCATTGATCATATGTTTGACTTGATAATTGTTATGTATTTTAGATTTTATTCTGATGAATTATAATACGTTTAAGTAAAAAGGCAAATAGTTAAATTCATTCAACAAATATTGCATACCCACTATGTGCGGGATACTGAATTAGGTGATACAAAGAAGAAAAGACAGCTCCTCCTCTCAAACTTGCTTTTGATAAGTTTTGTGGAGTTGGGACTTTGAGAAGCAGGCAAATTGTGAAAAGCAATATATAGAGAGAGTGATATTGCAAAGTGAAGTCATGTACTTCTGAGTGTGGAAATGCAAAATATAGGAAGATTGAAGGAGCTTTTTTTCCCTCTCTCAAAACAATACAGTGTGAGGGAAGGTTTCACAAAGGAGCCAGCATTTGAGGGCAGAATCTTTTTTTTTGTTTAACTTTATTTTATTTTAGATTCAAGATATACATGTGCAGGTTACATGGGTATATTGTGTAATGGTGGGGTGGTATGATTTAGATCTGTGCCCCACCCAAATCTCATGTTCAGCTGTAATCCCCAGTGTTGGATCTGGGGCCTGGTGGGAAGTGATTGGATCATGGGGGTGGTTTCTAATGGTTTAGCACCATCCCCCAGAGCTGTTATTGTGATAGAATTCTCACAAGATCTGGTTGTTTAAAAGTGTGCAGTATCTCCCCCCTCTCTGTCTTCCTCCGGCTCTGGCCATGTGAAGATGTGCCTACTTCTCCTTTACCTTTTGCCATGATTGTAAATTTCCTGAGGCCTCCCCAGCCATGCTTCATGTACAACCTACAGAACCGTCAGCCAATTAAACCTCTTTTCTTTATAAATTACCCAGTTCCGGCTGGGCACTGTGGCTCACGCCTGTAATCCCAGCACTTTGGGAGGCCGAGGTGGATGGATCACGAGGTCAGGAGTTCAAGATCAGCCTGGGCAAGATGGTGAAACCCCGTCTCTACTAAAAATACAAAAAAAAAAAAACTTAGCCTGTTGTGGAGGTGGGCGCCTGAAATCCCAGCTACTTGGGAGGCTGAGGCAGAGAATTGCTTAAACCTGGGAGGCAGAGGATGAAGTGAGCCGAGATTGCACCACTGCACTCCAGCCTGGGTGACAGAGCAAAACTCCATCTCAAAAAAAAAAAAAAAAAAATTACCCAGTTCCGGGTATTTCTTTATAGCAATGTGAGAATGGACTAATACAGAAAATTGGTACTGGGAGTGGGGCATTGCTATAAAGATACCTGAAATTGTAGAAGGAAGCAACTTTGGAATGGGGTAATGGGCAGAGGTTGGGACAGTTTGGAGGACTCAGAGGAAGACAGGAAGAGGAACGAAAGTTTGAAACCTCCTAGAGACTTGTTGAATGGTTGTGACCAAAATGCTGATAGTGGTATAGACAGTGAAGTTCAGGCTGAGGAGGGCTCAGAATGACCGCAGATGAGGAACTTATTGGGAACTGGAGTAAAGGCCACTCTTGCTATGCTTTAGTAAAGAGACTGGTGGCATTGTACCCCTGGTCTATGGATCTGTGGAACTTTGAACTTGAGAGAGGTGATTTAGGGTATCTGGTGGAAGAAACTTCTAAGCAGCAAAGTGTTCAAGATGTGACCTGGCCTCTAGCAGCCAGTGCTCATATTCATGAACAAAGAAATGATGTAAAATTGGAACTTACATTTAAAAGGGAAACAGAGCAGAAGAGTTGGAAAATTTTCAGTCTGACCATGTGGTAGAAAAGAAAAACCCATTTATAGGGGAGTAATTCAAGCAGACTGCATGAATTTGCATAAGTAAAGAGGAGCCAAGTGCTGATAGCCAAGACAATGGGAAAAAGGGCTCCAAGGCATCTCAGCGACCTTTAAGGCAGCTCCTTCTATCATAGGCCCAGAGACCTAGGAGGGAAGAACAGTTTCCTGGGCCAGGGCCCTGCCAGCCTCAGGACACTGCTGCCTGCATCCTAGTTACTCCAGCTCCAGCCATGGCTGAAAGGGGCCCAGATATAGCTCAGGCCTTCAGACGGTGCCAGCCCAAACCCTTGGAAGATTCCACATGCTGTTAAGCCTGCAGGTGCTGAAAGCCAAGAATTGAGGCTTGGGAGCCTCAGCCTAGATTTCAGATATATGGAAAAGCCTGGATGTTCAGGCAGAAGGTTGCTGCAGGGGCAGAGCCCTCATGGAAAAATCTCTACTAGGGCAGTGCAGAGGGGAAATGTGGGGTTGGAGCCCCCAACAGAGTCCCCACTGGGGCACTGCCTAGTGGAGCTGTGAGAAAGACCACCATCTTTCAGACCCCAGAATGGTAGATCCGCTGACAGCTTGCACCATGCACCTGGAAAAGCTGCAGCCACTCATTGCCAGCCCTTGACAGCAGCCGCGTGGGCTGAGCCCTGCAAAGTCACAGGAGTGGCACTGCCCAAGGCCTTGGGAGCTCACCCCTTGCTGCAATATGCCCTGGATGTGAGACATGGAGTCAAAGGAGATTATTTTGGAGCTTTAAGATTTAATAACTGCCCTGCTGGGTTTTAGCACGTGCATGGGGCCCGTAGCCTTTTTCTTTTGGCCGGTTTTACCCTTTTGGAATGGGACTATTTACCCAATGCCTATAATCCCATTGTATCTTGGAAGTAATTAACTTGTTTTTGATTTTATAGGCTTATAGGTGGAAGGGACTTGGCTTGTCCCAGATGAGACTTTGGACTTTTGAGTTAATGCTGGAATGAGTTAAGACTTTGGGGGCTGTTGAGAAGGGATGATTGTATTTTGTAATGTGAGAACATGATATTTTGGAGGAGCTGGGGCGGAATGATATGGTTTGGATCTGTGCCCCACCCAAATCTTATGTTGAATTGTAATCCCTAATGTTGGAGTTGGGGCTTGGTGGTAGGTTTTTTGTTTTTTTTTAGAAATCTCCATATTGTTTTCCATAGTGGTTGAACTAATTTACATTGCTGCCACCCATATATGTGTTACAATTTCTTCACCTCCATGCTAACATCTATTTTTTTTTAAGCTTTTTAGTAATAGCCACTCAGACTTGTGTAAGATGATTGATATTTCATTGTGGTTTTAATTTGCATTTCTCTGATGATTAGTGATGAACATTTTTTCATGTTTGTTGGCTGCTTGTATGTCTTCTTTTGAGAAATGTCTCTTAATGTCCTTTGCCCACTTTTTTTTTTTTTGAGACAGAGTCTTGCTCTGTCGCCCAGGCTGGAATGCAGTGGCACGATCTTGGCTCACTGCAAGCTCCGCCTCCCAGGTTCACGCCATTCTCCTGCCTCAGCCTCCTAAGCAGCTGGGACTACAGGTGCCTGCCACCATGCCCGGCTAATTTTTTGTATTTTTAGTAGAGACAGGGTTTCACTGTGCTAGCCAGAATGGTCTTGATCTCCCGACCTTGTGAGCCACCCGCCTTGGCCTCCCAAAGTGCTGGGATTACAGGCGTGAGCCAGTGCGCCTGGCCCTTTGCCCACTTTTTAATGGGGTTCTTTGTTTTCTTCTTGTTGAGTTGTTTGAGTGTCTTGTAGATTCTGGATATTAGTCCTTTGTCGGAGGCATAATTTGCAAATGTTTTCTCTCATTCTGTAGTTTGTCTCTTTGCCCTGTTGATTATCTTTTGATGTGCAGAAGCTTTTTAGTTAAGTCCCATTTGTTTATTTTTGGTTTTGTTGCATTTGTGTTTGGGGTCTTCGTCATAAGTTGTTTGCCTAGGCCAATGTCCAAAATGTTTAATCTATCTTGAGGTAGTTTTTGTATATGCTGGGAGACAGAGATCCAGTTTCTTCTGCATATGGCTAGCCAATTTTCCCAGCACCATTTATTGAATTAGGGTGTCCTTTCCCTGTTGTTTATATTTGTCAGCTTTGTCAAAGATCAATCTGTTGGATGTAAGTATGTGGTTTTATTTCTGGGGTTCTCTATTGTAGTCCATTGATCTGTGTGCGTATTTTTGTACCAGTACCATGCCATTTTAGTTACTATAGCCTTGTAGTATAATTTGAAGTCAAGTAATGTGATGCCTCTGGATTTGTTCTTTTTGGTTAGGATTACTTTGGCTATTCATGCCCTTTTTTGGTGCTGTATGGACTTTAGAATTGTTTTTCCTAGTTCTCTGAAAAATGACATTGGTGATTTGATAGGAATTGTGTTGAATCTACAGATTACTATGGGCAGTATGGTTATTTTAATGATAGTCTCCAAATCCATGAGCCTGGGATGTTTTTGTGTTTATTTATGACATATATGATTTGTTTCATAAGTGTTTTGTAGTTCTCATGGAGATCTTTCACCTCCTTGGTCAGTGTTTTCCTAGGTATTTTATTTTTTTGCATATGGCTTTTGTAAATGGGATTGAATTCTTGATTTGGTTTTTGGCTTGAATATTGTTGGTGTATAGAAATGCTACAGATTTTTATACCATGGTTTTGTATACTGAGACTTTACTCAAGTTGTTTATCGGTCTTGGAGTCCTTTAGTAGAATCTTTAGGGTTTTCTAGGTAAAAAAATCATATTTGTGAAGAGACATAATTTGACCTCCTCTTGTCCCTTTTGGATATCTTTTATTTCTTTTTCTTGCCTGATAACTTTAGCCAGGACTTCCAGTACTATGTTGAATTGGAATAGTAAGAGTGAACATCATTGTCCTGTTCCAATTCTTAGGGTGAATGCTTTCAGCTTTTCCCCATTCAGTATATTGGCTGTGGGTTTGTCATATGTGGCCTTTATTATGTTGAGGTATGTTTCCTGTATGCCTAGTTAATCTAGCTAGCAGTTTATCAATTTTGCTCATGGATTTGGAGAATATAATATCGTTAAAAAGACAACACTACCTAAAGCAATCCACATACCACCCAAAGCATACTGTCTTGGTTACTGTAGCCTTATAGTATAGTGTGAAGTTGGGTAATGTGATACCTCCAGCTTAGTTCTTTTTGCTAAGGATTGCTTTGGCTATTCAGGTTCTTTTTTGGTTTTATATGAATTTTAGAATATATATATTTTTAATTCTGTGAAAAATGACATTGGTAATTTGGTAGGAATAGTGTTGAATCTGTAGATTGCTTTGGGCAGTATGGCCATTTTAATGATATTGATTCTTCCAACCTGTGAGCATGGAATGTTTTTCCATTTGCTTGTGTCATGTATGACTACTTTGAGCAGTGTTTAATAGTTCTCCCTTTAGCAATGTTTCACCTCCTTGGTTAGCTGTATTCCTAGGTATTTTACTTTTTGTGTGTGGCTATTAAAAATGGGATTTTGTTATTGATTTGGCTCTCAGCTTGAATGTTGTCAGTGTATATAAATGTTACTGCTGCTTGTACATTAATTTTATATCCTGAAACTTTACTGAAGTTGCTTATCAGTTCCAGGAGCCTTTTGGTGGAGTCCTTAGGGTTTTTTAGGTATAGAATCATATAATCACTGAAGAGAGGTATTTGACTTCTTTTCCTATTTGGATGCCTTTTATTTCTTTCTCTTGCCTGATTGCTCTGGTTAAGACTTCCAGTACTGTGGCAAATAGGAGTGGTGAGAATGGGCATCCTTGTCTTTTCTAGTTTTCAAGGGAAATGCTTTCAGCTGCTGCCTGTTTAGTATGGTGTTGGCTGTGGGTTTGTTATAGATGGCTTTTATTGTTTTCAGGTATGCTTCTTCGATGTCTAGTTTCTTGAGGGATTTTTATCATACAGGGGTGTTGGATTTCATAGACTGCTTTTTCTACAGTTTTTTTTTTTTTTGAGACAGAGTGTTACATTGTCCCCCAGGCTGGAGTGCAGTGGCTCTATCTCGGCTCACTGCAACCTACGCCTCCCACTTCAAGTGATTCTTGTGCCTCAGCCTCCTGGGGCTGGGGTTACAGGCATGCATCACCATGCCTGGCTACTTTTTTGCAGAGATGGGGTTTTGCCATGTTGGCCGGGCTGGTCTTGAACTGGCTTCAAGTGATCCTCCCACCTCAGCCTCCCAAGGTGCTGGGATTACAGGTGTGAGCCACTGTGCTCAGCCTTTCTGTATCTATTAAGATGATCATACGGGTTTTGTTTTTAATTCTGTTTATGTGGTGGACCACATATGTTTGCATATGTTGAACCATCCTTGCATCCCAGAGACAAAGCCCATTTGATTGTGTGGGTGTGTGTGTGTGTGTGTGTGTGTGTGTGTGTGTGTGTGCGCGCTGTTGGATTTAGTTTGCTAGTATTTTGTTGCATATGTTTACATCTATTTTCATCAGGGATATTGGCCTGTGGTTTCCTTTTTTTGGTTGTCTTGCCTCATTTTGGTATCAGGTTGATACTGGTTTCATAGAATGAGTTAGGGAGGAATCCTTCCTCTTTGATTTTTTTTTTTTTCGGGGGGGAATACTTTCAGTAAGATTGGTAACCAGCTCTTTGTATGTCTGGTAAAAATTGGCTGTAAAAAATCTGTCCTGGGCTTTTTTTTTTTTCCTGGAAGATTTTGTCAGGACTAATTTGATTTTATTGCTCATTATTGGTCTATTCAGGATTTCTGTTTCTTCTTGGTTAAATCTTGGGAGGTTGTATGTTTCTGGGAATTTATCCATTTCCTCTAAGTTTTCTATCTAGTTTGCATAAAGATGTTCATAGTAGTCTCTGATGATGTTTTGTATTTTCTGTGGTATGAGTTGTCACCTTTCTCATTTCTGGTTGTGCTTATTTGAATCTTCTCTCTTTTTTTCTTGGTTAGTCTAGCTAGTGGTCTGTCAATTTTGTTTATCCTTTCAAAGAAGTTTTTGTTTTGTAGATCCTTTTTCTTTTTTTTTCTTTTTGGTCACAATCTCATTTAGTTCATTCTGATCTTTTTATTTCTTTTCTCCCAGCTAGTTTTGGGTTTGTTTTATTCTTATTTTTCTAGTTCCTTGAGGTGTGGTGTGTGGTTGTTCATTTGCGATCTTTCTATCTTTTTGATGTAGGCATTTAATGCTGTAAACATGCTTCATAGCACAGCTTTTGTGGTATCCCAGAGGTTTTGGTATGCTATGTTTCTGTTTTCATTTGTATCAGAAATTATTTTGATTTCTGCTTTAATTTCATTGCTCGCCCAAAAGTAATTCCGGTTGTTTACTTTTCATGTACTTGTGTTGTTTTCAGAGTTCCTTTTGGTATTGACTTCTAATTTTATTCCATTGTGGTTCAAGAAATACTTGATATGATTTGGACTTTTTTTTTTCTTTTTCTTTTTCTTTTTTTTATTGATCATTCTTGGGTGTTTCTCGCAGAGGGGGATTTGGCAGGGTCACAGGACAATAGTGGAGGGAAGGTCAGCAGATAAACAAGTGAACAAAGGTCTCTGGTTTTCCTAGGCAGAGGACCCTGCGGCCTTCCACAGTGTTTGTGTCCCTGGGTACTTGAGATTAGGGAGTGGTGATGACTCTTAAGGAGCATGCTGCCTTCAAGCATCTGTTTAACAAAGCACATCTTGCACCGCCCCTAATCCATTCAACCCTGAGTGGATACAGCACATGTTTCAGAGAGCACAGGGTTGGGGGTAAGGTCACAGATCAACAGGATCCCAAGGCAGAAGAATTTTTCTTAGTACAGAACAAAATGAAAAGTCTCCCATGTCTACTTCTTTCTACACAGACACGGCAACCATCCGATTTCTCAATCTTTTCCCCACCTTTCCCCCCTTTCTATTCCACAAAACCGCCATTGTCATCATGGCCCGTTCTCAATGAGCTGTTGGGTACACCTCCCAGACGGGGTGGTGGCCGGGCAGAGGGGCTCCTCACTTCCCAGTAGGGGCGGCCGGGCAGAGGCGCCCCTCACCTCCCGGACGGGGCGACTGGCCAGGCGGGGGGCTGACCCCCCCACCTCCCTCCCGGACGGGGCGGCTGGCCGGGCGGGGGGCTGACCCCCCCACCTCCCTCCCGGACGGGGCGGCTGGCTGGGCAGAGAGGCTCCTCACTTCCCAGTAGGGGCGGCCGGGCAGAGGCGCCCCTCACTTTCCGGATGGGGTGGCTGGCCGGGCGGGGGGCTGACCCCCCCACCTCCCTCCCGGACGGGGCAGCTGGCCGGGCAGAGGGGCTCCTCACTTCCCAGTAGGGGCGGCCGGGCAGAGGCGCCCCTCACTTCCCAGACGGGGCGGCTGGCCGGGCGGGGGGCTGACCCCCCCCACCTCCCTCCCGGACGGGGCGGCTGGCCGGGCGGGGGGCTGACACCCCCACCTCCCTCCCGGATGGGGTGGCTGGCCGGGCGGGGGGCTGACCCCCCCACCTCCCTCCTGGATGGAGCGGCTGGCCGGGCAGAGGGGCTCCTCACTTCCCAGTAGGGGCGGCCGGGCAGAGGCGCCCCTCACTTCCCAGACGGAGCGGCTGGCCGGGCAGGGGGCTGACCCCCCCACCTCCCTCCCGGACGGGGCTGCTGGCCAGGCAGGCGGCTGACCCCCCCACCTCCCTCCCGGACGAGGTGGCTGCCGGGCGGAGACGCTCCTCACTTCCCAGACGGGGTGGCTGCTGGGCGGAGGGGCTCCTCACTTCTCAGACGGGGCACTTGCCGGGCGGAGGGACTCCTCACTTCTCAGACGGGGCGGTTGCCAGGCAGAGGGTCTCCTCACTTCTCAGACGGGGCGGCCGGGCAGAGACGCTCCTCACATCCCGGACGGGGCGGCAGGGCAGAGGTGCTCCTCACATCTCAGACGATGGGCGGCCGGGCAGAGATGCTCCTCACTTCCCAGATGTGATGGCGGCCGGGAAGAGGCACTCCTCACTTCCTAGATGGGATGGCGGCCGGGCAGAGACGCTCCTCACTTTCCAGACTAGGCAGCCAGGCAGAGGGGCTCCTCACATCCCAGACGATGGGCGGCCAGGCGGAGACGCTCCTCACTTCCCAGACGGGGTGGTGGCCGGGCAGAGGCTGCAATCTCGGCACTTTGGGAGGCCAAGGCAGGCTGCTGGGAGGTGGAGGTTGTAGCGAGCCGAGATCACGCCACTGCACTCCAGCCTGGGCACCATTGAGCACTGAGTGAACGAGACTCCCTCTGCAATCCCGGCACCTTGGGAGGCGGAGGCTGGCGGATCACTCGCGGTTAGGAGCTGGAGACCAGCCCGGCCAACACAGTGAAACGCCGTCTCCACCAAAAAAATACGAAAACCAGTCAGGCGTGGCGGCGCGCGCCTGCAATCGCAGGCACTGGGCAGGTTGAGGCAGGAGAATCAGGCAGGGAGGTTGCAGTGAGCTGAGATGGCAGCAGCACCATCCAGCTTCAGCTCGGCATCAGAGGGAGACCATGGAAAGAGAGGGAGAGGGAGACCGTGGAAAGAGAGGGAGAGGGAGACCGTGGAAAGAGAGGGAGAGGGAGACTGTGGGGAGAGGGAGAGGGAGAGGGAGAGGGACAATTTGGACTTTTTTTGAGTTTATTGAAACTTTCCATGGCCAAGCATATGGTTGATTTTAAGAATGTTCCACACACAGATGAGAAAAATGTATATTTTGTGGTTGTTGGATAGAATGTTCTGTAAATGTCTACTAGGTCCATTTGGTTTAGAGTTTAGTCTAAGTCTGGAGTTTCATTGTTCACTTTCTGCCTTGATGATCTGTCTTGTGTTGTCAGTGGGGGGGTTGGCGTCCCTTCATTATTGTGTGGCTATTGATCTGTTTTCTTAGGTCTAGTAGTAGGAGTTTTATGAATCTTGGTGCTCCAGTGTTGAGTGTGTATATGTTTAGCATAGTTAAATATTCTTGTTGTATTGAATCTTTTATTATTTTATAAATAATAATAACCCCAGGGCCCAACCCCAATCTCAGCCCTACTCCACTCTAGCGCTATAGTTGTAGCAGGAGTTTTTCTGCTCATCTGCTTCTATCCCCTAATAGAAAATAGTGTATTAATCCAAACCTTTACACTGTTTAGGTGCTATTACCACCATATTTAGAGCAATCTGTGCTCTAACACAAAATGATATCAAAACAATGGTAGCACTCTCCACTTCAAGTCAACTAGACCTTACAATACTCACAATTGACATTAATCAACCACACCTAGCACTTCTACACATCTGCACCCATGCCTTTTTTTTTTTTTTTGAGACGGAGTCTTGATCTTCTGCCCAGGCCGGACTGCAGTGGCACTATCTCGGCTCACTGCAAGCTCCGCCTCCCGGATACATGCCATTCTCCTGCCTCAGCCTCCCAAGTAGCTGGGACTACAGGCGCCCGCCACTGGGCCCAGCTAATTTTTTGTATTTTTAGTAGAGATGGGGTTTCACCATGTTAGCCAGGATGGTCTCGATCTCCTGACCTCGTGATCTGCCTGCCTCGGCCTCCCAAAGTGTTAGGATTACAGGCGTGAGCCACTGCGCCCCACCGCACCCATGCCTTTTTTAAAGCTATATTATTTATGTGTTCGGGATCCATCATCCACAACCTCAACGATGAACAAGATATTCTAAAAATAGGAGGACTATTTAAGACTTTACCCCTTACTTCTTCCTCCCTTATTATTGGCAGCTTAGCACTTACAGGTATGCCTTTCCTAATAGGCTTTTACTCTAAATACCTTATTATTGAAACCACAAACGTGATATACCAATACCTGAGCCCTTTCTAGTACTCTTATTGCCACCTCCTTAACAGCTGTTTGTAGTATCAGAATTATTGTCTTTGTTCTAATAGGACAACCCCACTTCACAACTCTAATTATTAATGAAAATAAACCCTTCCTAATTCAATTAAACACCTAATAATAGGCAGTATCTTCACTGGATTTCTTATCAGCAATAGTATTATCCCCACCTCTTCCCCCCAGACAACAGTACCACCTCATCTAAAACTTACAGCCCTTAGTGTAACCTAGGGATTTTGCTAGCAATGGAGCTCAGTCTTCTAACTAATAATCTTAAGACTATTAGTCTTCTAACTAATAATCTTAAGACTATTAGTCTTCTAACTAATAATCTTAAGCTAAAATATCCATTACAGACATTCAACTTCTCCAATATACTGGAATTTTACTCAACCACAATCCATTGTACAACCCCTTGCTCAAGCCAAAATCTGGCTTCACTTCTACTATACCTAGTTTGATTAGAAAAGTCCATACCAAAGACAATTTCACAGACCCACGTTACAGCCTCCATTACCATATCCACTCAAAAAGGCCTAATTAAATTTTATTTCCATTCCTTTTTTATCCCCTCCTTTCTAACTCTACTCTTAATTATCTACTCTATTACCCCAAGTAATTTCAATTACAACATAATCAGCAACAATGTTCAACCAGCAGCCACCACCAATCAACACCCATAATTATATAAAGCACCTGCACCCACAGAATCCTCATGAATCAACCCCGGACCCTCACCCTAAAAAATTATTCAACTTCCTACACTACTAAAATTAATTGTAATCACCACCCCATCATATTCAACCATTCATCAAATCAACACCAATTCTATTAATAACCCTAATGATAAAGTTCCTCAAATATCATATTTGATCCTTAATGTCTCAGGGTATTCCTCAATAGCTATTGCCACAGTATAACCAAAAACAACCATCATACCACCCAAATAAATCTAAAAGACTATTAACCCTGTAAAAGCCCCACCATAATTCAACACAATACCACAACCCACAGCACCACTAATAACCCTAAACCTCCATAAATAGGAGAAAGTTTTGAAGACAAACCTACAAATCCTATAACCAAAATAATACTTAATAAGAATAAAGCATATGTCATTATTCCCACATGGCTTGTAACCATGACTAATGATAGGAAAAATAATCATTGTACTTCAACTATAAGAACACTAATGATTAATATACATAAAATACACCCACTAATTAAAATTATAAATTATTCATTTATTGATCTCCCCACACCATCCAACATCTCTACATGATGAAATTTTGGCTCACTTCTTGGTGCCTGCTTAATTCTCCAGACCATCACAGGATTATTTCTGGCCATACACTACACACCGGACACCTTAACTGCTTTCTCTTCAGTTGCCCATATCAACCGAGTTGTAAACTACGGCAGAATAGTCCACTATTTTCACGCTAACGGTGCTTCAATATTCTTCATCTGCCTCTTCCTGCACGTTGGCCAAGGTTTATATTATGGGTCACTTATGTCCCTAGAAACCTGAAATACTGGTATTATCCTCCTACTCAACAACTATAGCAACAGCGTTTATAGGCTACATACTCCCATGAGGCCAAATATCATTCTGAGGCGCTACAGTAATTACAAATCTATTATCAGCCATTCCATATATTGGAACGGATCTTGTTCAATGAATCTGAGGTGGGTTCTCAGTTGATAAAGCCACTATTGCATGACTTTTCACCTTCCATTTTATCCTACCCTTCATCATTATAGCCGTAGCAATTCTCCACCTTTTATTCTTGCATGAAACAGGATCCAGTAACCCTTCAGGAATTTCATCAGATTCCAACAAAATCACCTTCCACCCTTACTATACAACCAAAGATATCCTAGGTCTAATATTTCTCCTCCTCCTTCTAATAACTCTAGTATTATTTTGACCTGACTTCCCGAGCAATCCAGACAATTACACTTTAGCCAACCCCCTCAGTATCCTACCCCACATTAAGCCAGAATGATATTTTTTGTTTGCATACACAATCTTACGATCCATCCCTAATAAACTAGAAGGTGTACTGGCCCTTCTATTCTCTATTCTATTCTAGCAGTTATTCTTGTACTACATACGTTCAAACAACAAAGCATAATATTCTGCCCATTAAGTCAATGCCTGTTCTGAATTTTAGTGGCGGACTTGCTTACAGTCACATGAATCAGATGATAGCCAGTTGAACATCCTTTTGTTACCATCGGACAGCCAGCATCTATTATGTAATTCTCCATTTTCCTTGCCCTTATACCACTCACTGCCCTAATTGAAAATAAGCTACTTAAATGAAACTGCCCTTGTAGTACAACTCAATACTCTGGTCTTCTAAACCAGAAATGGAGAGTCTCTCCCCAGGACAACTCGGAGAAAAAGCATTCCCGCTTCACCGTCAACACTGCTTCACCATCAATACCGCTTCACCATCAACACCCAAAGCTGAAGTTGTAATTAAACTATTCTCTGTATTCTTTTTGGCACATATTTTAACTAATATGTCAGTATTGACTGCCAACACTAATATATTAGTACTCCTATGTACTTTGTGCATTACTGTTAATCCCCATGAATGATATATGTGCTATAAATGCTTGATTGTACATAGTACATACACACATAACCTTACACTAAAGAGCCATTCCACATGCATATAAGCATGTACTAACAATCCCTTAATCAACTATCACTCATTCAGACATTACACTCACATGACGAAACTCGATCCACATGAATATCGACCAGTACTGGAAACCCTTGATATTACATAGTGCATACGTTCATTCACTGACGTAGTGTATTTCAGTCAAGATTAACCTCGCCAACATGGATATCCCCTACCAAGCTTTGGTCTGTTAATCTACCAACCTCCAAGAAATCATCATCCCTCTCGGGCGTGTTACTCTCCTCGCTCTGGGCCCATAACACTTGGGAGTGACTATACTGAAACTGTACCTGGCATCTGGTTCTTACCTCAGGGCCATGAAACTAAGATTGAAACTAAGATTGCCCACACATTTCACTTAAATAAGACGTCTTGATGGACTAGTGACTACCACCCTATTAACCAGTTACGGGAGCACTGTCATGCATTTGGTATTTTTAACTTTTGGGGATGCTGTCACTCACCATTGTGGAAGGCCTTCTTTGCCTTTTTTAAAAAAAAATTTTAAATTGTTGTTGGTTTAAAGTCTGTTTTATCTGATATAAGAATGTTTACTCCAGCTTGCTTTTTTTCCCAGTTGCATGATACATCTTTTGTTACCCCTTTACTTTGAGTCTATAGGTGTCTTTAGCCATTAGGTGAGGCTCTTGTAGGCTGCAGATGGTTGTGTCTTGTGTTTTTTTTTTTTGAGACGGAGTCTCGCTCTGTCGCCCAGACTGGAGTGCAGTGGCGTGATCTCGGCTCACTGCAAGCTCTGCCTCCTGGGTTCATGCCATTTTCCCGCCTCAGCCTCCTGAGTAGCTGGGACTACAGGCGCCCACCACCGCGCCTGGCTAATTTTTTGAATTTTTAGTAGAGATGGGGTTTCACCGAGTTAGCCAGTGTCTTGTTTTTTTATCCAGTTTGCCGTTGTATCTGTTAGGTGGAGCATTTAGGCCATTTACCTTCAAGGTTAATATTGATATGTGAAAGTTTGTTCCTGTTATAGTGTTGTTAGCTAGTTGCCTTGGAGTCACAATTGAGTAATAGCTTTATAGGATCTGTGAGCTTTGTATTTACATGTGCATTTATCATGGCAAACATCATCCTTTTGTTTCCACATTTAGAACTCTTTTGCGCTTTTCTTATAGGTCTAGTCTAGTGGTGATGAATTCCTTTAGTGTTTGCTTGTCTGTAAAAGACTTCGTTTCTCTTTCGTTTATGAAGCTTAGTTTGGTAGGATATAAAATTCTTGGTTATAGTTTTTTTGTTCGTTTGTTTTTGGAGTCTAAAAAGAGGCCCCAAACTCTTTTGGCATGTAAGGTTTCTGCTGAGAATTTCACTCTTAATCTGATGGGATTCCCTTTGTCAATGATTTGACACTTCTGTCTAACTGCTTTTAAGATTCGCTGATAGTCTGATGACTACATTCCTTGGTTATGTTCGTCTTGTATAGTATCTTCCAGGTGCCCTGTGAATTTCTAATATCTGGATGTCTGCATATCTAGCAAGATCAGGGGATTTTTCCTGTTTTATTTCCTCAAATATGTTTTTTTAAAATTTCTTACTTTTTCTTTTCCTTCACAATGCCTGTAAGTTGTAGGTTTGGTTGTTTTACATAATCCCATATTTTTCAAAGGCTTTGTTTGATTTTAAAAATTCTTTTAAGATTTTAAAACAAATTCTTTTTTTTTGTCTGACTGGGTAATTTAAAAGACCAGCCTTCAAGAAGTTTTTTTTTTTTTTTTTTTTTAAAGACATCTGTCTCTTCCTTCATTTCCTAGATTGCTTTTCTGGTTATTTTTGTGTTGGTTTTCAACCTTCTCTTGGTTCTCATTGAGCTTCTTTACAATTCCCACTTTGAATTCTTTCTCTCATTTCTGAATTTTCATTTTGGTTGTAGTCCATTGCCAGAAAGCCAGTGCAGTCTTTTTGGTGGTGTCACAACATTCAGATTTTTCATGGTACCTGAATTCTTAATGCTGGTTTTTTCTCATCTAGAGAAACTGACACTTGTTGTTGTTTGAATTTACTTCATTTAAATGGCTTTTTTTTTTCTCTCCCCCAACCTGCCTTGTGCCTATAGAGTATGCTCTAGGGTAGAGTCTTTTGCTTTGCTTTTATAGCCTTGTGTACTTTTGTTGGCAGGTTTTATATTTGTTGTGCAATTCAACCTACAGGCCTGTAGGTGGTACTTACTGGTATGAGCCAGCAGCAGCAAAAGCAGACAGATGTGTACCTGATCTTTGTTTATTGTGAGATTCACTGTGTTGTTTCAGGTGATGGGCTAGACAGTGGAAATTCCCCCATCCCCTGAGCTTCTGTTTAGCAGTGGGTCAGGGCGAGATAGCTGGATAGAGCTGGATCGTCTAGCTTGCCCACGAATACTCCAATGATAAGCATAGGCACTAGTCCTGATAGGGGTGGTTGAGGTCTCTGCTGCATGTTAGGGAGCTGCACTGGCTTCATGTCCTGGACAGGGAGGAATGTGATGTGTTCCCTGTCACACCCTTGTTCTGGGGCTCGTGACTCTCAGTGCAGATGCACAGTGTTGTCTGTCTCCAGGCCACAGTGTAGCCGAGAGTCACAGTAAATGCCTGTCATGCAGTTCTCCTGGGATTGGTTTAAGGACATGAGGGCAGAGTCTTGATGGATGAGTAGGAATTTCTCTGGTGGGCAAGTGTGGGAGACCATTTTATGTAATAGCAAATGCAAAGGGATGAAGCATGAGAACACGGTCTATTCAGAGAAGTATAGCAAGTTTAGTTTTTTATAGGAGTATAAAGTAAGAGGTAGAGGAATGATGGATGATAAGGCTGGACCCACGGCATGAAACCTGACCCTGAAAGGTGTTGTTTGCTTTTATATCTGAAGGGATTTAGTTTTAATCTAGCCAATGATGTGAAAACTCTGCAGAATTTTTAGTATAAGTGCATTTTGAAGGATTGCCCTGGCAGCAGCATAGGGGCTGGATTTGAAGGAAGGTAAGATGAGAGCTGGGAACATCTCAGTGAGGAGGCACAATGCCTCTTATGGGGAAAGAAGGGTCTGCACCACCAGCTCTTAGACTGTGGCAAGTTCTGTTATGGAAATGTGACCAAAGCACACCAAAAGAATAATAATTAATTCTCTCTGGATGATTAGAGTGTACCATGGAAATTTTGTAGAGGAAGTGATATTATCATATAATTAAATGGAAATTATGTTGGGTAAAATTGTAATGTAATAAAGATCTCAGTTTTATTCTGGAAAGAAGAAATGCTGGATACTCATTTTATCCTAGAAGGCAAGAGAAATTTAGTTTGAAGAGTAACTCACCCTCTGGGGTAAGAGTATGACATGGCTTGACATAGCAGTTCAAATAATTTTGCACATGTGTTCTTGGCTTCCCTTTAGATTTCAGGTTCATCCTGTGAGGTTGAAAATGATTGTAGCTAAAATGTTATGTTAAATGATAGGTTGAGTGAGTCAAGCATGAAAAGCCTAATAACTGTGGAAAGCTTACCCTGGTTTACATGGGGAAAAGGATTGTTCACTGTGCTGAAAAGAAAACTGGTCTTTGGAAATGGATCTTGTTTCGGTAGTTGTTGTGAGTCCTTGGGCAGAATGGTTAACTACCTTGAGCCTCAGTTATAAAACTATGAAAGACGTTTACTTCCTGGGGTTGTTTTGATGATTTAGTGAAATAAAGATACAGAAATTTCCAGCACATAGTAGATTGTTAAGTCTGTTTGTATTACATTTCTCCTCATAAAGTTTCTTTTTTCTTTTCTTTTTCTTTTTTAAACATTTTTGTTTGAGACAGGATCATGCTCTGTTGCCCAGACTGGAGTGCAGTGGCATGATTGTAGCACCTGGCCTCAAGTGATTCTCCTGCTTCAGCCTCCTGAGTAGTTGGGACTACAGGTGTGTGTCACCACACCAGGCTCATTTTTAAAATTTTTTGTAGAGATGGTGTTTTTCTTGTCCAGACTGGTCTTGAACTCCTGGCCTGAAGTGATCTTCCTGTGTTGGCCTCCCAAAGTGCTGGGATAATAGATGTGAGCCATTGCAACTGGCCTACTTTTATTGTTTATATAAGATATGGGGTCTCACTGTATTGTCCAGGCCAGTCTCGAACTCCTGGGCTCAAGCAATCCTCCCACTTCAGCAACCTGAATAGCTGGGATTACAGGTCTGCATCACTGAGCTCACCTACCAGGCACCTTTACTTATGAAAATTTTCTTTATATATAAATTATTTTCATAAAAGAGGTTTTCAGAACTGTTTTTAATGTCTGTAGTTTCTCGAACTAACCAGCTTCAAGTAATATGCCAAAAAATATGTTTTGGGATGGCATATTCTGGTCTCCTGCAGTCATTTTTTGGGAGGGTATGTTCTGAGCCCCAAAATCTCTCTTCCTTTCTTTCCATTCCTTATACCAAGAGGTCCAACAGGCAACCAAGGTATTCAGTTACTTTTGTGCCAACCTAATAAGACACTATGGAGAAACTACAGAGTAGCTGAGAAAGCTACTGTGTTTAGAAGGAGAAAGAGCAAGGTAAAGTGAATTCCAATCAGCTTTTTGCTGTATTAGATGAAATAAGGAGTTCAGTGCTTTTGGTGACTAAAATGGCAGGTAGTTGCTCAGTAAGTTGCTTTGGGTATCCTGGACTCCTGCTTTTTCTGTACTTGACCTCCATATCTAGCCTGTTGATATAAGTCATGTGTGTCTTTTTTCTCTCTTATTTTTTCTGTGTTCACTGCTGCTACTCCATGGTCATGTCATCATCATGTTGCCTGGATTATCATGTAGATACTGAATTGGTTTCCTTCTTCCTCTCTGGATGTTTATTAGAGTCACCTAGCACTTAAAGTGTTCCGCTCCAGAATAATTATGTCATGATGGCAAGGAGAGCTAGCTGAAATACTAGACATTTTTTTTAAAGCCTCATTAATCATGTGACATCTAGGCATTTAAATGTCATGTCCTTTGTTTTTGGATGGTCAGTTTCCCTATTCCAGCCTTTTCGACAAAGGTAGCATCCTTCCTACTTTTCCTTCAGGTTTCAGGTGAGCCTTCAGGGGAATCCCCCGAGGGCTGTCCAGTGGAACTTTCCGCGATGATGGGAGATATTTGGTATCATTTGCATTGTCCCATGCAGTGGTGTTGGAGCTTAGGTCACGCTACCCCAAAATATGACTTCAGGAGCCCACAATATGCTACTGCAAAATATGTCTCTTTGTCATATTGGTTATTTAGAGTTGGTTATTTTGAGAAACTGTAGACACAAGAATAGCTCTGAAAAGTTGCCCTTTTGTCAGAGAAATTTACATCTATGAGGGAAATCTTTTTCCCTGCTCTGCAGTAGGAGGAGAGGGGCCGCTAAATGGAAAAGGCATTGACTTAAAAACTGCACAACAAATCTTACTCTTGTTTTCAGTTTTTTCCTGGCCATCCCCCTGTAACAGATTTCCCCATCACCCTCCACTTCCTTTATTTTAGCAAATGATGGTATTCCGCTGAAGTTTAAACTCTCATTGAAATCTACTCTGGAGATTTACTCGGTTCTCTTGAATTTTCTCGCATGTATGTTTGAGGTATACATATGAAACAACTCTTGTTAATCTGTCTTTTGTTACAGGGAGTCCCAGTTTATGAAGATAAAAAATTATTTTTTCTCTCCTATACCAGCCACTAGTTATTGAGCACTTAAACTGTTACTAGTGTGACTGTGAAACAAGTTTAAATTTTATTTAATTTTAACTGTGTTAGGTGCTTTAACTTGTGCCCTCACAGTACCCTGTGTACATTCCCCCATTATAACACTATAGTGTATGTATTCCCAACATTTTATTATTAAACATATCGCAAAGTTGAAAGAATTTTACAGTGTTCATCCCTATACCCATCATCTAGATTCTACCACTAATATTTTAATACATTTGTTTTAACACATATGCATCTGGACATTTCTGTATCCAACCATTAATCCTTTAAAAAAATACATTTCAAGATAACACCAGTATACATGGCCCTAAATACTTTAACAGGCATATAACCAACTTTTGTTTGCATGTAAAATTAATGTATAATGAAACGTCCATATTTTAAGTGTGTATTTGCTGAGTTTTGATAATCACATATAACTGTGTAACCCACACCTCTAAGCATGATGAGAACATTACCAGCAGTTCCCTCCTGCCTCTTCCCAGTCTGTCTTTTCTCTTACCCTCCCAAGCAACCATTATTTTGATTTTCTTCTGTAATGTCCTTCAGCACCCCAAAGAGCTTAGCATCATGCTCACCATAAAGGAGAAATGCGTTGGCTACTTAGTTTCCGTACGTGCCTTTGTGCACATATTTGAATACCAGTACAACAAAGCAACTTTATTTTTGCTATGGTCTGAATATTTGTGTTCCCCTCATGCCCCCAATTCATATGTTGAAACCTAATCTGATGTGACAGTATTAAGAGGCAGGGCCTTAAGGAGAAGGTGATTAGATGATGCCCTCATGACTGGGATTAGTGGCCATATGAAAGAGGCCTGAAGGAGCTTGTTTTCCCCTTTCACCACATAGGGACTCAACAAGAAAGTGCAGTCTATTAGGCCCTCATCAGACACTGAATCTGCTGACACCTTGATCTTGGACTTGCTAGCCTCTAGAACTATGAGAAATAAATGTTGTTTATAAGCCATCCAGTTTATGGTATTTTTGTTATAGCAGCCTGAATAGAAGAACTGAGACAATTTTCTAAGAAGATACAGCTATCCTTGCAGGGAAGAAATTCTTACCCATACCCTAATGGAGAAGACTCCTGGTTCCATCAGTCACGTATCCATCACTGGCTACATAAATTACTACTCTTACTCCATCACCATCCCACTCAATATTCAGTTATATAAAGACTAAATTGTAAAGTTAACTTCAGTAATTTGTGTATAAAATAAAATTGGGAATTAGGGAGAAAAATATGGTTAGTACAGTCAATTCTTGTTATTCATGGTGGTTATGTTCTGTAAAGTCATCGTGAACACTGCATTAGCAAATATTGAACCATTTCTCTTAGGGGAAATACAGGGTTAAGTTTCTGCAAGCCTCAAATCACAACTTATGTCAACAGATCAAGACATAACCTTGTTTTCTGTGTGTTTCTGTTTAAAGACACCTTACTATGTATGGTTGATCTATTAACATTGAACTTACAGCTAATGGCAGTGTCTTTCATATTTGAAGAAAGCTTAACTAAAACACGATTTTTTCAGTAAGGTACAGCCCAGCTTTCATGAGCATAGGAACACCTGACAGTACTTCAGTACTATGCTTGGGAGTCACTCAAAGTGGTGAAATCAGTGACAGGAAGCATACACAAAAAAGTGGCACCAAATGCACAGTGGAAAGGACAATTGTTTATACTATGAAAGCTGACACAGGAAGATGGAGTGTTACCTTGTTCAGCCTCAGCTGGAACATATGCTTGGAGTGATTTCAGTATTTTGCTACCCTGAACATGCATGTGTTCTTGAATGACTGAAAATGCTGTGAATATGAGTTTGGGGATTACGAATGAATTTTAGTGCATAGGCAAATTCACAAATACAGAATCTAAATTATGAAGATTGACTGTATATACAAATAAACATGTATATAATCAAAGAGAAAATATGCAAAGCTACTGCATAGCTTGTGTCTGTAACTGGTCTGAGGTGGTAGCTGAAATATGTGGCTTCCTTCATCTACTCCCTGTTCTATAGCTCTCTTGCCTTCTGCCAGAATTTCAGTTACTCTGGCTTTTTTTTTTTTTAACCTGATTGAGTGACTCATAAACTTTCCTTCTTGAAGGGACTGTGTCTTATTTGCTCTGTTTTTTGGTTGCTGTAACGTTTCATTAACCTTGTATTGAGCATGGAAGTAGTATGACATGCCCTAGGCAATCTTCTGGGTTCCACTTACCCTACTTTGCCTCCATTGCAAAATAGCACACTTGTTTGCCCTTGGTAATTCGGATTCATTTTTCCAACTAGTAGATTAACCAATGTTTTTGGCTTGTTGGTTTCAGTGACATAAGAAGTACAAAATGGCCATATGGGAGTCTCATCTTCCAATTAATCGGAAACATTGTTGTGTCCCCTTTGGAAGCATTTCTCCTTTAAGGACTAAGATCTCCAAACCATCAGAGCTCAAAGTTGCCAGGACTAGAAACAGAAATTTTGCAAGTGGCTTATGTGGGTATAATAATGAGAGGAGCCATGCCTGCTTCTACTTTTTGATTCCTGGACTGACATATTCTGGCTGTGGGCAAGATAGCATCATATAATGGTCTGTGATTGAAATAATAAACTGCAGCTTGTAAAACAGAGCCCCATCCTTTCAGGTTTTTGTCTCCTAACTAGTGCTGCTGCTGAAGTCTTCAGTAAGCCATTCTATGTGATGGAGTAATGGTAAAACCAGTTAATCTTAGTGTCATGAGCACATTGTCCACCTCTTTTGCTATGAAGTGAATTCCTTAAGGAGATACAGTGCTGTATAGAATGCTGTAATGATAGGTAATACATTCTGTGAGTCTATGAATGGTGGAGTTGGCAGAAGCATTGCAGGCAAATTCATATCTGGAATATGAGAAACGGATCCATTATGGAAGAGAACCAAATAAAATCAATCTGCCACTAGGTGGCCAGCTGTCTCTTTCCCACCCATGGTGCCATACTGGGAATTCAGTGTTGGTCTCCAGCATTGGCAGATCAGATGCTCTGCAGTAGCTTTAGCCAGATCAGTTTTTTCAGTTTTAGAAAGGACTAATCTGTGTGTGTGTGTTTTTTTTTTTTTTTTTTGAGACAGAGTCTCGCAGTGTCGCCCAGGCTGGAGTGCAGTGGCATGATCTCAGCTCACCGCAACCTCCACCTCGTGGGTTCAAGTGATTCTCATGCCTCAGCCTCCCCAGTAGCTGGGATTACAGGCATGCACCACCACATCCAGCTAATCTCTGTATTTTTAGTAGAGATGGGGTTTTGCCACGTTGGCCAGGCTAGTCTTGAATTCCTGACCTCAGGTGATCTGTCCGCCTAGGCCTCCCAAAGTGCTGGGATTACAGGCATGAGCCACCGCACCTGGCCTAATCTGTGTTTTTGAACCCATTCATAATCTCCATCCCTGCCACCATGGCCACTTTGTTCATGGGTCCATTGCACAAGCTTAGATATGATGGAGAAGGAGGTTGAGTGCCACCCATAGAGTATGTCATTTTATCTACCTGATTATTAAGAGCCTCTGCATTGATGTGCCCACCTAGTCTCTCATGGTTCAGTGCTGCTGCTTAAGTTTCTGTGCAACTCTAAAATCCCATCATCCGCACTGAATTCAACTTATCTCAATATTGACTTCCTCCTGTAGTCATACCTGTCCTACAAAGGGGAGTGACAAGAATTTTGAAAACCTTGTTAGGTGGTCCCTCACTAATACATTTCTCCCTCTCTCTCTCTCTCTTTTTTTTTTTTTTAATTTTGTTTCAGAGACAAGGTTTGCTCTGTCTCCTAGACTGGAGTATAGTGGCACGATCATAGCTCACTGCAGACTTGAACTCCTGGGCTCAAAGGATCCTTCCTCCTGCCTCAGCCCCCCAAGTATTAAATAGCTGGGATTCCAGGTGTGTGCCACCATGCCTGGCTAATTATTTTATATTTTTTAGAGATGAGGTCTCATTATGTTGCCCGGGCTGCTCTTGAACTCCTGGCCTCAAGCAGTTCTCCTGCCTTGGCCTCACAAAGTGTTGGGATTACAGACTTGAGCTACTGTGCCTGGCCACTAATAGGTTTCTAAATGTCTTAGTAAAAGGAGTGTTTTCTAGGCCCTCTCATGGACATAAGTGGCAATTTGGTGTGTAGGTAACACATGATAAATCCAGTCCAACCTTCCTATCTCTCTAAACCTTTGGATCCCTCTCTCTTATTATGCTAGGGAAACTTTGGAACCTCAGCCTTATTAAATGTTAAATTAATATAATTAATGCTTAATTAAATTAAACTTCAAGTTTCAGTCAGCCAATCAAGTAAGCTGTTAAAGCCACTTCCAGTTTTGTGAGTTAACACATTAAATGTGGGATCTCTAGTACAGAAGTAGTCAAACCTTTTCTGTAAAGGGTCAGATAGTAAATATTTTAGGTTTTAGAGGCCATATGGGTTTTGTCACAACAACTCTGTTCTGCTGCTATAGTGTGAAAGCAGCCATAGACAATATGGCCCATCCATTAATGGGCATGGCCCCATTCTAGTAAAACTTTAGTTACAAAAAACGGTTTGTTGACCTCTGCTTTATAAGTATATACATATAAATGAATTAGAGCCAATGTAGTGTTATATTTCACCCTCCTGGTCTAGCACCTTTAGAATCCATTGCCATACATGTTCTGTGGGATTGTGCTAGTTTATCAGCAGATCTTTTAGTGTGTTCAGCTACTTCCTTTGGGTCATAGTATATACCTGTTCTTCTGGAGCCTGTCAAAATTTGACATGGGTTAGTGACAATGGCAGTGGTTAGGGTGTGTCTTGAGGAGGACTGAACATCCTCTTTTAAGGCATCCACCATGGGTAAAGCTGTCCTCAGGTTTTTAAGCAGTGGAAGAGTCATCTCCTCAGACAAGGGGGGAAAACTACTTCTGGTAAGGGAGACTCAGACGGACTTGGGGGTTCAAGTTGGTCAGTTTCATTTGGGTCCAAATAAATATTCCCATTCCAAATTTAAGGATTCCATTCTTTACTAATCTGTCCCCTTTCACAGGAGAAACTTGGTGAGACCATGAATTCAGCTATTGTTTTAATTCAGCAACCCTCATAATTAAATTAAATTTTATATTTGATTTTCAGCTAAATCAGCTCTAAGACCATGACTTGATCTGAAAGTTGGATCTGAGCTGGTTATTTTCTCCCTGTAGGTGCCCCAGTGCAGCAGTCCCCAACCTTTTTGGCACCAGGGATTGGTTTTGTGGAAGACAGTTTTTCCATGGACTGGGTTGGGTAGGGGGAGGATAGTTTCGGGATGAATCTGTTCCACTTCAGATCATCAGGCTTTAGTTAGATTCTCATAAGGAATGCACAACCTAGACCCCTTGCATGCGCAATTGATGATAGGGTTTGTGCTCCTGTGAGAATCTAATGCCTCCACTGATCTGACAGGAAGCAGAGCTCAGGTGGTAATGCTCTCTGGCTTGCCGATCACTTCCTGCTGTGTGGCCCAGTTCCTAACAGGCCATGGACTGGTACTGGTCCGTGGCTGGGGGCTTGGGGACCCTGCTCTAGTGCTCTCAAAAGAACCCACCCCACATCAAAGTCCTTATTTTCATAATTTCTGCCATTATGGTCAGTTGCAGCAGCCACTTGGGCTTCTAAGACATGTCCCTCAGTACTTCATTACAGTCAACCAAAGTGATAGCTTAGTTAATTGTGACTCCAATACCTACTGTGGATTACTAGCATTTCATCTCCCATTGGCGAGGAACTTAGCACTGCACTGAAGCCCAAGGCCATGACCAAACCAGTCCTCGAATTGCATCTCTGTGGGCCTGTCTCCTAGGACTGCTCCCAATACCAATTGTGTGTCACTCATGGTCCGTTGAGGAGAGACCGAAATCATGTAGTTACTTAGAAAGGGGAAGTTTAATCTAAGAACTGTTAAGTTGTGATAGGAGAGTAACTAAAGATGTAAAGAGAACTCTAACGGATATTCTAGGACTAAGAGCCTCAAGGAAGGACCAACTTGCAAGAGGGGTCCCCTCTACCAGGCTGGGGTTTAGAGCTTATTGGAGAAGGTATAGCTGTAGCCCAGGTTTGCTGGTGGAGAAGATTGCTGTGTGGCTGGTCCATAGTAATTGGGCAAGCAGGAAACAATCCTTTCATGTATAGGTGAGCGAAGGCTGGTTAGCCTGTCTACGAAGGGAGTCCAGGTGCTTCTGTGGGTGTGAAATCTGGAGTGTGTGGGCTGAGGTTGCCAGATCACTGAGGAACTGGACCCCTGGGCATAAGCTGTGGCTAAGTACCCCTGGATGTCCTCCTCATCCATACCATGCAGCAGGAAGTCCACCCCATGACAGACCATGCAGCAGGAGCCAGAAGACAGTAAAATGCACCAAGCAGAACTAGGAAGTGTCCTTTCTGCAGTGTTGCTTCAGTGCCCTGTACTGACAAAGCATAACATTGTACTCACTGTAAAGAGGAAATGCCTGCAAACTCCAGGCCTTTATTGCAGTGCAGGTACCGAAGGATGAATTCAGAGCGGAGAGGCAACATATTGATAATTGGCCTAGTCCATCAGATCATGTTATTGATTCCACAGTAGTTCCCTGTTTTAAGACAAGTAAATATTCAAAGCTGTAGACAGGTCCTCTACTTCTTTGACCTCATACTACTATCTTCCTCTTGGCTCTGCTGCAGCCATCCAGGCCTTTCTCCTGTTTCTGGAACATATCTGCATGCTCCCGACTTAGGACCCTTGCTGGTCCCTCTTCCTGGAAGCTATTTTCCTAGCTGTCTGCATGGTGAGTTCCTCATTTTTTTCAAGTCTTGCTCAGATGTCAGTTTCTCAAGAAGGCCTGCCCTTTACGCGCTTATTTGCTACTCTAAGTCCCCTGAACTCCTTACCTCTTCACATGGCTTGACTTTTTCCACAGTACTTTTCACCCAACATACTATATAATTTACTTATTTATCATGTCTGTCTCCTCCCACGATAACATCAGGCGCCAGGACGGTATGAGGGGCAGGAGTTTTTTAATGTTGCTCACTTATTGCAGATACCTAAAATAGTGCCTAGTGCATTATAGGTGCTTAATAAATACTTAAATATTGTAACAGTCTCTATGATGTTCATTAAAGGTGAGATTCTACCTTCAAACAATTTTCATTTTATTATTCAAAATATTTTTACTACTTCTGCATTACACAACTTCCCTTTATTTTCTGGACTGGTTACATTCTTTTGACTGATTAGGTCAAGATGGGTACATTTTTTGTCTTGTGCTCCATATAATGAAATAGGGTTTGTATTTTATGTTACGTTCTTTACATCATTTTTCAGCTTCTGTGACTTTTCTCATCTGAGTAGATGACTGAGACAGATAACTATTTTTAATATTATATTTTTTAGAATTAAATCTTAGTTCGTGGAAAGTTAACTGATTGTTTTTAATTTTATTTTTAGGTGCTGAATGTGGAGTAAATGCAGATGTTGAGAAACATCTTGAATTGGGCAAGAAATTACTTGCAGCTGGACAGCTAGCTGATGCTTTATCTCAGTTTCATGCTGCCGTAGGTTTGTATCATGGAACCAAATCACTCAGTGTCTGTCTTAGTGAATTCTAGTAATAGCTCTTTTTTTAAAAATAACATTTAAAATAAACATTATTTCATGTTTAAATAAAACATTTAAATATATTTGTGGGATTCTGAGCGAAATAGATGGATAAAATAAATATATAACACTTAAATGTATGTGCATCTAACATGAGAGAAGTTTGAAGGTTAGTGAGGCCTGCTACTACCAAGGATAACTCAAGATATTTCTGACAAACAGCTTTTCTCAGTGTATTATTTGGCTTCTGACTTTTTTTTTTTTTTTTTTTTTTTGAGACGGAGTCTCGCTCTGTCGCTGTCGCCCAGGCTGGAGTGCAGTGGCACGATCTTGGCTCACTGAAAGCTCTGCCTCCCGGGTTCATACCATTCTCCTGCCTCAGCCTCCCGAGTAGCTGGGACTACACGCGCCCACCACCACTCCCGGCTAATTTTTTGTATTTTTAGTAGAGACGGGGTTTCACCATATTAGCCAGGATGGTCTCCATCTCCTGACCTCGTGATCCGCCCGCCTCGGCCTCCCAAAGTGCTGGGATTACAGGCGTGAGCCACTGCGCCCGGCCAGCTTCTGACTTTTTGAACAGATTTTACTGAATGCAGTTTAATTTTCTTGATGACTTGGGTTTTCAATATGTTCACTTGATATCCTTGGGAGATGCTGCAGTTCATTGCCTCTTCAGTATTGGTCAGACCCCAGCTGCTCTTCATTTATACTGTTGCTTCTTATTTCTTACTCATGTCTGTCTGTAGAATCAACTGTCGTGCAGCTGCTCATCTGTTAGGACTGTAAGAAGTGAGATGACCAGAATAAATAGGTTCTTAGTGAAGGCTTAATGGATTTTCTCTCCTTTTCTTTTCTTTTTTTTTTTTTTTGCTTTTTTGAGACAGAGCCTTGCTCTGTCACCCAGGCTGGAGTGCATTGGTGTGATTATGGTGATTATGGCTTACTGCAGCCTCAGCCTCCTGAATAGCTGGGATTATAGGTGTGTGCCACTATATCCAACTACTTTTTACAACTTTTATTTTTTATATTTTTGTAGAGATGGGGTCTCACTATGTTGTCCAGGCTGGTCTGAAACTCGTGGGCTCAAGCAGTCCTCCTGCCTTGGCCTCCTAGAGTGTTGAGATTGTATGCATGAGCCACCACATCTGGCATGGATTTCCTTATGAGTCACTGCTAAACTTTTGTACTGGGACTTTTTGAACTTTCCTCAGAGTTCTTTACTTATATATTTTTACCTTGATTTGAATGGTTGAGAGTGTGTAGTTAACAACCGAGGGTGGTGTTTTGTTTTGTTTTGTTTTGTTTTTGTTTTTGTTTTTGTTTTTGAGACAGGATCTTGCTCTGTCATCCAGGCTGGAGTGCAGTCACGTGATCTTGGCTCACTGCAACCTCTGCCTCCTGGGCTCAGGTGATCCTCCCACCTCAGCCTCCTGAGTAGCTAGGACTACAGCTGCATGCCATCATGCCCAGCTAATTTTTGTATTTTTTTTTAATAGAAACTGGGTTTCACCATTTTGCCCAGCCTGTCTCAAACTCTTGTTCTCAAGCCATCTGCCTGCCTCAGCCTCCCAAAGTGCTGGGATTATAGGTGTGAGCTACCGTGCCCAGCTGGTGTGTTTTTTAATAAGATACAGCTGTGCTCCCAGAAAAACTATCATCCTATTGTTGTAATTTACTATATAAACTCAATGTAGTTAGGTTTTGGTTTGTCATACTTTTCTTTATGCTTTTTCTTAAACTCAGATTTTTATTATTCAGATTTTTATTAAACTCAGATTTTTATTAGCTCTCTGAACTCATAGGAAACATATTTTTTTGATGAAAAAACTCTATTCAAGGCTGGGCATGGTGGCCCACGCCTGTAATCCCAGAACTTTGAGAGGCTGAGGTGGTGGATCACTTGAGGTCAGGAGTTTGGGACCAGCCCGGACAACATGGTGAAACTTGTCTCTACTAAAAATATAAAAATTAGCCAAGCGTGGTGGTGGCCACCTATAATCCTAGCTACTTGGGAAGCCAAGACTGGAGAATCACTTAGACCCAGGGGCCCGGAGGTTGCAGTGAGCCAAGATCGCACCATTGCACTCTAGCCTGGGTGGCAGAGTGAGACTCCATCTCAAAATTAAAAAAACAGAAAACAAAAACTCTACTCAAGAGACATGGCATAATTATAAGAACATACAAAAGTTGAAAAATGAGGGGAAAAGTGGAAAAAAAGATACCTTTGTGAGTAGTAGAGAAAGCCATTCCACGCAAATAAAGGATTCACTCTACCAGAAAAAATATCAATTTTAAATGGGTATAAGCCTAATAACATAGCCTCTAAATACATAAAACAAAAATTGACAGAACTAAAAGGAGAAATAACAAATTTATAATTACAGTGGAAGGCTTTAGCGTCTTTCAATAATATATAGGAAAACAGACAAAAATAACAGTAAAGATGTTAACGACCCAATTGAAATACACATAACACTTGGACACAGCTACAGAATACACATTCTTCCAAGTGTAAGAACATTACAATAAAAATATTATAGGAAAGTCTCATGAACATAACTACAAAAATTCTGAAAAACATAATAGCAAATGAATCTAAAGTTTAAAGAAGTCCACATATTATGTTTGTACACACAAACACATACACACACCACTGGTTTCTATTATAAGGATGTAAATTTGGTTTGGCATTCAAAAGTCAGTATTAGTCATCACATTAAAAGACTACAGGAGAAAAATATTATTTCAAAGGTGCAGAAGAAATATTTGATAAATATTTAACACCATTTCTGAAAGAAAAAGCACCTTTTAAACAGTTTGGGAATCTGTATTGGTGAGTACACCAAGAATCCTATAGCTACCATCATACTTTATGGTGAATATTGATAGCTCTCCCCACACCTCACCACCACTGAGATTGAGAACGAGACAAGGATACCCACTATTACTACTTGTAATCAACATTCTGCTAGAGGTCCTAGCCAATGCTTTTTTCTTTTTTTTTTTTTTTTTGAGGCAGAGTCTCGCTGTGTCACCCAGGAAGCTGGAGTGTAGTAGTGCAATCTCAGCTTACTGCAACCTCCGTCTCCCAGGTTTAGGCGATTCTCCTGCCTCAGCCTCCCAAGTAGCGGGGGTTACAGTCATGCACCACCACGTCCAGCTAATTTTTGTATTTTTAGTAGAGATGGGGTTTCACCATGTTTGCCAGGCTGGTCTTGAACTTCCTGACCTCAAGTCATCCACCCGCCTCCCAAAGAGCTGGGATTACAGACATGAGCCACCGTGCCTGGCCTAGCCAGTGCAATTTGTATACCAATTTTCTGTCTTGCAACCTTGCTGAACGTGTTCATTAGCTCTAATAATTTTTGTGTTGGTGTTGATTCTTTAGGATTTTCCATATACAAGATTATGTTATTGGGAAATTACAGTTTTGCTTATTTTGTCATGGAAAGGACCCAGTGGGAAGTAATTTAATCACGGGGGAAAATACAGTTTTACTTATTTTTGTCATGGGAGGGACCCAGTGGGAGTTAATTTAATCATGGGGGTGGTTACCCCCATGCTGTTCTCATGAAAGTGAATGAGTTCTCATAAGATCTGATGGTTTTATAAGGGACTTTTCCCCCTTTTGCTCTGCACTTCCCCTTCCTGCCATCATGTGAAGAGGATGTGTCTGCTGCCCCTTCTGCCATGATTGTAAATTTCCTGAGGGAAATTTACTCATGCCGAACTGTGAGTCAATTAAGCCTCTTTCCTTTATAAATTACCCAGTCTCCGGTATGTCTTTATTAGCAGTGTGAGAACGAACTAATACAATTGCCCAGCCCCTGTAATTTGGCAAGAAATAGGGCATAAAGATTGAGAAAGGAAGAAATAAAACTGTCATTCACAGAGGACTTGATACACAAATAATCTGCAGACTATCATAACTGAAATGAATTTAGCAAGGCCACTCACTAGATAACAAATTCAACATACTTTTGTAGCAACAGAGTCTCTCTATATTAGCAATAAACAAATATAAAAAACACCTAAGAAGAAATCTAATGAAAGATGTGCAAGAACACTTTGCTGAAAACCACAAAAATAGTTATAAGAAACTTAAGAAAGACTTAAATGAAGAGATATACCATGTTCATGAATAGGAAGATTCAATATTGTAAAGTTGTCAAGTGGCCCCCAAATTGGTCTACAGATTCAATGAAATCTAATCAAATTCTAGCACTTTATTTCATTGAAATTGACTCGCTGATTCTAAAATGTCTTATGGAAATGCAAAGGACTTCTTCATGAGTTGCCTTGTGGACGAGATTTAAGACAACCCAAGCCAGCTCTCTTTGGTCTGTGAGAAGCATACATGTATTCTTTGCCTTGACCATGTCTGTAGACAGAGGACAGTCCAAATAGCAACCCCTTCTTCCTTCTTATGAGAGCAGAGAGCCTGCTAGTCTCTTGCCATTTAGAGTTTTCAGGGATGAGTCAGATACCCCAGTCAGTCTACTCTGTCCTGCAAAGAGGACACTTACAAACTTTTCCAAGTGGCCCTAGAAATCTCACCTTGGAATGTAGGGGTAGCTGGTACCTGTTGGGATGTCAGGTGAAACATAAATAGTTGCATTGCAGTAGCCTGCTGTATAAATATACGGAGAACTTCTATCGTATGTACTCTATGAAGGTATTAGAAAAATATGGCTTTGTGGATTACCTTGAAAAGGGAAACATTTTAATCTTGGCGTTGCCACTGGGTAATCCTGTGACATTGGTCCAGTTATGTAAGAAAATGCACACTTTAAAAAGTTACCTGCAAGTTCCCAGCAGTTTTTGCTGTGTCACCCATGGGAATTTTTGTGAAGATCAGATGGTAATAATGAATATAAATATTTCTTTGAAAATAGTATATAATCACTCAGGAGGCTGAGGCGGGAGGACTGCTTGAGCTCAGGTGCAGTGAGCTATGATTGTGTCACCACACTCCAGCCTGGGCAATGGAGTGAGACTCTGTCTGTCTCCTTCTCTGTCTTGCTTTTTTTCTTAAAAAAAAAAAAAAAAAGGTGCAGTAGGATATGTAAAGAATGTAGAAATATAATTTTTGTGTCTCTGAAAATTAAGGCTTTTCTAAAAACAGGTTTGCTATAATAACAGGGGTTTCTTAACTATGTGACATTTCTGTTGGGAAGTTTGCATTTCGATGACTAACTCACCTTAAGAAATAGTGGTTACTTTGCACAATAATTTGCACAAGATTTTTCATTAAGGGCTGTTTACTGTGTGACCACATCGTTACTAAGTCCACTATTTTTCTGGTGATTCAAACTGTCTTCAGTGCTTCAGCATGGCAATTTAAATTCTTTTCAGTTACTGTCTTAGAAAAAGTGTGTCTTAAAGTATTTATTCTTACCTACTACCATTAGAATGTTTGCAGAAATGTATATACCTTCTACCTATTTTATACTTTATTGTTTGTTTTCTTAGTCTCACATTTATTAGAAACATCAAGGGCTATGGCATATAATTAAAGTCGGTTTAAATGACTGCTCCTTTTTTTTTTAGCTTTATCACTGCAATACAAGACTTTTTGAGACAGCTCTTTCCCAAAATTCCCAGTAAAATGTTACTGTGTTCACCAAGAGGTGTAAATCAGTGATGCTGAAACATGGCAATTTATTGGTGTGATTTAGTAAAGGGAGAATGTAAATAATTGCTAGTGCATTCTGAATCTGAATAACAGGCAGTGTGGTGGCTTACAACTGTAATTCTAGCACTTTGAGCACTTTCGAAGGCTGAGGCAGGAGGATTGTTTGAGGCCAGGAGTTTGAGACCAACCTGGGCAACATAGCAAGAGCTCGTCTCTACAAAAGTAAAATAAAAACAAAATTAGCCAGGCATGGCAGTGCCCACCTGTAGTCCTAGCTACTTGGGAGGCTGAGGTGGAAGGATTGCCTGAGCCCAGGAGTTTGAGGAGGCAGTGAGCTGATGGTGCCAGTGTGCTCTGGCCTGGACAACAGAGTGAAACCCTGTCTCCAAAATAAAGTGTCATTTTGTTCAATGTGATCTGGCAAGTAGCAGTGACTCTCAAATGGGATACACATCATAGTTTCTTTTTCTTTTTTTTTTTTTTTTTGAGACGGAGTCTCGCTCTGTCACCAGGCTGGAGTGTGGTGGCGTGATCTCGGCTCACTGCAACCTCTGCCTCCTGGGTTCAAGCGATTCTGCCTTGGCCTCCTGAGCAGCCCGAGCAGCTAGGAGTATAGGCATGCGCCACCATGCCCAGCTAATTTTTGTATTTTTAGTAGAGACGGGGTTTCACCATGTTGGCGAGGATGGTCTCGATCTCTTGACCTGATGATCCACCCCCCCTTGGCCTCCAAAAATGTTGGGATTACAGGCATGAGCCACTGCGCCCAGCCACACATCATGATTTCTAGGAAGACCATTTATCATTTTAGTTCATGTAGAACACATTGTTCATAACAAACTATAGAAAATAAAGTTTAAGGCTGGGCGTGGTGGCTCATGCCTGTAATCCCAGCACTTTGGGAGGCTAAGGTGGGCGGATCACCTGAGGTCAGGAGTTCGAGACCAGCCTGGCCAACATGGTGAAACCTCCTCTCTACTAAAAATACAAAAAGTTAACCGGGCGTGGTGGCAGGTGCCTGTAATCCCAGCTACTTGGGAAGCTGAGGCACGAGAATTGCTTGAACCTGGGAGGTGGAGGTTGCAGTGAGTTGAGATCATGCCATTGTACTCCAGCCTGGGCGAGAGTGAGACTCTGCCTCAAAAAAACAAAAACAAAAAATCCCCAGAAAATAAAGTTTAAATTTTCTATCATAGTGAAATGGGAGGGTTTTCATATCTCCCTTGCAGGGCGTGCAACAGGGTTGTGGCTTCTGTCTTCGGGGCCCCACTGCTCAGACCCTTACTGGGAGCATGCAGATGGGCAGGTGCAGAGGCCGTGGGGAGTGCTTTTGGGCTCCGGCCCCACGGCAATGTCTAGGACTCCTGAAGCCCAAGTGGGTGTGTGTTACAGTGTGCTGCTTCAGCTACGCCATCTGCAGACGGCTTGTGTTAGTCAGCTCAGTAGACCCTCTCCCTTATTGCAAGGACGGGGCCAGTGTGACAGCCTGAGTTCTTGCTCGGTTGTACTGGAAGAATCAGATCATATACATGGGCTGGAAGGTTGAGTGCAAGGTTTATTGAGTGGTGGAGGTGGCTCTCAGCGAGATGGATAGGGAGCCGGAAGTGGGGGATGGAGTGGTAAGGTGGTCTTCCTCTGGAGTCGGGCTGCCCAGCGGCCAGACTCTTCTATGGCCACTCCTGGCTGAACTCCCCTCAGCATCCACGTCGTTCTGCCATCGCTGCTCTGCCAGTGTCTGCTGGTATGCTCTTCTTCTCCTCTAGACATCCAGCCATTTGTATCTGTGTCTGCTTAAGGTCTCTGATTTATATGGGCACAGTATGGGGTGCGTGGCTGGCCAGAGTGATCTCGGAAAATGCAACATTTGGGCATGAAAACAGGAGTGCCTGTTCTCACTTAGGTCCGTGGGCACAGGCCCAAGGGTGCAGCCCTACCTGGGACCCCACCCCTCTCTACCCAGCACTTCCCTGCCCCCCTCCCATATCAATAGGATTATGCAGTAGGTGGTGATGGGGTGTTGTGACCTTTTGAAACTCTTAAGAGATGTGCGTTTATCAGAAGAGAACTATGGGGATAATGAATCCTGGGATCTGAAACCCTAAATTTAATAGACTTTACAGAGGGTCTTAGGTATATCTGGCACGAACAAATGTCTTAAGTGGTAGATTAAATGGTGGGCAGTGTGAAATGATCGATTTCTTCATTTGCTTGGTAAGAAAACTAGCACAACCCTTACATAGTTTTGCTGAATCCAAAAACAAAATCCATTTCTAGATTTTTATATCACTTAAACTTGTTATGGTGCTTTCTCATCACATTTCAACCTCACTTCTGAAATGAGGACAAACATTACTGTTTACATTTAGACAAAAGGAAACAAAAAGTGCTCTAGCAACTTTCTGAAGGTGATATTCCAGTTCAAAAGATTCTGAGCTATGCTACTATTTTAATGTCTGGTCAGTTCAGTAAATTGTTGAATGAAGGAGTTCAGTTGGGTGAGCTGAGAGAATGAGTAAAACATTTTCCGTATCTAGATGATATGGTTTGGCTGTGTCCCCACCCAAATCTCGAATTGTAGCTCCCATAATTCCCACATGTTGTTGGAGGGAACTGGTGGGAGATAATTGAATCATGGGGATGGTTCCCCCCATACTGTTCTCACAGTAGTGAATAAGTCTCACGAGATCTGAAGATTTTATAAATTCGCTTGGCTCTCATTCTCTCTTGTCTGCTGCCATGTAAGATGTGCCTTTCGCCTTCGGCCATGATTGTGAGGCCTCCCCAGCCATGTGGAACTGTCAGTCCATTAAACCTCTTTTTTTAAAAAAATACCCAGTCTTGGGTATGTCTTCATCAGCAGCATGAAAACGGACTAACGCACCAGTCCAGTGTGTTTTTCCTATGCCTCTCACTACCACCATTTACAACATCATTTGTAATTGGCTTTCTGATGTGTTTTCTCCAGATAGTAGTTGTATTGTTTTATTCTGGCTAATTTTCTCATATTTGAATTGTTTGATAGTTCTAGGATTCTGGGTAGAGGTTAAATCCATCTCCCATGTTCAAGTTTCTAATAAGCTAGTATAAGGATTTGAATTATGTGGTTTAAAATGAAATATAGTATTTCCATATTTCCACATGTAGACTTGCAAATAATTTACATAATGAACAATATTATATATTGGATGGATAATAGGAAAAATACTTATTTTCAAGGTTATCCAGTCTTGTATTGGTAAAAACTAAGCATGCATTTCTAAACCAATTCTTGTTTCACTTGCTACTTCATGCACAGTGATGTAGGAATGGACTCTAGTTCCATTAACTGTTGGTATTTTAAGATGAAGAACCAGGGAAGGCTATTTTGATTTACTGTGCAGGTGACCCCATGCCTCTAAGAAAATTGAGACGGAGTCTCGCAGTGTCACCCATGCTGGAGTGCAGTGGTATGATCTCAGCTCGCTGCAACCTCCACTTTTCGGGTTCAAGTGATTCTCCTCTTCAGCCTCTGGAGTAGCTGGGATTATAGGTGTGCACCACCATGCCTGGCTAATTTTTGTATTTTTAGTAGAGACGGTGTTTCACCATGTTGGCCAGGCTGGTCTCGAACTCCTGGCCTCAAGTGATCCACCCGCCTTGGCCTCCCAAAATGCTGGTATTACAGGCATGAGCCACTGTGCCTAGCCAGAAAATTGATTCTTGATTCATGTGTTAAACTATTGTCATTTGATTCTCAGTGGACAAAAAAATTCAGTTTCTCCTATTATATTCTCCCCGTGCAGAATTCTTCTGTGACCTCTGGTCACCAAAATGTGTGGGAATTTCTCTCCACCAAGTAATCCTACAGATTCTTCAGCAGACAGCAGCTGGATGTCCTCTAATTCTGTTCAGTTCTGACACTGTCTATCTGGAGGTAGCCTAAGATCCCACAGATTGAGAGCTCAGTGCCACAAGACCACTCCTGACTTCAGAAGCCATTCATAAGGCCCTGGTTGTTTTACCTGTACTTCTGACTGACTGGCTGTAAATGAGGATTCCCATGACCCCTTCCTTGGGTTCAATTAATTTGCTAGAGCAGCTCACAGAACTCAGGGAAACACTTACGTTTACTGGTTTATTATGTGATATTACAAAGGATACAGACGAACAACCAAATAGATGGAAGAGATGCATAGGGCCAGGCATATGGGAAGGGATATGGCGCTTCTTTGCCCTCTCTGGGTGTACCACCCTCTAGGAGCCTCCATGTTTTTGGCTGCATGGAAGTTCTTCCAAACCCTGTCCTTTTAGGTTTTTGTGTACACATTATCACTTAGGCATGATGTATTATATCATTGGCTGTTGGTAACCAACTCAACCTTCAACAACCCGAGGCTTTATCACTTAGGCATGATGTATTATATCGTTGGCTATTGGTAACCAACTCAACCTTCAACAACCCGAGGAGGGTACAGAGTACTCAAAGTTCCAACCTTTTCACCTGGTAGGTTCCCCTGGCAACCAGCTCCCATCCTGAAACTATCTAGTGCCCAGCTGGTGCCCAGCTACCAGCCGTTTCGTTAGTATACAAAAAAGTAATCACTCCAGAGATCCCACGGGTTGTAGGAGCTATATGTCAGGAAGCTGGAAGAAGACCAAATATATATCTTATAGTACAACAGATTCCTTATTTATGTAGATTTGGTGTTATAAATTGGGGTTCCAATTCCATTTCCTGTCTTAAAATGCCTAAAAACTGAACAGTAGAATTAGTGAGCACTCCAGAAATATTGTATGTAGACAATTTTTGTGTATGATGGGATCCTTAATACAAAAGTTATACACAGTCCTCTGTGGAGATTTTTTCTTCATGGATTGGAATGGTCAGGTTTTTCCAAATAGAAATCTAATGTAGTTTACCGTATACCATGTAAATGCTGTGTAAATAGTTGTTTTACTGTACTTTTTAGGGAATAATGAAAAAAGTCTGTACATGTTCAGTACAGACACAGTTTTTTTTTTCCTAAATATTTTCAGTCTGAGGGTGGTTGAATCTACAGATGTGGAACCCATGGATACAGAGGGCCAAATGTGTATAAATAATTAATAATCAGTGCTTAGGGTTAGGTGCAGTAAGGGATATGTATTATAGAATGTTATGGAATTTGAGAGAAGGAAAGGTTTATTTTTCCATGTATAGTCAAATAAGTCATTTGAGCTGTGCCTCAAAGATTGAGTAGGATTTGGACATATGAAATTGATGGGGTTGTGTACTTTAGGCCTTAAATCATCGTATTTCCAGTATTATTCTTTGCTTAGTGTGAATAAGCCATGGATAACTTAAATTTTTTAAAAAACTAATGAATATGAAAGTAATCCATATGTATTGTGAAACATTTTGGAATACATGGACTACAGAAAGAAGAAACCCCATCTCTCTGCTTGGATAGCCACTGTTGACACGCAGTGAACTGCCTTTGCTGTCTGGTGCGTCACTTAAATGTTAGTAATTCTTAAGTATGAAATCATTCTATGGCCAGTTCACAAACCAGACCCATAAAATTTTAATTTATTGTACCTTACAAATAAAATATAAGCTGAACTGAAAAATACTGTATATCAAGCAAGTTCTAAATGTAGTTACTCTGATTCCTACTCTTTCCTCAAGTTAATTACAGTATTTTGTAAGAAATATCCTATATTCAGGCTACTGATTTTGCTGTCCTGTCCTTGCCTCCTAAAGGAAGTTATTTAGTAAAGAAATGTTAGTGACGCTTAGCTGGGATCATATATTTTTATTTTTAGATTTAAGAAAAAGAAGGTTTTTTTTTGTTGTTAAAATACCTAATTCCTTTTTTAAAAAATACATTTTTTTTTTCTGACTGGTTCATGTTTTTACTTTTTTATTGTGGTAAAATGTATGAAAATTTACCATTTTAACCATTTGTAAGTGTACAATTCAGTGGCATTGTGTTCACATTGTTGTGCAGTCATCACTATCCATTTCCAGAACTTTTTCATTATCCCAAACTGAAACTCTGCATCCATTAAACATTAGGGCCCTATTCCTAACCCTTTACACCAGCCCCTGGCAACCACTATTCTACCTTCTGTCTCTATTATTTGAATATGTTAGGTACCTCATATTAGTGAAATCATACAGTATTTTCCTTTTGTGTCTTTGCTTATTTCACTTAGCATAATGTTTTTAAGGTTCATCCATGTTGTAGCATGCCTAGGAGTTTCATTTCTCTGTAAGGCTGAATGAATAACCTGCTGTATGTATGGTATATCCCACCTTTTGTTTATCCATTCATCCACTGATGGACTTCGGGGTTGTTTCTGCCTTTGGACTATTGTGAATAATACTGCTGTGAACATGTGTGTTTGAATGCATATTTGACCCTTCTTTTTATTTCTTTGGGGTATATACACAGGAGTAGAATTGCTGGCCCACATTGTAATTTTACATTAAATTTTTTGAGAAATCATCTTACGGTTTTCCACAGTGCCATACCATCTTACATCCCACCAACAGCGCACAGGTGTTCCAGTTTCTCCACACCTTGCGAACATTTGTTATTTTATCTTTTTATTTTTCATAATAGCCATCCTAATGGGTGTGAATTGGTATCTCAATGTGTGTGTTTTTTTTTTTTTGGTTTTGCTTTTTTAGTTTTTATTAGTATTTTTGTTCCCCCATGCAGATCAATGTGGTTTTGATTTGCATTTTCCTAAAAACTTGTGATGGTGAGCATCTTTTCA
This sequence comes from Homo sapiens, assembly GCF_000001405.40. Taxonomy (NCBI): domain Eukaryota; kingdom Metazoa; phylum Chordata; class Mammalia; order Primates; family Hominidae; genus Homo; species Homo sapiens. The sequence continues at coordinate 95,721,759 of NC_000013.11, forward strand.
TGTGCTCTTTGGCCATTTGTATGTCTTCTTTCATGTTTGGTTGTATAGCCTAATCTCTTTTTCTGACCCACCTTCCCCTGGCATTTTCAATGCCATTAACAACTGTTCACAACCATAATTTTGAATGATTATGGACTGTCCTGCCGTATAGATTCTTCTATTGTAATGTTTTCCAAATGACAAGAACTTTAGGAGTAGAACTTTTAGGGAGTTTAATTGTATATCTTATGATGATGAACACCTGAGTAGATAAATCTTTTATTTTTAAAAGATTGATGGCTGGCTTTTGTCAAGGTTAGTTTTAGAATTCTTTATATGCTTCTATTTCCAAATGCTTTTTAGAAGGATTGTTCTGCAGCAGATTTGCTTCTGACTGAATCCACTCTTTTCTGTACTTCGTAGGTGCTGATAAGCAGAGTAAAATTAGCTCGGAAACCTAATTCATCTGTCTGCTTTCCTTACAAATGTTAACTTCTCTAGCCCCTTTCTCTAGTCTCACTCTCATTTCTGTTCTCCTCCTTTGTCCTTGTACCTTTATTTCTTCACCTCCATTCTAGTTGGAGTTTGTGAGGGAGCAGAGATTATACATTCAATATATCAATTTAGTCAGAGGTTTATACATTTCTAAAACCCTGGACACCAATGTGCATAGTCCACATTCTTAGTATTTCACTTAGGAGAATCTCCATAGAGACAAACTGAATTGCATACTTAACAAAAGTTATGAGTTGAGGCTGGGTGCAGTGGCTCATGCCTGTAATCCTAGCACTTTGGGAAGCTGAGGTAGGAGGATTGCTGGAGCCCAGGAGTTCAAGACCAGCTTAGGCAACATGGTGAGACTCTCTACAAAAAATTAAAAAAAAAAAAAAATTAGCCAGCCGTGGTGGAATACGCCTGTTGTCTCAGCTTCTCAGAAGGCTGAGGTGGCGAATACGCCTGTTGTCCCAGCTTCTCAGAAGGCTGAGGTGGCAGGATTGCTTGAGCGTGGGAGGTCAAGGCTGCAGAGGGCCATGATCATGCCACTGCGCTCCAACCTGGGTGACAGACACCTTGTCCGCCCCCCCCCCCCCCCCCCCCCCCCGCCGAAAAAGGTTATAAGTTGAATATAGTTAATATTCTAGACCAGGGGTTTGCGAACTTTTTTTCTAAAGGGCTAGACAAGTAGTTTCGGCTTTGCGGCCACAGTCTTATGTTTTTCTTTTGTTCTTTCTTTTTTTTGGGCAACTTTTAAGAAATGTAAAAAACATTCTTAATTGAAGTCTGTAGGTCGGATGTGGCTTGGGCTGTACTTTGCTGACCCCTATTCTAGGTCTATTTGCACTGATCTTGCTAGGCAACATGACTCTTTTTTGATGATGAGATTCTTTTCTTAATGTCCATCTTAGTAGAGTTGCAAGTGCTGATACTGTCCAGGTGATTTGTTTTTTTTTAAATTTTTATTTTTGAATAAATGACTAAGAGGTAATATTATTTTAATTTTCAGATGGTGACCCTGATAACTATATTGCTTATTATCGGAGGGCTACTGTCTTTTTAGCTATGGGCAAATCAAAAGCTGCACTTCCTGATTTAACTAAAGTGATTCAATTGAAGATGGACTTCACTGCAGTAAGTATATCTCAACTTTCTTTAAAGGGGAACTTAACAGAACTTGGGGAGAGATAATTTGTTTCATAAGGTGAGGACTGGCATGCTAGACATAGCTGGAAGAGATCAAAGCTACAGTGATGTTGTGGACTGAGGAACAAGAGAAATTCAAAGTCCCTAGAATCAAAGATCTGTGTGAAAGAGAACAGCGGGTACATTAGATGTTTTTTTTTCAGAAGTCTGGCAGTGATGTCAGCTTTGTGGTTTAGAAAGACAAATCTGTGTGGAGGCTGGAGTGTGAGGCAAGATGTGAGGCTGAGACATGAGTTGATGAAGAGGCTGAATTAAGATGCTATCAGGTGACTGGCAGCAGTTGCACTTAAGGCTGTACCAGGAAGAATAAAGTGGGGATTACTTAATTGGGCTATGATTTGTGGTGACAATAAAATGCTAAATTAGCAGAGACATCCCCTGGAACCAATCCACAAGCTTCAGAGGTGGAGAAACTTGTAGCCTAGTAGGAAATCCTGATGATTGGCAGGTCACCATAAAGGTTGTGACAGATGTGTGAACAGGGAGGGACTCATGAGGTAGAACTCAGGTGGGGCTTTCAGAGGCAGAATTGACAACCACTGATCAATTAGACGGTTTCAGAAGTAATTTGATAGCCATTTATTATTTATTTCCTACTGTATTTCGAGAAGGATTTGAGATAACTGATTAGATATGGGGTGAATGTTTGATTTGAAATATTACTAATATTTTAAGATGGAATTCCCAAATCTCAAATATTTTTCAAATTTATCTTACACAGCTAAGCAAGCACAACCTTTCACAAAGGTTAAATGGCTCATTTTCTTAGTATTATGATAGTTGGAGTGGCTTTTTTATGATAGTTTAATCTTGCTTTTTATTGTATTGATGAATTTAACAGGGTTAGGAAAATTTTATTTACTGTAAAAGTAATGTATATAGGGTTAAGTGGAATATTAATGTGGCTTCATTGGTCATCCAGAGTTGGTATTCTTGAAAGAAACGGGATTACACACATTAGAAGAAGAGGAATATCAGATGAAGGGGGAGAAACTGGTGCATGTTAGAAGGGAAGAGTCATTGGTAAAGTCCCAACTTACGCAACTTTTATTGTAGGGCAAAAAGTATTTTTAAAAATTGAGATATAATTTATATGCCATCAGACTTACCCTTTAAAAGTATTCAGTGGTTTTTAGTATATTCACAAGTTGTGCAGTGGTCACCACTAGCTACTTCTAGGACACTTTTATCGACCCCCAAAGAAGCCCTGTACCTATTAGCGGTCACTCCCCATTGCTCCCCTAGCTCCTGGCAACCACTTATCATAGATTTGTTTCATATAATGTAACATCGTATAATGTTTGGCCTTTTGTGTCTGACTTCTTTCACTTAGCATAGTGTTTTCAAGGTTCATTCATGTAGCACATATCAATATGTCATTCCTTTTTATGGCTGAGTAATATTGTATGGATATATTATATTTGTATATTGATTTAGTTGATGGGAATTGGGTTATTTCCACTTTTTGGCTATCATTGTGAACATACATGTACAAGTTTTTGTGTGGACATGTTTTCAGTTTTCTTGGGTAGAACAAAAAGTATTTTTAAGGAAGCATACTTTAAGAAAAATTATACACATTCATTGGTTCCAGGAATTATTCTTGGTGTCAAGTCAGATGTGCACTGGAAAAATAAATATTTATTAATAATTTGTTTATTTAGTTTTATTCTTCGTGTTTAAAAAAGATTTAGAAATCTATAATATTCAAGATAATCCTCTGCCCCCTTTTTTTCTAGGCAAGATTACAGAGAGGTCACTTATTACTCAAACAAGGAAAACTTGATGAAGCAGAAGATGATTTTAAAAAAGTGGTAAGTTCAATATGTATTTGACTCTAGGAAGATGTTATTTTGAGAGAACGTATTTGACCTTTTTTATATTATGACAGTTAATAGTAATTTTATAGCTAAGAGTCAATAGTCTTAGACAGTAAATAGAGAATAGCCAGATTTATATATTTAAGAATCACAAATCCTGAATTACTATTTGATGGCAGACATCAAAGAATCCTGTTAACAGTTGGAAGGTAAAGCGTACCCAATAGATATATAATCTTAACTCAGTTTATACAGCTTGCTTGTTCTGCTTTGTCCACCATGAGAATCTAAAGATGTCAGCTGAACTACTTTTAAAGCCCTTGTTAATCCTTATTAGGCTTTGGATCTGTCCTTTTGGAGATCCTTCATTTGATTTGAGAGGAGTAATGAAACAGATTCTTTTTTTTTTTCTCTTTTTTTTTATTATTATTATACTTTAAGTTTTAGGGTACATGTGCACAATGTGCAGGTTTGTTACGTATGTATACATGTGCCATGTTGGTGTGCTGCACCCATTAACTCGTCATTTAGCATTAGGTATATCTCCTAATGCTATCCCTCCCCCCTCCCCCCACCCCACAACAGTCCCCGGAGTGTGATGTTCCCCTTCCTGTGTCCACGTGTTCTCATTGTTCAATTCCCACCTATGAGTGAGAACATGCGGTGTTTGGTTTTTTGTCCTTGCGATAGTTTGCTGAGAATGATGGTTTCCAGTTTCATCCATGTCGCTACAAAGGACATGAACTCTTCATTTTTTATGGCTGTATAGTATTCCATGGTGTATATGTGCCACATTTTCTTAATCCAGTCTATCGTTGTTGGACATTTGGGTTGGTTCCAAGTCTTTGCTATTGTGAATAGTGCCGCAATAAACATACGTGTGCATGTGTCTTTATAGCAGCATGATTTATAATCCTTTGGGTATATACCCAGTAATGGGATGGTTGGGTCAAATGGTATTTCTAGTTCTAGATCCCTGAGGAATCACCACACTGACTTCCACAATGGTTGAACTAGTTTATAGTCCCACCAACAGTGTAAAAGTGTTCCTATTTTTCCACATCCTCCCCAGCACCTGTTGTTTCCTGACTTTTTAATGATTGCCATTCCAACTGGTGTGAGTTGGTATCTCATTGTGGTTTTGATTTGCATTTCTCTGATGGCCAGTGATGATGAGCATTTTTTCATGTGTTTTTTGGCTGCATAAATGTCTTCTTTTGAGAAGTGTCTGTTCATATCCTTCACCCACTTTTTGATGGGGTTGTTTGTGAAACACATTCTTAAAAGGGAATTTTGCAGTCATCCATTATGGCTGCTTTACAAAGTGTAAAGTGCTTTGGATTTGTTAGGGAATGTTACAGATTTTGTGTCATTGAAGGGGGTATATACTAAAAAATGATTTGGTTAGAGACACTTAGCTGGTCTTTTTATGCCCTCATTAGGCTTGTTTTAAAGACCAGCATTTTTGTTTTACATGGGTTTGCTTCTGGAATGGTCTAGAAAGGGTATATAAGCCACTGTTTATTATTTGCATTTTTTATAGTTTATGGAAATGCTTAGTTACTATGATGATAACCACTATGAAAAGAAAACTAAAATTTCTAACATTATCATAACACTTGTCACAATACTCTGTCATCTGTGGATAAATCCAAAAACATTAGATTTAATTGTATTGGATCAGAAACTGCCTTGTGGTCTCAATAAAATCGGCTGTCATTTTCTTTTTATCTATCTCCCCTCCTACTTGGGAAGATGCTTGAGAGCAGGCTGAAGACTGGGTGGTGGGGAGGTGATAGTGCCGGAGTAATCTTTCCCTAGCCCAGGCCTTTGTTCAAAGAACGTGTTGCATAAACATTTGTCAAATGGATGAATGAATTATAAAACATGAGAATGTGTTTCTGCTTCTAGCAGATGCTTAAATCTGTTACTTAGGTTTTTTTTTTTTCCAATTAAACTTGAGAGTAGTTTTTTAGAAATAATTTAGGATATAGTTTTAGCACAAATTAATCCTTATTGGGCATTGGATGTTTCTTCTGGATAACTGAGATCTTGGTACCTTGGATATGCCTTGGGTTAATGTCTTTTCTGTGATCAGTATTAAAACTTCTCAGAAACAAGGAGGTGGACTCTCACAGACCTTCTACTTTTTAGATTGCTCTTTGGCAGTCATACTTGTAGAGTGTTCTTAAAGCAAACTATTTTTTTAGCTCTTACTATTGTTATAGGGATTCTTCCATGAGAATGCATATCTGTCTTTAATAATCTTTTAGTTTTAATTGAACTTTTTACTGAGATAATTGTAGATTTTCATGCAGTGGTAAGAAATAATACAAATAGATGACAGGTGCCATTTACCCAGTTTCCTCCAATAAGAAAATTGTTTTTGTACCTATGAATTTATCCGTAGTGTAAAACTATAGCACTGTATCACAACCAGGATATTGACACTGATACAATCTATCAATCTATTCAGATTTCCTCAATTTTAGTAGTATTCATTTCTTTGTTGCATGTATTCCATATACTTTATCACATGTGTTGGTTCATGTACCTACCACCATAGTCAAGACACTGACTTGGTATTCTGTTACCCTGGGATCCCTCCTGTTACCCTTTGTAACCATACCAATTTCCATCCCACCCTGCTCTGGCCCCCTAGTCATACTTTCTGGCATCCACTAATTTGATATTCATTTCTTAAATTTTGACATTTCAAAAATCTTACATAACTGGAATCAAATGTTATACAAAAATCTTTTAGAATTGACTCTTTTTACTCAGTGTAATTTTCTGGAGATTTATCTAGATTTTTACATATCCTACTTAGTTTGTTCCTTTTAGATGCTGATGGACATTTGGGTTGTTTCCATTTCTTGGCTATTGCAAATAAAGCTGCCGTGAACATTCTCGTACAGATGTTTGTGTGAACGTGAATTTTTGTTATCCCTGGGATAAATGTCCAGGAGTGCAGTTACTGGGTTGTATGGTTATTGCATGTTTATTTTGTAAGAAAGCACCAAATTGCTTTCCAGAGTGACTGTACCATTTTACATTCCTCTGCATCCTTGCCGGCATTTGGTATTGTCATTATTTTTTATTTTGGCCATTCTCATAGATGTGTTACTATATTGTGGTTTTAATTTGGATTTCTCTGATTACTAATGATGTTGAACATCGTTTCCTGTGCTTATTTGCCATCTGTAAATCCTTTTCAGTGAAATTTCTGTTCATGTTTTCTGCTCATGTTCTAATTGGCTTGTTTGCTTTTTTATTGTTGTGTTTTAAATGTCCTTTATATATTTTAGATACTTTGTTGGATATGTAGTTTACAAATATTTTCCCCTCAGTCTGTAGCTTTTCCTTTGATCCTCTTCACAGGATGTTTTATAGAACAAAATGTCTAATTTTTAAATTAATACAGAATATTTGTGCATATTTATGTATTTTTGAGGAACATGTGATGCCTTGTTACATGCATAGACTGTGTGATGATCAAGTCAGGGTATTCAGAATATCTATCACTGAATATTTATCATTTCTGTGTGTTGGGAACATTTCACGTTCTCCCAGCTATTTTGAAATAGACAATATATTGTTAACTACCCTACTTTGCTATTAAACATTACCTCTTATTCTTCTTTGCTGTGTGTTTGTACCCATTAACCTCTCTTCATCCCCGCCTCCCACTGACACACCCTTTCCAGTCTCTAATGTCTATCATGTCTGTCATCCTACTCTCTAACTCTGTGAGAGTAACTTTTTTTTTTGCTCCCACATATATGTGAGAACATGCAATGTTTGACTTTCTGTGCCTGGCTTGTATTTCACTAATAACCTCCAGTTCCATCCATGTGGCTGCATATGAACATGATTTTAATTCTTTTTTATGGCCAAATAGTATCCCATTCTCATTCACTCATTCTCTCTCTCTCTCTCTCTCTTTCTCTCTCTCTTTTCCCCCGCCCTCTCCCTCTCCCCCTCCCACTCCCTCTCCGCCTCCCTCTCCCTCTCCCCCTCCCCCTCCCTCTCCTTCTCCCTCTCCCTCTCCTTCTCCCTCTCCCTGTCCTTTTCCCTCTCCCTCTCCTTCTCCCCATCCTTCTCCCTCTGCCTATCCTTCTCCCTCTCCCTCTCCCTCTCCCTCTCTCCATACACACACACATACCCCATACTTAACTTTATTAATTCATCTGTAGATGAGCACATTTGGTAAGATTCCATATTGTGGAATAGTGCTGCAATAAACATGAGGATACAGGTATCCCTTTGATATACTGATTTTGATTGTATAGTAGTTCTATTTTTAGTTTTCTGAGAAATCTCCATACTGTTTTACATAGTGGCTGTACTAATTTACATTCCTGCCAACAGCGTATAAGAGTTCCCTTTTCTCTGCATTCTTGCCAGCATCCATTATTTTTTGTCTTTTTATAGTAGCCATTCTAACTGGGTGAGGTGTTCTCATTATTGTTTTGATTTGCATTTCCCTGATTATTAGTGATGTTGAACATTTTTTCATATACCTGTTGGCTATTTATATGCCTTTTGAGAAATGTCTGTTTATGTCCTTTGCCCATTTTTAAATGGGATTATTTGTTTTCTTACTGCTGACTTCTTTCAGTTCCTTGTATATTCTGTATATTAGTTGCTTGTTGGATGAATAGTTTGCATATATTTTCTGTAGTCAACAGCTTGTCTGTCCACTCTGTTGATTGTGTCTTTTGCTGTGCAGAGGCTTATTATTTTTACATTTTTGAGTTGGGGTCTCTGTCACCTATGCTGGAGTACAGTGGCATGATCGTGGCTTACTGCAGCCTCAAATTCCTGGGCTCAAGTGATCCCCCTGCCTTAGCCCCCCAAGTAACTGAGACTACATGTATGTATCACTAGGCCTGGCTAATTTTAAAACATTTTTTGTAGAGATGGGATCTTGCTATGTTGCCCAGGCTAGTCTTAAACTCCTGGCCTCAAGTGATTCTCCCACTTTGGCCTCCCAAAGTGGTAGGTTTACAGGTGTCAGCCACCATTCCCAGCCCAGAAGCTTTTTAGTTTAATATAATACCATTTGTTTATTTTTGTTTTTCTTGCTTGTGCTTTTGAGATCTTGGCCATAAAAACTTTGCATAGACCAATGTCTTAAAGCATTTTTCCCATGTTTTCTTCTAGTAGCTTTATAGTTTTAGGTCTTACGTTTAAGTCTTTAAGGCGTTTGTGTTGATTTTTGTACTTAGTGAGAGACAGGGATCCAGTTTCAATCTGCTGCATATAGATATCCAGTTTTCACAGCACCATTTATTGAAGAGGGTGTGTGTCCTCTCCCCAATGTATGTTCTCGGCCCCTTTGTTAAAAATCAGTTGCTGTAAGTACATGGATTTATTTCTGGGTTCTCTAATCTGTTCCATTGATGTATGTGTCTGGTTTTATACCAATACCATGCTGTTTTGGTCACTATAGCCTTGTAATATACTTTGAAGTCAGGTAGCCTGATGCCTCCTTACTCTTTTTGCTCAGGATTGCTTTGGCTATTCAGGCTCTGTTTTGGTTTCATATGAATTGTATGATTGTTTTTTCTATTTCTGTGAAAAATGACATTGGTATTTTGATACAGATATCCTTGAATCTGTAGATTGCTTTGGGTAGTATGATCATTTTAACAATGTTAATTTTGATTTGTGAGCATAGGATGTCTTACTATTTGTTTTTGTCTTTTTAAATTTCTTTCATCAGTATTTTGTAGTTTTCTTTGTAGAAGTCTTCCAATTCCTTGGTTAAATTTTTTCCTGGGTATTTTATTTTTATTATTGCTGTTGTAAATGGGATTGCCTTCTTAGTTTAAGTGATTTCATTATTGGTGTATAGAGATGCTATTGATTTTTGTATGTTGATTTAGTATCCTGCACTTTACTGAATTAAAAAAAATAGTTCTGAGAGTTTATTTTGGATTTTGGGTTTTCTAAATATAAGATCATGTCATCTGCAAAGTGGGACAATTTGACTTCATGTTTTTCAATTTGGATGCCTTTTATTTCTCCCTCTTGCCTGACTGGTCTGCCTAGGAATCCCAGTACTGACTGCATTGAGTAGGAGTGGTGAAGGTGAGCATCTTTGTCTTGTTTCAGTTCTTAGAGGAAAGGCTTTCAATTTTTTCCCATTCACTATGATGTTAACTGTGGATTTGTCATAATGGTCTTTATTTTGTTGAAGTATGTTCCTTCTGTGCCTAGTTTGTTTAGAGTTTTTGTCCTGAGGAGGCTTTGAATTTTATCAAATGTTTTTACTGTATCTTTTGAGATGATTGTATGGTTTTTGCCCTTTGTTTGTCCATGTGATGTATCACATACTGATTTCTAAATGTTGAACCATTCTTGCGTCTCTGGGATAAATCCCACTTGATCATGGTGTCTTATGTTTTCTGGTTTTGTTTTTGTTTGAGATAGGGTCTTCCTGTGTTGCCCAGGCTGGAGTGCAGTGGTGCGGACATGACTCGCTGCAGCCTCAACCTGCTGGGCTCAGGTGATCCTCTGGCCTGCAGTGGTGCAGACATGACTCACTGCAGCCTCAACCTACTGGGCTCAAGTGATCCTCTGGCCTGAGCCTCCTGAGTAGCTGGGACCACAGGTGTGCATCACCACGCCTGGCTAATTTTTTTTTTTTTTTTTTTTTTGAGACTGGGTCGCACTTTGTTGCACAGGCTGGTCTGAAACTCCTGGGCTTAAGAGATCCTTCCACCTTGGCCTCCCGAAGTGCTGAGATTACAGGCATCAGCCACTGCACCCAGCCGGTGTCTTACCTTTTTGTCAAGCTATTGGATTCATTTGCTAGTATTTCGTTGAGGATGTTTGCATCTGTGTTCATCAAAGACATTGGCCTGTAGTTTTCTTTCTTTGTTGTGTCCTTGTCTGGTTTTGGCTTCAAGGTAATTCTGGCCTCATAGAATGAGTTAGGGAGAATTCCCACCACTTCAGTTTTTGTAATAATTTGAGGAGAGTTGGTATTATTTCTCTTTTATATGTTTGGAAGAATTTGGCAATGAATCCATCCAGTCCTGGGCTTTTCTTTGTTGGGAGACTTTAATTACTGATTTAATCTTGTTACTGGTCTATTCAGGTTTTCTGTTTCAGCCTTGGTAGGTTCAGCCTTGGTAGGCTGTAGGTTTCCAGGAATTTATCCATTTCCTCTAGATTTTCCAGTTTGTTATTAGATAGCTATTAATAATAGTCTTTGGGGGATTTTTTTATATTTCTTGGGTATGAGTTACAATATTTCCTTTTTGTTTCCGATTTTGATTATTTGGGCCTTTTCTCGTTTTTTTCTTGGTTAATCTAGCTTGTGGTTTATCAATTTGTTTATCTTTTCGTAAAACCGACTTTTTGTTTTGTGATCCCTTGCATTGTTTTTTTAGTCTCAATTTCATTTAGTTCTGCTGTGATCTTTATTTTTTTTTCCTTCTACTAATTTTGGGTTTGTTCTTCCTTTTCTGGTTTCTTGGGATGCATGTTAGATTGTTTATTTGAAATCTTTTTTTTTATATATGTGTTTATTGCTACAAAGTTTCCTCTTAGCACTGCTTTGGCTGTATTCCATAGGTTTTGGTATGTTGTGTTTCCATTTTCATTTGTTTCAAAAAAATTTTTTTATTTCCATCTTAATTTCTTGACAGAGTTTTCATGTATTTGTATAGTTTCCAAAGTTCCTCTTGGTATTGTTTTCTAGTTTTATTCCAATGTGGTCTGAGAAAGTACTTACATGATTTTGATATTTAAAAATTTGTTGATACTTATTTTATGGCCTAATATACGTCTGTCCTTGAGAATGTTGCATATGCTGATGAGCAGTATGTATATTCTACTGTTTTAGGGTAACATGTTCTGTGAATGTCTGTTAAGTCTGTTTGGTCTAAAGTTCAGTTATAGCCAACTTTTTTTGTTGATTTTCTGTCTATATGATCTATGTAATGCTGAGAGTGGGGTATTAAAGTCCCCCACTATTATTATCTTGGAGATTGTCTTTCCTTTTATATCTAATAATATTTGCCTTAACATATGTGGGTGCTCCAGTGTTGGGTACATATATATTTAGAATTGTTATATCCTCTTGCTGAACTGATCCGTTTATTATTATATAATGACTTTTGTCTTTTTGTTTTTTGTGAGGCAGAGTCTTGCTCTGTCACCCAGGCTGGAGTGCAGTGGTGCAATCTCAGCTCACTGCAACCTCCACCTCCTGGGTTCAAGCAATTCTCCTGCTTCAGCCTCCTGAGTAGCTGGGACTACAGGCGCATACCACCACATCACCACATCCAGCTAATTTTTATGTTTTTAGTAGAAACGGGGTTTTGCCATTTTGGCCAGGCTGGTCTCAAACTCCTGATCTCAGGTGATCTGCCTGCCCTGGCCTCGCAAAGTGCTGGGATTACATGTGTGAGCCACTGTGCCTGGCCTGTCTTTTTTTTTTTTTTTTTTTTTTTTAACAGTTCTGTCTTAAACCGATAAATACGTTTTATTTAAATATAGCTATTCTTGTTTGCTTTAGGTTTCCATTTGCGTGGAATGTCTTCTGTCCCTTTACTTTTAGTCTTCGTGTGTCTTTACAAGTGAAGGAAGTTTCTTGTAAGTGCCATATAGTTAGATCCATTTTTTAAAAATCCATTCAGTCAGTCCTTTAAGGGGAAAATTTAATCTGTTTAAATAACCTTGAAAAGTTATTACTGATATGTGAGATTTCATCCTGGTCATATTGTTTGTTGTTTTCTGGATGTTTTGTATATCCTTTGTTCCTTTCTTTTTCTCTTATTGTTTATCTTTTTGGTTTGGTGGTTTTCTGTAGTGGTAACATTTGAATCCTTTCTCATTTGTGTGTTTGCTCTACCAGTGAGTTTTATACGGTGTGTTTTCATGACAGTAGATATTGTCCTTTTGCATCTAGGTTTAGGACTCCCTTAAGCATTTCTTGTAGAATTGGTCTAGTGGTGATGAACCTGTCTGGGAAAGGCTTTATTTTTCTCCTTCATTTATGAAGGATAACTTTGCTGGGTGTAGTATTGTTGGTTGACAGTTTTCTCTTAGCACTTTGAGTATATCATTCCATTCCCTGCAGGCCAGTAAGGTTTCTGCTGAGAAATAATCCCGATAGTCCAATGGGGTTTCCCTTATAAATGACTAAATGTTTTTATCTTCTGTTTTCAGAACTTTCTCCTAGTTTTTGACTTTTGACAGTTTGATTGCTATGTGCCATGGAGAAGTCCTTTTTGAACTGTATCTATTTTGGGTTATCTGAGCTTTCTGTCTATCGACGTCTAAATCTTTTGCTAGACTTGGGATGTTTTCAGCTATTATTTTGTTAAGTAAGTTTTTTATCACTGTGGTTTTCTCTTTACCTTCTGTGACAACAAAAATTCAAATATTTGGTTACTTTATGGAGTTCTGTGTGTCATGTAAGCTTGTTTATTCTTTTTCATTCTTTTTTCTTTATATTTTTCTGATTGGCTTATTTCAAAGGACCTGTCTTCAAGTTCTGAAATTGTTTGTTCTGCTTGCTGTCGTCTATTGTTGAAGCTCTTTTTTTTTTTTTTAATTATACTTTAAGTTTTAGGATACATGTGCACATTGTGCAGGTTAGTTACATATGTATACATGTGCCATGCTGGTGCGCTGCACCCACTAACTCGTCATCTAGCATTAGGTATATCTCCCGATGCTATCCCTCCCCCCTCCCCCCCACCCCACAACAGGCCCCAGAGTGTGATATTCCCCTTTCTGTGTCCATGTGATCTCATTGTTCAATTCCCACCTATGAGTGAGAACATGCAGTGTTTTGTTTTTTGTTCTTGCGATAGTTTACTGAGAATGATGATTTCCAATTTCATCCATGTCCCTACAAAGGACATGAACTCATCATTGTTTATGGCTGCATAGTATTCCATGGTGTATATGTGCCACATTTTCTTAATCCAGTCTATCATTGTTGGACATTTGGGTTGGTTCCAAGTCTTTGCTATTGTGAATAATGCCGCAATAAACATACGTGTGCATGTGTCTTTATAGCAGCATGATTTATAGTCCTTTGGGTATATACCCAGTAATGGGATGGCTGGGTCAAATGGTATTTCCAGTTCTAGATCCCTGAGGAATCGCCACACTGACTTCCACAATGGTTGAACTAGTTTACAGTCCCACCAACAGTGTAAAAGTGTTCCTATTTCTCCACATCCTCTCCAGCACCTGTTGTTTCCTGACTTTTTAATGATTGCCATTCTAACTGGTGTGAGTTGGTATCTCATTGTGGTTTTGATTTGCATTTCTCTGATGGCCAGTGATGATGAGCATTTTTTCATGTGTTTTTTGGCCGCATAAATGTCTTCTTTTGAGAAGTGTCTGTTCATGTCCTTCGCCCACTTTTTGATGGGGTTGTTTGTTTTTTTCTTGTAAATTTGTTTGAGTTCATTGTAGATTCTGGATATTAGCCCTTTGTCAGATGAGTAGGTTGCAAAAATTTTCTCCCATTTTGTAGGTTGCCTGTTCACTCTGATGATAGTTTCTTTTGCTGTGCAGAAGCTCTTTAGTTTAATTAGATCCCATTTGTCAATTTTGTCTTTTGTTGCCATTCCTTTTGGTGTTTTAGACATGAAGTCTTTGCCCATGCCTATGTCCTGAATGGTAATGCCTAGGTTTTCTTCTAGGGTTTTTAAGGTTTTAGGTCTAACGTTTAAGTCTTTAATCCATCTTGAATTGATTTTTGTATAAGGTGTAAGGAAGGGATCCAGTTTCAGCTTTCTACATACGGCTAGCCAGTTTTCCCAGCACCATTTATTGAATAGGGAATCCTTTCCCCATTGCTTGTTTTTCTCAGGTTTGTCAAAGATCAGATAGTTGTAGATATGCGGCGTTATTTCTGAGGGCTCTGTTCTGTTCCATTGATCTATATCTCTGTTTTGGTACTAGTACCATGCTGCTTTGGTTACTGTAGCCTTGTAGTATAGTTTGAAGTCAAGTAGTGTGATGCCTCCAGCTTTGTTCTTTTGGCTTAGGTTTGACTTGGCGATGCGGGCTCTTTTTTGGTTCCATATGAACTTTAAAGTAGTTTTTTCCAATTCTGTGAAGAAAGTCATTGGTAGCTTGATGGGGATGGCATTGAATCTATAAATTACCTTGGGCAGTATGGCCATTTTCACGATATTGATTCTTCCTACCCATGAGCATGGAATGTTCTTCCATTTGTTTGTATCCTCTTTTATTTCCTTGAGCAGTGGTTTGTAGTTCTCCTTGAAGAGGTCCTTCACATCCCTTGTAAGTTGGATTCCTAGGTATTTTATTCTCTTTGAAGCAATTGTGAATGGGAGTTCACTCATGATTTGGCTCTGTTTGTCTGTTGTTGGTGTATAAGAATGCTTTTGATTTTTGTACATTGATTTTGTATCCTGAGACTTTGCTGAAGTTGCTTATCAGCTTAAGGAGATTTTGGGCTGAGACAATGGGGTTTTCTAGATATACAATCATGTCATCTGCAAACAGGGACAATTTGACTTCCTCTTTTCCTAATTGAATACCCTTTATTTCCTTCTCCTGCCTAATTGCCCTGGCCAGAACTTCCAACACTATGTTGAATGGGAGTGGTGAGAGAGGGCATCCCTGTCTTGTGCCAGTTTTCAAAGGGAATGCTTCCAGTTTTTGCCCATTCAGTATGATATTGGCTGTGGGTTTGTCATAGATAGCTCTTATTATTTTGAAATAGGTCCCATCAATACCTAATTTATTGAGAGTTTTTAGCCTGAAGGGTTGTTGAATTTTGTCAAAGGCTTTTTCTGCATCTATTGAGATAATCATGTGGTTTTTGTCTTTGGCTCTGTTTATATGCTGGATTACATTTATTGATTTGCGTATATTGAACCAGCCTTGCATCCCAGGGATGAAGCCCACTTGATCATGGTGGAGAAGCTTTTTGATGTGCTGCTGGATTCGTTTTGCCAGTATTTTATTGAGGATTTTTGCATCAATGTTCATCAAGGATATTGGTCTAAAATTCTCTTTTTTTGTTGTGTCCCTGCCTGGCTTTGGTATCAGAATGATGCTGGCCTCATAAAATGAGTTAGGGAGAATTCCCTCTTTTTCTATTGATTGGAATAGTTTCAGAAGGAATGGTACCAGTTCCTCCTTGTACCTCTGGTAGAATTTGGCTGTGAATCCATCTGGTCCTGGACTCTTTTTGGTTGGTAAGCTATTGATTATTGCCACAATTTCAGCTCCTGTTATTGGTCTATTCAGAGATTCAACTTCTTCCTGGTTTAGTCTTGAGAGAGTGTATGTGTCCAGGAATTTATCCATTTCTTCTAGATTTTCTAGTTTATTTGCGTAGAGGTGTTTGTAGTATTCTCTGATGGTAGTTTGTATTGCTGTGGGATCGGTGGTGATATCCCCTTTATCATTTTTTTATTGTGTCTATTTGATTCTTCTCTCTTTTTTTCTTTATTAGTCTTGCTAGTGGTCTATCAATTTTGTTGATCCTTTCAAAAAACCAGCTCCTGGATTCATTAATTTTTTGAAGGGTTTTTTGTGTCTCTATTTCCTTCAGTTCTGCTCTGATTTTAGTTATTTCTTGCCTTCTGCTAGCTTTTGAATGTGTTTGCTCTTGCTTTTCTAGTTCTTTTAATTGTGATGTTAGGGTGTCAATTTTGGATCTTTCCTGCTTTCTCTTGTGGGCATTTAGTGCTATAAATTTCCCTCTACACACTGCTTTGAATGCGTCCCAGAGATTCTGGTATGTTGTGTCTTTGTTCTCGTTGGTTTCAAAGAACATCTTTATTTCTGCCTTCATTTCGTTATGTACCCAGTAGTCATTCAGGAGCAGGTTGTTCGGTTTCCATGTAGTTGAGCAGTTTTGAGTGAGATTCTTAATCCTGAGTTCTAGTTTGATTGCACTGTGGTCTGAGAGATAGTTTGTTATAATTTCTGTTCTTTTACATTTGCTGAGGAGAGCTTTACTTCCCAGTATGTGGTCAATTTTGGAATAGGTGTTGTGTGGTGCTGAAAAAAATGTATATTCTGTTGATTTGGGGTGGAGAGTTCTGTAGATGTCTATTAGGTCCGCTTGGTGCAGAGCTGAGTTCAATTCCTGGGTATCCTTGTTGACTTTCTGTCTCGTTGATCTGTCTAATGTTGACAGTGGGGTGTTAAAGTCTCCCATTATTAATGTGTGGGAGTCTAAGTCTCTTTGTAGGTCACTCAGGACTTGCTTTATGAATCTAGTTGCTCCTGTATTGGGTGCATATATATTTAGGATAGTTAGCTCTTCTTGTTGAATTGATCCCTTTACCATTATGTCATGGCCTTCTTTGTCTCTTTTGATCTTTGTTGGTTTAAAGTCTGTTTTATCAGAGACAAGGATTGCAACCCCTGCCTTTTTTTGTTTTCCATTGGCTTGGTAGATCTTCCTCCATCCTTTTATTTTGGGCTTATGTGTGTCTCTGCACGTGAGATGGGTTTCCTGAATACAGCACACTGATGGGTCTTGACTCTTTATCCAGTTTGCCAGTCTGTGTCTTTTAATTGGAGCATTTAGTCCATTTACATTTAAAGTTAATATTGTTATGTGTGATTTTGATCCTGTCATTTTGATGTTAGCTGGTTATTTTGCTCGTTAGTTGATGCAGTTTCTTCCTAGTCTCGATGGTCTTTACATTTTGGCATGATTTTGCAGCGGCTGGTACTGGTTGTTCCTTTCCATGTTTAGTGCTTCCTTCAGGAGCTCTTGTAGGGCAGGCCTGGTGGTGACAGAATCTCTCAGCATTTGCTTGTCTGTAAAGGATTTTATTTCTCCTTCACTTATGAAGCTTAGTTTGGCTGGATATGCAATTCTGGGTTGAAAATTCTTTTCTTTAAGAATGTTGAATATTGGCCCCCACTCTCTTCTGGCTTGTAGGGTTTCTGCTGAGAGATCCGCTATTAGTCTGATGGGCTTCCTTTTGAGGGTAACCCGACCTTCCTCTCTGGCTGCCCTTAACATTTTTTCCTTCATTTCAACTTTGGTGAATCTGACAATTATGTGTCTTGGAGTTGCTCTTCTCGAGGAGTATCTTTGTGGCATTCTCTGTATTTCCTGAATCTGAACGTTGGCCTGCCTTGCTAGATTGGGGAAGTTCTCCTGGATAATATCCTGCAGAGTGTTTTCCAACTTGGTTCCATTCTCCCCATCACTTTCAGGTACACCAGTCAGACGTAGATTTGGTCTTTTCACATAGTCCCATATTTCTTGGAGGCTTTGCTCATTTCTTTTTATTCTTTTTTCTCTAAACTTCCCTTCTCGCTTCATTTCATTCATTTCATCTTCCATCGCTGATACCCTTTCTTCCAGTTGATCGTATTGGCTCCTGAGGCTTCTGCATTCTTGAGCCTTGGTTTTCAGCTCCATCAGCTCCTTTAAGCACTTCTCTGTATTGGTTATTCTAGTTATACATTCTTCTAAATTTTTTTCAAAGTTTTCAACCTCTTTGCCTTTGGTTTGAATGTCCTCCCGTAGCTCAGAGTAATTTGATCGTCTGAAGCCTTCTTCTCTCAGCTCGTCAAAGTCATTCTCCATCCAGCTTTGTTCTGTTGCTGGTGAGGAACTGCGTTCCTTTAGAGGAGGAGATGCGCTCTGCTTTTTAGAGTTTCCAGTTTTTCTGTTCTGTTTTTTCCCCATCTTTGTGGTTTTATCTACTTTTGGTCTTTGATGATGGTGATGTACAGATGGGTTTTTGGTGTGGATGTCCTTTCTGTTTGTTAGTTTTCCTTCTAACAGAGAGGACCCTTAGCTGCAGGTCTGTTGGAATACCCTGCCGTGTGAGGTGTCAGTGTGCCCCTGCTGGGGGGTGCCTCCCAGTTAGGCTGCTCGGGGGTCGGGGTCAGGGACCCACTTGAGGAGGCAGTCTACCCGTTCTCAGATCTCCAGCTGCGTGCTGGGAGAACCACTGCTCTCTTCAAAGCTGTCAGACAGGGATATTTAAGTCTTCAGAGGTTACTGCTGTCTTTTTGTTTGTCTGTGCCCTGCTCCCAGAGGTGGAGCCTACAGAGGCAGGCAGGCCTCCTTGAGCTGTGGTGGGCTCCACCCAGTTGGAGCTTCCCGGCTGCTTTGTTTACCTAAGCAAGCCTGGGCAATGGCGGGCGCCCCTCCCCCAGCCTCGCTGCCGCCTTGCAGTTTGATCTCAGACTGCTGTGCTAGCAATCAGCGAGACTCCGTGGGCGTAGGACCCTCCGAGCCAGGTGCCGGATATAATCTCGTGGTGCGCCGTTTTTTAAGCCCGTCGGAAAAGCGCAGTATTCGGGTGGGAGTGACCCGATTTTCCAGGTGCTGTCCGTCACCCCTTTCTTTGACTCAGAAAGGGAACTCCCTGACCCCTTGCACTTCCCAAGTGAGGCAATGCCTCGCCCTGCTTCGGCTCGCGCACGGTGCACGCACCCACTGACCTGCGCCCACTGTCTGGCACTCCCTAGTGAGATGAACCCGGTACCTCAGATGGAAATGCAGAAATCACCCGTCTTCTGCGTCGCTCACGCTGGGAGCTGTAGACCGGAGCTGTTCCTATTCGGCCATCTTGGCTCCTCCCCTGAAGCTCTTAAGTGTATTTTAAAATTTCATTCAGTGAATTCTTTAGTTCCAGTATTTGTCTGATTCTTTTTAAAAATGATATGTATCTCTTTTATACATTTTTCATTCATACCCTGGATTGTTTTTCTAATTTCTTTGTATTGTCTATCTCTGTTCTCTTATATCTCCCTGAGCTTATTTAGTGTCATTATATTGAATCATTTTTCTGGTATTTCACAAATTTCTTTTTCATTGGAATCTGTTGCTGGAGAGTTATTGTTTTCTTTTGGAGGTGTCATATTTCATTGCTTTTTCATGTTTAAGTTCTCATGTTGATATTTGTGCATCTGTTAATAATGTAACTGTCATGTCTTTGAATTTTTTGGATTTGTTTTTGTAGGAGAGGACTTTTTCCTTAAGATGTGTTTGTGATTTTGGTTGGGTAGAGCACTTTGGCTTTGATTCTTGGTGTATGTAGTAGTATAGTCTCCATATAATTTGGCTGGCTGTAATCAGTGTCAGTGGTATCTGTGATTTCTTCAGTGGCTTAGGGTGCAGTTGTTATTGGAAGCTGTTTTGTAGTTTTGCTGGGGATGGGGATGTCAGATAAGCCAGTTCTTGGGCCCTAGTGGGGGCAATAACAGGCCAAACATGCCTAACTTAGGGCTTCAAGGTGGCGTATGCTGGCATTTATGTTAGTGGGTCCACGTGGACCAATTCTTGGGCTTCCGGGTGGCCTACTTTGGTACGGGAATGGCAGCAGTGGATTGGACAGGTGGGTGGGTCCGTGGGTCCCTGGGCAGCAGTTGTGGCCTGGGCAATGACAGTAGCATTGGTGGGACAACCCTTTGGATCCCAGCTGGTCTGAGGTGGTCTTGGCGATGGCTACACTGTGTTGAGTGGGGCAGTCCCAGGCCACAGGTGGTGTGTCCTGGTGTATGCTACTGTGGTGGCATGGCAAGCTGGGTGGGCTCACCCTCAGGCTCCAGGAAGGAGTGCTCAGGTGCCAATGGGTATAGACTGGGCAGAGAAATCCTCAGGCCCCAGGATAGTGTGCTTGGGCACTTGGGCAGAGGCAGGGGTAGTGAGCCATGCCAGGCAGAACTATCCTCAGGCCCTTCCAGTGATGTGTACAGGTGCTGGCTGTGGTGGGTAAGGGTGGGGTGATCCCCAGACTTTCAGTGAAGTGCTTGGGTGGAGGCAGCAGTGGCTGTGCTGCAGTCCTGCTACTGGGTAAGGCGGGGATTTTTTCAGTGGCAGCAGCTGTAGGCAGGTGGCTGGGGAGCACACACTTTGTCCCTAGGTGGCGGCTGCTGGCAAGAGAGCCTGTGCTCAGTACATTTTAAAATGTGTAGCAATCCTTCTCCTGGGGTGGTGGGCTTGCTGCTAGTGTCTTGTGCTTGGCTCTGGTGGCAGCAACCAGCTACAGTGGCATCTGCAGGTGGGGGATGTCAATGGGGCACAATGGATGTGGAGATGCAGAAACTGTGGGGTGGGCCCCAGGGCAGGATGCTGCCTGGTAAGGGCTGTATTCTTACAGAGGCACCATGTTGTAGGTGCATAGGACTTGGAAGGTGTGTAGGATCCAGTGTGATCTCCTTCTTTGAAGCAATGCCATCATGCAGTCTCCATGCAGCTGGTTACTTTCAGGGCCCACAAGGGTTGAGAGGATCTCCAGCTAGGATTGGAGGAGTCCACAGTGGCAATGTGGACTGCTGGGGGTCACTTACTTACTTTTTCCCCACATTCAGAGCCTCTTTGGGCTCTTATCCCAGCCAAGCAGGCTGCCTCACTTCTCTCTTCTTCTTCTTCTTAGGTGTTTCCTGTTCCTTCTCTGTTGGGACTCCAGCGTTCTCTCCTAGATGATCTATACTTGCTATTTTGGTTCTTCCTTATGAAGAAGGTGACTTTCAGATGCCTCTCGTCAGCCATCTCTGAATGCCTTCCTCAGTCTTTAAATTTGATGAAGTTCAATTTGTTGATTTCCTTTTTACTTCTGTGGACTGTGCGTTTGGTGTCATGTCTAAGAAGTATTCACTACGCCGTAGGATCTAAAACTTTTCTCATATCTTCTAAAAGTTTTATGGTTTTGTGTTTTATTTTTAAGCCCATAGTCTATTTGAGTTAATTTTTGTATGATGGTATGAGGTTTAGGTCGAAGTTCATTTGTTTTGCCTTTAGGTATCAGATTGCTTCAGCACCATATTTTGAAAAGACTTTGTTTCTTTCATTGAATTGCTTTTGCACCTTATTCAAAAATCAGTTGGCTGTACTTTTATGGGACTATTTCTAGGTTCTTTATTCTGTTCCTTTGATCTGTGTGTCTGTCCCTTTGTCATTCCTGCACTCTGTTGATTACTATAGATAGTATTAAAAGAAAAACTTTTGAGAATTTAAACTTAGCAGAGTTTATTTGAGCAAAGAATGATCAATGAAGTCATCACTCCTCACAACCAGAAAAGGTTCAGAGAGCTGGGCTCTGCAATGTGGGCAGTGAGTACTTATAGACAGAAAATGTGAGGTACAGAAATCGTTTGACTGGTTACAGCTAGGCCTTTGCCTTATTTGGATATGGTCTGGTCAGTTACCTGCCTGTGATTAGTGGCGGTTTGGCTGCTTATGATTGGCCGAGACACCACTGTTATTACCTTCTTAAGTTAGGTTTTCAGTTTAAGTTAGGTTGTAGTTCATTAAGTGGGAACTGAAAGTATGGAGACAGCCTCAGGCCACTGGCCTCCTGCTTATTGATTGATTGATTGAGACAGAGTCTTGCCCTCTCACCTAGGCTGGAGTGTAGTGGCATGATCTCGGCCCACTGCAACCTCTGCCTCCTGGGTTCAAGCAATTCTCCTGTCTCAGTCTCCCTAGTGGCTGGGATCATAGGTGCCCGCTACCACACCCAGCTAATTTTTTGTGTTTTGAGTGGAAATAGGATTTTGTCATGTTGGCCAGGCTAGTGTTGAACTCCTGACCTCAAATGATCCACCCACCTTGGCCTCCCAAAGTGCTGGGATTATGGGCCTGAACCACCACGCCCGGCTGCCTCCTGCTTATTTAATAGTAGTTATCCTTAATATTGGGTAAAGTGATTCTTCTTTTGTTCTTTGTCAAAATTGTTTTAGATATTTTAAGGTTGGTGTCTTTCCATATACATTTTAGAATAAACTTGTCTGTGTTTATAAAAAGTCTTGAGATATTTGGTTAGGAGTCGTAATAAACTTACAGATTAATTTGGGGAGAATTGACACCTTTATTATGTTGAGTCCAGTGCATGAACATAGTAGGGATGTCTCCATTTGTTGAGGTCTCCTTCAGTATTTTTCATCAGCAATTTTTAATTTAATATACAGATACTGTATGTGTTTTTTACATTTTTTTAAAAAGTGTATACCTAAGTATTTTATATTTTTACTGTGATTGTAAATGGTATGTTTTAAATTCCAACTTTTGCATGGGATAATATTTTTGTGATTATTTCATAGGAAAGTACTCACCTTGTACTTAATTCTATGAGAGAAATCTTAGTGGGCATTCAGATGGGAGACCAAGTTAAATTTCAAAACTACAAGTCATTTTTAAAAGTTATATTAAAACAATTTTGTATGCATGTAAGAATAATTATAATTAGATTGGATTTGGTTTAGAGAAAAATACAAGCACAGGATTCATATATTTCAGAATCATTTTATGTTAAGCTTTGTTTGAAGTAAATTTAGGGTACCTGGAATAGTTTGTCCAAACTCATTGTAGGACTTAAAATTCAGATTAACAATTGGCAAATTCATATGTATGTACTTTGATCAATATGTATAGTCCTGCTCAAGGACGGTAGAGAGGGAGACACAGGGTCATGGAATTGGAATGCTGAGAAAAATTTATTTAACATATTAAAAAATTGATTAAATTTTAAGCATTCGGAACCTTGATTCCACAGGACAGAAGATAAAAGAATATTATCAGGCAGGTAACACAAGAAATACAAATTCAAAATCAGTGCATACAGTGCGCAGTCTTCCAAATGAAGAGATGAATGTTAAAACTATTCAGAGACCACTGGTCATTAAGTTGAGCAAAAATCAAGACGTATTTTACAGCGTAATATTGATAGGTCTTAAAGGAAATGTTTTCAGTCATATAATATGTTGACACTGCAAACATAAGCAGAGCTTTTGCGGTACAGTCTGGCATTAAGTATTACGAGAGAAAAACATTTTGCCCAGAGACACTTACTGGGGCTCTATTTGCTCTGGAAACTATTAGAGAATGTTGTATCTATATAATAGAATAATATTCATTAATAAGAATTATTTAAGGTTTGGTTTATAAACTTGGGCATACATAATAATGTCAATTAAATGGCAATATAAAAATTGTAAATGTTGATAACTACATAAAATTTTTATGTCTGTTAAATTAATATGATATGAATGACAATTATTTGAAGTTTCTAGCTCTTTTCCCTTGTGAGAGTTGTCAGAATCAAAATGAAGTCACTTGTATTAAATTCTAACAAAAAATAAATAAAGCCAGGAGGTTAAGAAGGGAGCTCTCACACACGTCTATCGTAAGAACTGCTACAAAGCATCTCTGAAGGGCTCTTCTGCACATATGCCTGTAATAAGAACTTTTGCCAGCAGTCCCTGCATCTCTACATCCATGGAGCCCCATTGACATTCCCCACCTGCAGCGGCCACTGCAGCTCAAACTGCAGCTTGCTACGTGAGTCACAAGGATAGCTAGCTGGATGCATAAGAACATTTGACTGACACAGTCTCCCCTGTATCCAATGTTCTCTTTGTTTTCAAACAAATTCCTTATGCTTTTCCCTTTTGCCTTTAAAAGCTTCTCCTGGCTTCAACCTGTTTGGATATGCCTGTGGTCCCTATAGCCCTCATATGCTGGATTTGCAAATCCCCTGCACACTCCAGAATAAACTCAGTTCAATAAACTCTTTGAAGAATGCTTGTTATTTAGGTTGACACTCTTTTGTAAAGTTGTATTCAATACACTTTGAAGAAAAAAGAAAAGCTTTGGAACAAGAGGTAGGAACCTTGAGTTTTAGATTTGACTTTGTACTTCAGCCATGGTTTGTGCAGCACTCACCATGTACTGGGTGTGTTGCTGAGTGGTTTGCATGGATTATTCCACCTCTAGGGGCAGAGGACTGCTATATTCGTAGTCTCAGTTTACAGCAGAGGAAATTGAGGCTTAGAGCAGTTTAGTAACTTGCTCAAGATTACACCAGTAGTTGGCAAGTAGGTTTTAGATTCCAGGGCCTGCACTCTGAAGCACTGCGCTGTTCTGCCCTCTGTTATAATTAGTAATTGTCCATATGCATCCTTTGAAGATGACTTCTGTAGAATATGGGCACAGGTCTCAACTGTATGGACAGTTTTACAAAGTGCAGAATAGGATAGTTGCTACTATCTGCATAAATGTAAGAACATACATATTTGCTTGAATGTGGATAAAATACCCCTGGAAAGATATGCAAGAAACTGATAACACTGATTACCTTCTGGAGGAAGATTACACCATGTGACCTTATTACCTTCTCAAAAAAAGTGTAAAGTGTAGACTTTATACATTTTGTGTAAGTGGCCTTGAAAGTTCTTGCCTTCTAAGGACCTTATTTTCCTCATTGTGAAGTGTAGAAGTTGAATAGATGACATATTCCTATCTTTATTGTTGATACTATATAATGGATGATTTCTGAGTCTAGTTTGAAAAGATCAAATTTATGTTATGCCTATTTTATATTTACCAATTACAGGATTCTTATACTTTAATTTTTGAAGATTTGTGAGTATAAATGATATATAAAAGTTTGATTGTTTTATATGTTCTTGGTTAAATGAGCTTTTTGTGTAATGATCATTTACCAGGCTATAAAATGTACTAAGCATTTCATCTTACTAATGTGGTGCTGGATACAGCCAGGTGGATATGTTTAGCTACATTTTATATAAAAGAACAAAAATTTGAATAGGTGTAATCTCTTTCTGGGCTCCAGTGAGAATCTCATTCTTTATTATGTACTGTATACTGATTACTCAGCTGGGGTGAGGGTTGCCTGCATAAAAGTATCTCCTCAGGTTCATAATTGCTGTCTTAGTCTTAAATTGGATTTGACTTAGTCTTAATCTATTCTTGGTCTTCATTGTTTACTATATATTTGCTATTCATGCTTTGGGCTTACGTGGATAATATTTAAATTTAGGCAGTTTTCCATGAGATCCAAATATAAAAAAGCAACGATAAATTTAAATAGTCATTTCATATAACTTAGATCATTTAATTTGTCTTTGAGCTGTCAGTTACTCTTAATCAGTGCATACAATCATTTGTTAGTTCAGTGAGCATTTGAGTGCATGTTCTTTGCAAAGAAGCTAGTCTCTGCCTTCCAAGAAATGATACTAGAGTAAGAATTAATCAGGCAAATATGATATATGATAAGTGTGTGATTGAGTCCTCTGGGAACATATGGAAGGGTCATCTAACTTAACTGGGGGAGGAAGGGTCTGGATTCAAGAAGGGCATTCCTAAAGGAGGTTACTTGCTTGAAATCTGAATTTTAAAAGGATGCATCCGTGTAAGCAAGGTGGGTAGGAGGACCATCCAGGGCAAAGGTGAGAGCCTGTGTAAGAATCAGAGGCAAGCATGTGCCTGTCATTTAGGAAATGTCCAGTAAGCTGGAGTATGAGACTCTTGACAGGCATGTGGGGGATCGTGATTATAAGGAGGACATTATATAGTGCCAGGAATTGGCTCTTTATGGCCATTGAAGGTTTATGTTGGAAGTATTATGAACAGTTTTTTGCTTAGCGTGATCGACTGGTTGCTCTGAAGAATGGATTGGAATAAGACAAGGGGAGAAGCAGAGAGTCTGCTAAATGAGACTGTTGCAGTAAATAAGTAATCCAAGTGTAACCTTACAGTGGTCAAAGAGTAGGCTAATGTAGGTGGGGTAGACGTTTAGGAGGTCGGCTCTAGAGAGATTCATTGGTTGGGGTGATAGGAAAAAAAGGAATTATGATATCCAGGTTTCTGGATTGTTCAAATTGTCCATGCTATTCCCTGAGATAGTCCAGAGAAAAATCATTTAGGGGAGAGGGACAGGTAGAGAAAATATGACTGTCTTATTTCTATAAAAACTTCCTGGTTCTCACTAACTTGTTTTATGTAATAATTTGTAATCTGTGAATTCTTCCCTTTTATCTCAAATCCAACATACTTTCCTAAGTGCAGTTTAAACTCATCTATTCTTGGTCTTCATTGTTTACTATATCTTTGCTATTCATGCTTTGGGCTTACGTGGATAATATTTAAATTTAGGCAGTGTTCCATGAGATCCAAATATAATTGGATCAATTATATTTAATTCAATTTAAATAGTCCTTTCATATAACTGTATTTTTTTACTTTGACAGAGCAGAAACTTGCATTTTGATTGTGAGAAACCATATATTAGGTAAATAATGGTGCCAATTGCAATTTAATTTTTAAATCAAGTATAAACCTTTGGTAAGACATTTGATAAACTCTCCTTTGGTAGTCTGTGGATCTGTATCAATTGTAAACAATTCAAACTAACATAATTATATCTATTATACATCAAAATAACTGTCATCATTTTTTTTCCATCTTTAATTCTTTAATGCAGAAAGGATCATTATATTGTTTCAGGATAGCTAACTCAGAAATAACCAAAGTTTCGGCTGGGTGAGGTGGCTCACGCCTGTAATCCCAGCACTTTGGGAGGTCAAGGTGGGCAGATCACCTGAGCTCAGGAGTTTGAGACCAGCCTGGCCAACATGGCGAAACCCTGTCTCCACTAAAAACACAAAAATTAGCTGGGCATGTTGGCACACGCCTGTAATCCCAGCTACTCAGGAAGCTGAGGCAGGAGAATTGCTTGAACCTGGGAGGGAAAGGTTGCAGTGAGCTGAGATTGCACCACTATACTCCAGCCTGGGTGACAGAGCCAGACTCCGTCTCAAAACAAACAAACAAACAAACAAAAAAACCCAAAGTTTTAAAAGAATACTCAAAGTATTGTGAACTGAGAATAAAGGAGAATGGTACTTTTAAGTCATAAAGTCATTTTGGTTATAATTTAAAGATAGCACTTTATGCTATGATTCAGATAACTGTTCTGGTTTTTATTGGTTCAGATTTAATACTGGATCACATACTGTAATTCACCAACTGTAAGGAGCTATCAATTATAAGACAAATTATTTTATGTACTACTAGAAGAATAAATGCTGCCAATTAAAGCCATCTTATAACAATATTTTTAATTTATGCTTATGGAAAGAACTGTTTGAGACTTAGATATGCATTTTTGTTATATCATACTGCTGTATTCATTGCCTTCCTGCATACATTAATTTCTTGAAGATTTTAAGTGGAATTTAAACTCAGCATGTGTAGTAAGTACCAAAAATGCCCATAACACAAATGAAGTGTGCTAGACCATTCTTGTGTATGTATGATCATGCTGACTGGCTGATGGTAAGACTCCATCAATTTTTAGATTCATCCCTCTTTGAGAGAGATTCAAATGTGTTTTCTTATCAGCTTGCTGAGATATGGGCCAAAGGGAAAGAGGAAGGGGTGAGCCTAAAAGATGCCAGCAGTAAAATGGAGTAAGACTCTATTACATCAGGAAAAGAGGGAACTACTGACTTTTAGGATTCATGGCTTAAATGATAAAGTAGAGCCATTGATTGAAGAGATTGATGGGGAGGGATAGCAATGGGTTGAAGATGGGAAACAGAATTCCACTTTGTCCCTGTTACTGAGATGCCATTTAGGTGATGGATTGGAGACATCTAAATGTGAAGTAGGTAGCTGCCTGCCTGATATTGGATGTGTACATAAGAGGGTTCTGGAAACAGCTATCTGAGTCACAGCATAAAGTGCTATCTTTAAAACCCACAGTTTCAGCCAGGTGCAGTGGCTCACACCTGTAATCCCAGCACTTTGTGAGGCCGAGGCAGGCGGATCATCAGGTCAGGAGATTGACACCATCCTGGCCAACAAGATGAAACTCTGTCTGTACTAAAAATACAAAAAAATTAGCTGGGCGTGGTGGCCCATGCCTGTAGTCCCAGCTACTCGGGAGGCTGAGGCAGGAGAATTGCTTGAACCTGGGAGGTGGAGGTTGTAGTGAGCCTCTAATTAGTGTTTTAAAGATAGCACTTTATGCTGTGACTCAGATAGCTGTTTCCAGAGTCCTCTTATGTACACATCCAATATCAGGCAGGCAGCTGCCTACTTGACATTTAGATGTCTCCAATCGAACGCCTAAATGGCATCTCAGTAACAGGGACAATGTGGAATTCCGTTTCCCGTCTTCGACCCATTGCTACCCCTCTCCCATCAATCTCTTCAATAAATGGCTGCACTCCAGCCTGGTGACAGTGCAAGACCCTGTCTCAAAAAAAAAAAAAAAAAAAAAACCCAGAAAACAAACCCCACAGTTTACTCCTGTATAGAAGGGAGATAATCTGATCTGCCCTTTAAGGTTTTAGGTTTAGCTTAGAGTAGTGCCTGGAGCACAGAAAGCTCTCAATAAGTGTTTTCTGCTGTCATGATTGATCTCCATCGTCATCTATAGCATGGGCTTTAGAGATAGAGACCTTAGTTTGAATTTAAGCAAGACTTACAGCAAGTTATATAATTATTCAATTTTTTTTTTTTTTGAGATGGAGTTTTGGTCTGTTGCCCAGGCTGGAGTGCAGTGGTGTGATCTCTGCTTACTGCAACCTCTGCCTCCCAGGTTCAAGCAATTCTCATGCCTCAGCCTCCTAAGTAGCTGGGATTACAGACCTGCGCCACCACTCCCAGCTAATTTTTGTATTTTTTAGTAGAAATGATGTTTCTCCATGTTGGCCAGGCTGGTCTCAAACTCCTGGCCTCCAGTATTCCACCCACCTCAGCCTCCCAAAGTGCTGGGATTACAGGCCTGAGCCCCCACACCTGGCCCAATTATTCAATTTGTCTGTAAACTGGAAATAGTAAAACCAAGCTCATGGGTAGTATTCTTAGTACTAGATGAAAAAGAAAAGCAAGGAAGCATCTCTAGTGGGAAGTTATCTGTAGTAAGTATACAAAATAGACTTAAGACATATATTCTAGGGCCAGTTGAGGAGGCTCACACCTGTAATCCCAGCACTTTGGAAGGCCAAGGTGGGAGGATTGCAGCTTGAGACCAACCTAGGCAACATAGTGAGGCCATGTCTCTACAGAAAATAAAATAATTAACTGGGTATGGTGACACATACCTGTAGTCCTAGCTACTTGGGAGGTGGAGGCAGGAGGATCACTTGAACCCAGGGCTCTGAGGTTTACAGTGAGCTCTGATCATGCTCCTGCACTCCAGCCAGAGTGACAGAGGGAGACCCTGTCTAATTTAACAAAAAAGACATATATTCTGCTCTTTAGCAATTTACACTTTAGTTGCAGGAAATAAGTCCTAAACATGTATGTGCAAGATGAACAATACAGAGAAACTTGTGAGAAGTTGACATATGAGCTGTCTAGGTAACAAGATAAGATTGAGAACTACATAGGAGACCCACTTCAGTTTTTCTCTTGATTAACTGTGTGATGTTGGGCCAGTTGTTTACTGTCTGTGAGACTCAGGATTTTCACTTATAATGTGAGAGTTAATTGGACAAGATGATTTCTTAGGATACCTCCATTTTGAAGGGTTTCTTAAAGTGATATAAATATTTAGAGGAAAGGCGATTACTCCAGAAAGCTTGGAGGAGGTGGGACTTGAGAAAACAGAGTGGTTTGATTAAAAACTACAAGATGGCACAAGAGTCTTTTGGAATTTTTGAAGGTATCTGTTTTATGTGTTACAATTAGGAGACATTAGCTGTATTAGTCTGTTCTCATGCTGCTAATAAAGACATACCCGACACTGGGTAATTTATAAAGGAAAGAGGTTTAATAGACTCACAGTTTCACATGGCTGGGGAGGCCTCACAATCATGGTGGAAGGTGAAGGAGGAGCAAAGGGACTTCTTAAATGGCAGCAGTCAAGAGAGCATGTGCAGGTGAACTGCCCTTTATAAAACCATCAGATCATGAAACTTATTTACTATCATGAGAACAGCATGGGAGGGACCCACTCCCGTGATACAATTACCTCCCACCAGGTCCCTCCCATGACACATGAGAATTATGGGAGCTACAATTCAAGATGAGATTTGGGTGGGGACACAGCCAAACCACATCAATTAGCTATATCCTTACATTTTCCTGCTTCATTAGTTATGAATTAATCAACTATTTGAGCTCATCCTCTGTGTCCGTTTTCCTTGTGCAGGGTGTGTCTAGGACAGTGGTTCTTGGGATTGGCCTCAGGATCTCATTATAGTGTTAATTACTGAGGTCACCAAAGAGCTTTGTTTATCGGTATTTACTATATTAGAAATAAATTTGAGAAATTAAAATAACTTAATGAAAAGTTACTACATGTTAATGTATTTTTTGTGTAAAAATAACTTTTCAAAAACCAAATTTTATTATTAAGAGTAGTATTTGTTTCACATATTTGCAAATTTTGTTAATATCTGTCTTAATTGAAGATAACAATTCTCATATCTGCTTCTATATTCAATCTGTTGTGATTTGTGCTTTGGTTGAAGTATATTGAAGATACTATGGCCTCACAGATATGCAGGTAGAAAAGGAAGAATGTTTTTGTATTCTTTTTAGATAATTACGAGTATTCTTCTTTGATGTTCCACAAAACTCCACTCGCGATTATATAGGTTAGTTACATATGGACTCTGAATCCTTATTAATTAACTTACAGCACTCTCTGTTATAATAAAATGCATTGGTTTATCTTGCCCTTTGAATGGGTTCTTTATCTTTTATCCATACATGCTTTTGTACTCACAGACCCCTGAAAGGGCACTAAGGAATCCCAGGGGTTCCTAGGTCACACTTTGAGAATCACTGCTACAGTGTTATCTGCCTCAGAGAGTGGTTACTACTTTAAGGTTATGGGTATTTTTAGCGTGGCAGAGAAATTTGGCCTGTCCTGTTAAGTGGTTATGTGAATTTATATTCCCACCAGCAGCATAGGGGAGTTCTAGGTATGCCACTTCTTCAACACTTCATGTGAACAGATAGTGTGAATTTTGCTAACCTGTTAATGTGAGAAAGGCCCTTTGAGGTCTCTTGTGTATATTTCTGTTGGGTTCTAGTTATCCAACTATTTCTTTTCCATTCGTCCATCCTCCTTCTTCTTCCCTCCTGCTCTCTCCCCACCCCTAATGGATTTAGCTGCTTCTTCCTTAGTCTGTTCTTTCCGTATGGTTGTACATGCTGTGTGTTTTTCTCATACTCGTTACCTCAGGAATTTTAATATGCATGTTTAACAAGGTAATCAAAACACAAGGATTTTAGAATGCTTTAATTCAGTCGCTCACCCCCTGACTTGTATACTATTGTTTCCAAAAACAGTTCTTTATGTTTTTTTCTTTTTCTTTTTTTTGGACATTCAAATTAGTGTTATTTTTATATAGTTCTTTTAACAAAGACTGCAGAAAGAATATGTGAAGGCAAATTCTAGAAGTCACTGCAGAATGTAATGTTGCATATACCTCAAGTGTTACATATTTTTCTATGTTATCAAATAATATCAAATGAAAATTTAAATTTTTGCTACTTATCCCAAAACATTAATTAAATAGAATTAGAAATATTAATTTCTTGAGGAATTAGCAATTCATTGAATATATTTTATGCCAAAGTCTAATTTTATTTTGAATTCAGAGAAGTCAAAGAAAGGTTCTATTATTCTAGGACCTTAATCACTGTAACTTTAATACAAGGGACCCAGTTTAAGTGGGCTAATATCTAATGCAATGGAAAATAAATTGAGCATCTTTTTAAAGTGTGTATTAGCACTTTTTGGAGTACTTGCTATGTGTTACATAGAGTATCTTCTTAATCTCTCAGTGACTGCCCTACAGGATATTGGTATTATTATCCCTCTTTTATTGGTAAAGAAAATGCAGAAAACACATAGGTAATTACTGATTGCCAGGAATGGGGTTTAATTAATTCATTCATCTAGACTTTATTTAAAAGCAATATCTGTTTGGAAATATTCACAGCCCGGTCACTGAGAAATGGTAAAACTTCCACACTGTGTTACTCCTGTGTTGGCTATCTGCTGCTAGATAACACATTATCCAACGTTAGCAGCTTAAGTAACACACATTTATATGATTTCACAGTTTATGGGGTTAGGAATCTGGCCATGGTGTAGCAGGGTCTGCTGCTTACTGCAGGGTCATGGCCTACAGTCAAGATGTGAGATGGGCTGCAATAGTAGCTGAGGGCTTGGCCAGTAAACGATCCGCCCCTAAACTTACTCAGCTGGCAGGGTTTAGTTCCTCTTGAGGTGTTTGACTGTTGGCCAAAGTCTTCCCTTGGTTGCTTCTCACACGGGCCTCTCACATGTCACAACATGGCAGCTTGCTTTATCAGAGCCAGCAAGTGAGAAGGTGAGAGGGAGTGCTAGCACCATGGAAGTCAGTTTTTTGTGACCTAATCAAGGACGTGACAGCTTATCACTTTGGTCATACTCTGTTTTTTAACAAACTTTTATACTGCAAAACAATAGGCCTAGGTTCATACCTCTCTTACCTTATAGTAGGATAAATTCAAAATGCATCAAAGATTTAAATGTAAAAAAAAAAGGCCAGGCATGGGCTGGGTGCAGTGGCTCACGCCTGTAATCCCAGCACATTGGGAGGCCAAGGTGGGAGGATCACATGAGTCCAGGAGGACAACATAGTGAGAACCTGTCTCTACTGAAAACAGAAAAAATTAGCCGGGTTATTCTGTTTGTTAAAAGGAGTTACCAGGTCCACCTCATGCTCCAGAAAGGCATGAATACCATGAGGCGAGGATCACTGGGGGCCATCTTAGAAGGCTGCTTACCACAACTGCCAACCTGGTGTTTTTATTTGAGGCGCCAGAAGTAGAGGTGCAGTCATACAGAAGGCAGATCATCTCTTTGAACAAGCCCCCATCCCGTAGCTATTACGGGTTATTTTTCCAGAAGCTCAGTGACCAGGATACATAGTGAGAAGTAAAAAATATAAAATATTGTTACAGGAAGGGATTTGGCAGAAAGAGTCAGAAATGTGAAAGCCCTAAGGAAGAGAAAGGATGTCAAGAAACATGAAAAAGGGAAGAATGAGGGAATTGTCAGCAAGGGCCATTCTCTACATGCAGGTGTAGAGAAAACAAGGGGGTGATTGAGAGGAGTCAACAGCCTCATGGTAATAATAAAAATCTTCATCTCAGACGGGCACAGTGGCTCATATGTGTAATCCCGTGCTTTGGAAGGCTGAGACAGGAGGATCACCTGAGGCCCGGAGTTGGAGACCAGCCTAGGCAACATAGTGAGACAACCCTGTCTCTACAAAAAATAATAAAAAATTAGCTGGCTGTAGTGGCATGCACCTGTAGTTGCAGCTACTTGGGAGGCTGAGGCTGGAGGATTGCTTGAACTGAGGAGCTGGAGATTGCAGTGAGCTAAGAACATGCCACTACACTCCAGCCTGGGAGACAGAGCAAGACCCTGTCCCCTGTCTCTTTAAAGAATAAAAAAATGGGCCTGGCTCAGTGGCTCACGCCTGTAATCCCAGCACTTTGGGAGGCTGAGGCGGGCGGATCACAAGGTCAGGAGTTCGAGACCACCCTGGCCAATATGGTGAAACACCATCTCTACTAAAAATACAAAAATTAGCCGGGCATGGTGGCGGATGCCTGTAGTCCCAGCTACTCAGGAGGCTGAGGCAGGAGAATTGCATGAACCCAGGAGACGGAGGTTGCAGTGACCTGAGATTGCACCACTGCACTCCAGCCTAGGTGACAGAGCGAGACGCCGTCTCAAAAAAAAAAAAAAAAAAAAAAAAAAAAAGAATAAAAAAAAATCCCCCAAAACCCTAATTTCATCTGGCTTGACTCTCTTTGAAACTCTCAGGCTTCTAAGGAAGCCCCTCGTTTCTCCAACTCCTTTCTTACTTCCTTGGAAGAATCCTCTCTCCCTCTTCCCCACCTCTCTTCTGGCCTCACAGAGGCCTAGATGACCTGAGCTCACTCCCTCTTTCCTGTTTCCATTACCTGAGCCCTCCAGCCTCTGTCCCGAGATTTAGGGCTTCTCCTCTCACCTTCCAACAAGAAAAATTGTGTGGAAGAAATTAGACTCCAATGTTTGAGAGGAAAAAAAGGTGCAAATACGATCCTGAAGAGGCAGTCAGTCTTTGATACATTCTATCTAAGAGGGTCAGTAGTGTACTCATAGGAAACACGTTATCAATAAACTTTTACCCAGAGCAAAGTGACAGTGCACACACATTCATACTCTCTCCGATGGGGTTTATCCGAAGTATTCAAGACCACCCTAAGGATGATAAAACAGACAGAGACAAGCATGTCTGACTCCAAACAACACCCTTAAACTGGATGATGCAATCATTCCGGGAAACCCTCCCCCAGAGTGAGTGGAGGTTACCAATTCCTAGTTACCAATGAGTACTTCAAGTCCTGTTCTTCACAAGTCAAGGGTTAAAACAGACAAAATAGAATAGCTAAAATAGAATAGCTAAAATATCCTAAAACACAAAATGGACAAGTATAAAACCCTTACCAAGAAATAATATTGATAAAGTTTCTCATTTGGAGTGTTCTGTCCCACCAGGTTGGTAGTGGGAGTATATTTTAAAAATTAATCCACTGAAAGGAGGAATATGATTGACTCATTGAGGAGGGAGATTTCTAGAATTAACTTTCCCTTGTCTGTACCTAACCCAAAATTGGAACCCTTTAGTTATAGTTTGCATCTTAGTAAGAATATTAAGATTTCAAAAATTATTAAATATAAACTACAATCTTAACCTCCCCTCCCTCAGGCTTAAAAAAATGTAGCTACCTGGTTTTCTGAGATAATTATTTTTTGTCTGGAGGAAGAAATTGTTAAGAGTCCCTGTGCACAGGGCTGGGGTTGGGAGTGGGGATGAACTGTAAGTAAAAACAAGGGATCTTACTGGGGTGATGGAAATGGTCTAAAACTGTGGTGATGGCTGCACAACTTGGTAAATTTATTTTTTAAAAAATCATAGAATTGTACATTTGAAATGAGCAATTTTATGCTATATAAATTATGTCTTTATAAAGTTATTTTAAAAAGAGGCAGTGTGCAGATCTCTTAAAGCCACATCATGCACCTTTTAGTAAGGTATTACTCTTATTTCCTTCTAAATTCTTTCTTGTACTTTAACCCTTTTGGTATCAGATCTTTTTTTAAATCTTACAACCTCTAAAAAAGCTGGCCCCTTCTTTCAGTTTCCCTATGTGTTTCATTATTTTGGTTATTTTATACTTAAAAAAATACTTAGGAACTATAAGTAGAAGGCAAAATAAATAAAACTCAAGTTAATTTATTCTGCAGAGCTATATGTAAGAAAGTGAAAAACGTGCTTTCCTTCCTCCGTTCTTCTCTGTCCTTTCACGTGCCTACATGTATTTGCTTCCCGGTAAGTTTTTGGGACCCAGGTCTTCTGAGTCTAGATCTGTTGTTCATGCTCATGGACCATATCGGTAGAAATCAAGGGCCTTCCCTGCTGCATCCAGTCATCAGACAAGCCAGTTTTTCCAGTATCTCTTTACCCTTTTTACCCAATGAACTTAAGTATTTGGAATGGTTTACCCTTGTGTATATTACAGGTATCAGATTTAAGAGATTAAAAACTCTGCTTAGTTTTTTATTTTCCTTATAGCTCAAATCTAATCCAAGTGAAAATGAAGAAAAGGAAGCACAGTCTCAACTTATAAAATCTGATGAAATGCAGCGTTTGCGTTCACAAGCACTTAACGCTTTTGGAAGTGGAGATTATACTGCTGCTATAGCCTTCCTTGATAAGATTTTAGAGGTAAGTTTCTTAGATACTGCAGTTGACCAGCCTGACACTTATTGTAAGGCACATTTATATACTTCGACATGTCACATACCACAAAGACCTAGACAGGAGAAAATCAGGTTGGTCCTTGGGCTTTTGCCTCTTAAGTATAAAATAGTGTTCCTAGACAACAAAATTTGGACTGAAGTTTTCAGTAAATGTACTGAATGTGCTGTGGCATGAGAGTTAAATATGTTTATAAATTGCTTGCTTTGCTATTTTAGTTGATTTTGTATTTTTTTGGGAAGAAAACTCTAGCGGTTAGATAATGGGATAAAAGATGAAAAAGATGGTTGGAGTAAAAGGAAAAATGATGTTCGGGAGGAAAGAGGAATGTTTAGAGAAAAATTTCTAGAGAATAAGGCAGATAAAGAGTTGATAGTATGTGCCTGTAGTCCTAGTTACTTGGGAGCTGAGGCTGGAGGATCACTTGAGCCCAAGAATTTGTCGCTGCAGTGAGCTGTGATTGCTCCACTGTACCCCAGCCTGGGCGACAGAATGGGACCCTGCCTCTAAAAATATTAATAATTGGCTGGGTGTGGTGGCTCATGCCTGTAATCCCAGCACTTTGGGAGGTCGAGGTGGGTGGATCACTTGAGGCCAGGAGTTTGAGACTAGCCTGGCCAACATGGCAAAATCCTGTGTCTAAAAAAAAAAAAAAGAAAATTAGCTGGGTGTGGTGTGCATGCTTGTGATCCCAGCTACTCGGGAGGCTGAGGCGCTCGAACCTGAGAAGCAGAGGTTGCAGTGAGCCACTACACTGTAGCCTGGGCCACAGAGTGAGACTCCGTCTCAAAAAAAAAAAAAAAAGTTAATAATAATAATGGTTGATAGGATCCAGAGAGTTCTAGCTAGGGAAACCTGAGTCTAGGTTTCCTTGCCTCTGAAGGATTTAATGACAACTGATTTCCGAAGGAAGTCTACTGAAATATTCAAATGGAAGCAGTCGTAATTCACATTTATTTGTGATTTTCACAGTATTTTGATATACAGTTTCATTTAATTTTGGCTCTAAACTTATGATGTATGTAGAATGGGCAATTTGTTGATAATTTTACAGAAGATATTGTGATATGGTCCAGTAGAATTCATGTTTTACTGGGTTATTTTGTTTATGCTTTTTTAAGGAAATATAGTTTACATTTTTACATTCCCATAGACTATCCATTTTGAACTTAGTTCATTGTCCATGATATTTATGTATAATGTTGGTTTTGATATTTTTGTATATGTGAAAAGTCGATACGACTTTAGAGCAGCTCTAAGAAATATGCAAAGATACTTCCACCAGCCTTATTGATGAGCTCTTGGGTTTATGATTTGAAGAATACTATTGTGTTTCCTAAACCCTTATGGACTTTTTGATAAAATAGGAATGGTGAAGCCTCAACCTCCTGCCCTCTCACGGTATTTTTTCTTTCTTTCTTTCTTTTTCTTGATATGAGGATTTACTTTTAAGGCGGTGACATTTACAGAAGATAATTTCTTAAAAAAGGTTTTTGTTTAGAGACTGGGTCTCTCTCTGTTACCTAGACTGGAGTGCAGTGGTGCGATTGTAGCTCACTGTAACCTTGAACTCCTGGACTCAAGTGATCCTCCCATCTCAGCCTCCTGAGTAGCTGGGACCACTGGTGTGTTCCACCACACCCAGTTAATAATTTTAAACTTTTTATAGAGATGAGATCTTGCTTTGCTGCCTAAGCTGGTCTGGAATTACAGGCATGAGTCAATGTGCCCAGCTAAGAACATAATGTGGTTATTAGCAGAAAAAAGTATTTTGCCAATGTAGAACCTAGGTTTTATTTTTTTGACTACAAATTAGAATTGTTGATTAAGTATAAAAATCTGATAACAGAATATTCTCTTCAAATATGCTTCACTAGGAACAACCCTCCAATAGTAAATGCTATGTTTTCTTATTTTCAGTGTCTTAGAATTATATAATCGAAGGAGGTAAGAAAAGGGCCTTGTTATTATATATATCTCTTCCCCCATTAGAATTCATTTACAACATTTTTGGAGAAACTATTTTGTCACATCAGTTTTGTCACATTTAAATTGTATCAGATTTTAAAATAATATTTGCACTATATAAGTCATCACATCAATTGAGAATGTTTTATGTTGATAAATACGTAGATAAAAAATACGTGGAATGCAACAATGAATGTGCATAATTTATTCTTTCTTAAAGTCTAGTTCTTTTGTTCCTCAAGGTTTGTGTTTGGGATGCAGAACTACGGGAACTTCGAGCTGAATGTTTTATAAAAGAAGGAGAACCTAGGAAAGCTATAAGTGACTTAAAAGCTGCGTCAAAGTTGAAGAATGATAATACTGAAGCGTTTTATAAAATAAGCACACTGTACTACCAACTAGGAGACCACGAACTGTCCCTCAGGTCAGTTCTAGTGACACACATGTCTGATCTTTTTTAATTGTTGGCAGTAAGATTACCTCATCTTGTTTTAACATTTTAATATTAAATTAATAAGATGATGGTAGTTAAGGCTGTTTTTATATTGTATATCCATTTATATATTTTGTGTTATTCCCAAGTTACTTTAATTCCACATAGTTTGTTTTCATGAAGCTGCTTATTAAACAGGAAGGCTCTTATATTTATAGAAACAAAATGGAATGTTTACTATATAATGCTAGTAAGTCATTTTAATTTGAATTAACAAATGTATGCATGGTACAATGCCACGTATAAATGTATATAGTAAATTATAAGTCTCAGTATGGTTTTTGTTTAATCGTTGCAAACAAAAAATACTTTTATTGTGATTTCTGTGGAAAACTACTCATTGATTGTTTTGACATGGAGTATTTTCCTTTTTTAAATACATGAACAGTGAAGTTCGGGAATGTCTTAAACTTGACCAGGATCATAAAAGGTGTTTTGCACACTATAAACAAGTAAAGAAACTTAATAAGCTGATTGAGTCAGCTGAAGAGCTCATCAGAGATGGCAGGTGAGAATATGGTTGTTCCAACTGTCCAGCCATTCCTTATGTGCGGGGCTGTGGGCACAAGTGAACTACAGAACTGCTCTTTTACTTCTCAGCCATTGAGGGTGGGGTATTCTAGATAGCCCTGGGCCTTAGCAAAACTACCAGAATTGGACATTTTTGGAATAGGGAAGAATATAAATAATAGTAACTGTGTAGTATCCTTACCAGCAGAATTACTTGTACTATACCAAATATTTATTATCTCCTATATCAGGCTGAGCTATGTACTGAGGGTGCAGACTTAAACTTGACAATAGTTTTTGTTCTTAAGAAGTTTATAGCATTGCGTGGGAGACAAATATATGAATTGATTATTAAAAGACAATATGATACCAAAGTGATAGAATGTACATAGGATAATTGGAGTACCAAAGAGGAGTATTTACTCCAAACCAGGATGGTAAAGGCAAGGAGTAAAAGAGGAGCTTTTTTTTTTAGAGAAGGTGATAGATATTTAAATCCTAATCCTAAAGAATAAGTAAAAGTGGACAGAAGTAAGAGGCTGTGTCTGTGTGAGTGTTGTTTGTAGGGGGTTTATAGGCTGGGCAGGAGGACTGAAAAGAGTAGAGGGCACTGCAGACAAAACTGCCTAATAGAAAATAGGCTCCAATTCCTCTACTTTTAGTAGCTTTGTAAGTTGCCATCATGAGAATGCTTCACTCGGTTTCCCCCAACATCTTGCAGACTATAACGCCTTGCAAAACTATAGTACATTGTCA
Source organism: Homo sapiens (assembly GCF_000001405.40). NCBI lineage: Eukaryota > Metazoa > Chordata > Mammalia > Primates > Hominidae > Homo > Homo sapiens. The sequence continues at coordinate 95,761,557 of NC_000013.11, forward strand.
CAATCAGGATATTGACGTGGGTGCAGTCAAGATACAGAATAATTCCATCCCAACAAGGACACCTCATGTTGCCCTTATAGCCACACCTACTTCCCTCTTGTTCCTATCCCTTCCTTAGCTTGTGGCAACCACTAATCTATTCACTTGTAGAATTCTGTCATTTTAAGAATGTTACATAAATAGAATCATACAATGTATAAACTTTTGGGATTGGCTTTTTTTTTTTTTGAGACAATCTCACTATGTTGCCCACCTGTTCACAGATACAGTCATAGTACACTCAAGTGATCCTTCTGCCTCAGCCTTCTGAGTAGCTGGGACTTCAGATGCATGCTACCACAGCTGGCAGGATGGGCTTTTTTCCCCCTCATTCGAATTGTCTGGAGATTTATCCATATTGTATCAATAATTCCTCCTTGTTTACTGTTGAGTAGTTTCCATGGTATGGATTTACTGCAGTTTGTTTAACCATTTATCCATTGAAGGACCTGAGGTTGGGAGTTTGAGACCAGCCTGACCAACACGGAGAAACCCTGTCTCTACTAAAAATACAAAATTAGCCGGGCGTGGTGGCGCATGCCTGTAATCCCAGCTACTGCGGAGGCTGAGGTGGGAGAATCGCTTGAACCCGGGAAGTTGAGGTTGCGGTGAGCCGAGATTGTGCCATTACACTCCAGCCTGGGCAACAAGAGCGAAACTCCGTCTCTAAAAAAAATGTTTTCTGTTTGCAAGTCTGTCCTTTTCAGGTCCTCTGGCTAGACAGAGCAGACTTCTGCAGGTTTTTGTTATTGTCGTTCTGTACCTGTTGGCGTTTCTGCATTGCTGGAATCTTCAGCTCCAAGTCTGGGATATATGAAACAAAAAAAAAGAACCCAGGGAACGTCTTACCATGTTTTCCTCAGGTCCTGAGTCACTAGCTAGTCTGTCTCTTTTCCTCCTTTGAAAGTTTTCTATTTTAAAAAATATACATATAATCTCTAGGGTTTTTTAGTTGTGCTTAGCTGGAGCACTTGGGACAAATACATCTATTCCACTTTCCCAGAAGCTGGCTTTTTTGTTTTCTTCTTTAAGTTCCAGGATGTATGTGCAGAATGTGGAGGTTTGTTACATAGGTAAACGTGTGCCATGGTGGTTTGCTGCACCTATCAACCCATTACTTAGGTATTAAGCCCCACATGCATTAGCTATTTGTCCTGATGCTCTCCCTCCCCTTGCTGCCTGCCCCACACAGGCCTCCGTGTGTGATGTTCCCCTCCCTGTGTCCATGTGTTCTCATTGTTCAGCTCCCACTTATGAGTGAGAATATGCAGTGCTTTGTTTTCTGTTCCTGCGTTAGTTTGCTGAGGATGATAGAGAAGCTGGCTTTTATTTTAAATGTTTTAGTTAAGCCTGTGTTTTAATACATTGGCATATTTACATATGAAGATTGTAGCACTTTGGGAATAGTGTGCCACCATGGCATAGAAACATATTTTTTACTTTACTATTGTTGAGGGAAATAACTGAGTATATAACAGGATTAGTACTTTTTACTGGTTTAAAGAAAATGCTGAAATAGCTTTTATTCTTAGAAAGCTTATACAGTTGGGAATTTAATCAGGTACCTTTTGTGTGAACTACGTTGTACTTTGTTGTAAATACTGACATTAATTATATAAAATGGCACGTAATGGGTTCCATTATTTTCATGGAAGTGTTTACTGACCAAGAAATAAAACTTGATCTCTGTATTGTTCAAGGTGCTCAGTGTAAGTCAGACTTCAACAGGGTGTTTTACTCAGGTTTGGAATTCTGAGCAATGTTTCTGTAAGGAAATTCTTCTGGTTTGATTGGTACTTATACTCACAGGTATGCTTTGTTCTGTCCATCTGCATCTCCTATGGTCATATGTTTTTATTTCCTAACTCTTAATTATGGAGTGTACCTTCTATGGGACTCTAGATTAATAAGGGAAAAGCCGAATCTGAAGCCATGGGCTCATCCAATTGGATTGATTAAGCAACACATGGTGAAGAGGGGAGGAGCCTTTCTACAGCTCTGGAAATCAAATGTCATCATTTCTTATCATGATTTGCTCATTTCTTAGATACACAGATGCTACCAGCAAATATGAATCTGTCATGAAAACAGAGCCAAGCATTGCTGAATATACAGTTCGTTCAAAGGAGAGGATTTGCCACTGCTTTTCTAAGGTAACAGTTGACTTGTTCCCAGAAATGTGAAAACTCAACATGTGGAATACCAACCATAAATCCTTGTCTCACATTTCCTTTTAGGACGAGAAGCCTGTTGAAGCTATTAGGGTTTGTTCTGAAGTTTTACAGATGGAACCTGACAATGTGAATGCCCTGAAAGATCGAGCAGAGGCCTATTTGATAGAGGAAATGTATGATGAAGGTAAATCTTTAAGGATTTGATTTGCAGTACCGAAGTGTTGATTAGGAAATTATCACATTTTAAGCTTCCTTTTCCTTAAAACAAATTTACCAGAGTACCTGGAAATGTTGACAATTTTAGAAAAATGGCAGAGAACTTGAAAATTACTCTTCCATAGTGGAACCTGAAAGGTATACCATGTGAGGAAAGAGTTCTGCCATTGAAACCAGTTCAGTACAATAGAAAAATAAATATTTTAGCTTTTTTTGTAGAAAGGAAAAAAAATAACAAAATAGAAAATTTAAATTGTAGCTCTCATGTTATCCGGAAGTAATCACTGTTCATTTTGCATTTATCTTTTCCAGCTTTTATCTATGCACATATATTACTCTATATTTTATGCACATATACATATTCTCTCTCTCTCTCTCTCTCTCTCTCTCTATATATATATATATATATACTCGGTGTGTATAAAACATAAATACAGAAAGCATACATACATGTCATATATCCCTAATATAAAATGATCCTCTGTGACCCCAAGCTGTTTAGTAACATAGGACAGCTGCTACCCTATTTTGTTCAAGCCAAATGAAATAACAAGAGATTCCTGCCAGATGTTGTGAGGTCCTTGGATAAAAGCAGTGTCCTGTTTTTGGAAGATAACTACGGCGTATACAGTAATATACAGTTTTTGAAAAATAGAATCCATATATATATATATATATATATATATATATATATATATACACACACACACATATATATATACATATATATATACACATATATATATATACATATATAATACATGTATATATATACATATATATATATAGTTTTGTGCCTTTTTTCATGTGACACTATGTTATGAACATTTAAATGATACAGGTTTTTAAAAAAATAAATGAGCCTTATAAGCCCTTATTGCAAATATTTTGTTTCAAATTCAGGTAAAGCATTTTAAATCAAAAACAGTAATTTTCTCTTACAGTTAAATGAAGGGTTCGAATGGTAAAATTTGGTTTGTGATACTCTTTTTAAGGCAAAACTGGTCAATCTCTTTTTCCCTGCTTTCCTCAATTAGAAAAGAATCTTGCTCCTAAGCAAGTTCCCAGTTTCCAGGGAATGATGACAACCTGGTCACTACTATTTGTGGGACATCTTGTGGGGGATTCAGACCTTGAGGTCTCTGAATGAGGCTTGAAATGAATGCAGTCAAAATGACACTTTAATATTTATAAGCATGCTTCAATAAGGCATGTAGTCCACATAGAAAATCCCTTTAGCATACTCGTTTTCTTTCCTTTTGAGCTACCGTGTCTACTCGGTGAGATGGTTTTACTCTAGGATTTGCATTCCAGTTAGCTTTTGGAACTCTTTATCAAAGATACTTTTGTCATCTGTATGTAAACCCTTAGCTCTCACTGCGAAATTAGAGAAGCTACAGAAGAATATAAAGAGCTTAGCTGTTAAAAAAAAAAAAAAAGGCTAAATCTTGTAGAATGCTAAGTGTAATTTGAAAGATGCATTTGGAACTTGAATGTTAAACTGACTTGCTTTTTGGGGAAACCTGATGGCTTAATTCTGGAAGAAAAAGATGCTTAGTGCTAATTTAATATAATTGATCTGTTTTTTTTTTTTTTTTTTTTTGGAAATGGAGTCTTGGTCTGTTACCCAGGCTGGAGTGCAGTGGCACAATCTTGGCTCACTGCAACCTCCACCTCCCAATTGCAACCAATTCTTCTGCCTCAGCCTCCTGAGTAGCTGGGATTACAGGTGTGCACCACCACGCCTGGCTCATTTTTGTACTTCTAGTAGTGATGGGGTTTCACCATGTTGGCCAGGCTGGTCCTGAACTCCTGACCTCAGGTGATCTGCCTGCCTTGGCCTCCCAAAGTGCTAGGATCAATTGGCCCTGCCCAATTGATATGTCTTTGAAGTCTGTTGTTTCCTGGAAAAAATTCTTTTCTATAGGAATTTATTAAAGAGAGAGAGAGAATAGTTGCCAGCTGTCTACATTTGCAAAAGAAAGAAAGAAAGGAAAAGAGCCTGTATAACTGAAACTGATAGGTATTACCTGACTTGTTTGGACTGGAATCAGAGGTTTAGTATAAATGATGTAAATAAATAATAATCTTACTTAGCTAAATAACAGTATGTCTTCAGTTGAAATCTTGAGTTAGAAATATGCTTTCCATATTCTTCTGCTTCCTGGTTTTACCTTTCTTAGATAAGCAATTTAAAGTGATGGCAGGTACATAATAAAGAATGAATAGGTTTAGGTTAGTGAATAATGGAACATGGACATTTATTAATTTGGGGCTTATGATAGAATTATCAGGAAACAGGGGATTCCACTCAATAGAAAGCAAGTAAAGTAAGACTGTTATTTGAGGATGCCTCTGAGATCTTGAAAAATCAAGGGAAACTCTTCAGATCGCTACATGTCTCTGTTTTAATAGCTTTTGAGAGGAAAAAACTGACATTGAAGCAGTACTAAAATATTGGCAAAGTTTCTTTGAATATAGGGGTAACTCAGGTGTCCTTATGAAATGATCAGTTATATTTGCTAGAACTTAAGCTGTGTGAGGGCAGAGACCTGTGGCTGTTATATTAACTGATGCAGTCCTGGTGCTTGTGCTGGCACTCATCTTTGCTGAATGAATGAAGGTAATTTATTTATTATACAAAAGTCATAGTGGAGAGTATGGAATTTAGAATTAGTCCTGCCTTTGAGTCTGGCTTTGTGCAGTTATTCTATTTTTTTTTTTTTTGAGATGGAGTCTTGCTCTATAGCCCAGGCTGGAGTGCAGTGGCATGATCTCGGTTCACTGCAACTTCCGCCTTCCGGGTCCCGGTTCAAGCAATTCTCCTGCCTCAGCCTCCTGAGTAGCTGGGATTACAGGAACTGTGCCACCATGCCTGGCTAATTTTTGTGTTTTTAATAGAGACAGGGTTTCACCATGTTGGCCAGGCTGGTCTTGAACTCCTGACCTCGTGATCTGCCTGCCTTGGCCTCCCAAAGTGCTGGTATTACAGGCATGAGCCACCACGCCTGGCCAGTTATTCCATTTTTTATTTTTAATTGTGGTAAAAGATACAGTATAAAATTTACCATCTTAACCATTTTTACATGTATAATTTAGTAGAGTTAAATATGCTCACATTGCTGTGAAAAAGATCTTCAGAACTTTTTCATCGTGCAAATCTGATCTCTGTATCCCTTAAACAGCCGCTCCTTTTTACCTCTCCCTCGGCCCCTGGGAACCACCATTCTACTTTCTGTCACTATGAATTTGACTATGCTAGATCCTCACATAATGGGAATCATATACTGTTTGTCTTATTGTGCTTGGCATGTTTCACTTAGCATAGTATCCTCCAGGTTCATCCATGTTGTAGCATGTGACAGGATTTCTTTTTCTTTTAAGGCTGAATAGTATTCCATTGTATGGATATCCCACATTTTGTTTATTAATTCATCCACTGATGAACGTTTGTGTTGTTTCTGCCTTTTGGCTATTGGAGTAGTGTAGCCATGGATATGGGTGTGCAAATATCTCTGAGATCCCGCTTTCAATTCTTTTGGATATCTACCTAGAAGTGGGATTGCAAAATCATTATGCTAGTTCTTTTTTAATTTTTTGAGGAACCTCCACACTGGTTTTTGTCATGGTTACACCATTTTACAATTTTACCAGCAGTGTATTAAAGATTCTGATTCTTCCACATCCTCGTCAACAGTTTTTTGGGTTTTTTTTTTTTTTTTGAGACAGAGTCTTGCTCTGTCGCCCAGGCTGAAGTGCAGTGGTGCAATATGGGCTCACTGCAACCTCCATCTCCTGGGTTCAGCTGATTCTCCTGCCTCAGCCTCCTTAGTAGCTGGGATTGCATGTGTGCACCACCACACCTGGCTTTTTTTTTTCTTTTTTTTTTCCGTATTTTTAGTAGAGATAGGGTTTCACCATGTTGGCCAGGCTGGTCTTGAACTCCTGACCTCATGCGATCCACCCGCCTCAGCCTCCCAAAGTGATGGGATTACAGGCGTGAGCTACACTGCTCAGCTGGTCAACATTTTAGATTTTCTGTTTTTTCAATAGTAGCCATCTTAATGGGCTTGAGGTGGTACCTGGTTTTGGTTTTGATTTATATTTCCCTAATGATTAGTGATGTTGAGCATCTTTTCATATGCCATTTGTATATTTTCTTTGGAGTATGCCATTTATTTTTTGCTATATGGTTTCAATCAAGTCATTTAATTTACTTTTTACTCTACTTATCTGTAAAATAGGAATAAGAATAGTACTTATCTCCTAGAATTGTGGTGGCTATTAAATAAGATGATGCTCAGAAAATGCTCAGCAACATCTAAATCCGTGGTTTCCACTGTACTCATTTTCAGGTTGTTTGGAACTTGCATTGACTTTTCTGTATAAACAATATTGTGTGGGATATCTAGCTAGCTTCTTGGACTAACCTGTGACTGCTGCATGAACTCCATTTGACACAGCTGTTATTGAAGTGTTACTAGTAATATCAATAATTCTGTGAATAGGGCCAAGTAGATTGCTTTCTCTGGATGAAGGCTGGCCTGGGCAAAATTGTGAAAGAGGTAAAGTTTATCTTTTGATTCCCTAGGGTGTTATCCTGTTTGCAGATTCTTGTGCCCTCTTGCTTATCCTGGGACTCCACCCTGTTATACTACCTAGGCCCACCCTATCCCGCAGAAGTATTCTGTGTTCAAAATTTATACCGGCCAGGCACGGTGGCTCATGCCTGTAATCCCAGCACTTTGGGAGGCCGAGGTGGGTGGATCACCTGAGGTCAGGAGTTCGAGACCAGCCTGGTCAACATGGTGAAACCCTGTCTCTACTAAAAATGCAAAAATTAGCCAGGCATGGTGGTATGCATCTGTAATCCCAGCTACTCCGGAGGCTGAGGCAGGAGAATCACTTGAACTCAGGAAGCAGAACTTGCAGTGAGCCGAGATCACGCCATTGCATTCCAGCCTGGGCAACATGAGCAAAACTCAGTCTCCAAAAAATTATCTATATCTATATCTATATCTATATCTATATCTATATCTATATCTAATCTATATCTATATCTATATATCCCACCTCTGCATCAGCAGTCTCAGCCACCAACACAGCTGCGTTTTAGTAAGAGTGGTCAAATTTAAGATATTTGTTGAAAACACTGATTGGTTTCTATTCCTTATGAGATAAACATTTTTAACCCAAAGGAGTCTGAATAGTGGAACTTCAGGCAAGTGCTTGTGCCATCAGGTCAGGCAGCCTATGAGGGAGGTACTGGGGCAACAGGCCTGCCTCCTGGGCATGAAAGAGACCATTCCCTCTAGCAGATCAGATTTCTCATGGCTGATGCTTTTTTTCAAGGTTGTTAACCAGGGGTTCCTGGCTTCTGTTTATGTGGAGGACAAGGGGTAGAGATTGGTCTTTGTTGGAAGATGCTGATTGTATTTAAGATCCTAACTAAATGTGACTTTATAAGTTGGAGGCTGCTTATATATTGCCATTCTTTATACAACATCATAATAACCATGGACACATGTAATCAGAATCTATAAAGCAGATGCTTCTGAAACTTCCACCTCTTGAAATAAGTGCATCTACCTTAGCTCAGCTAATTAGTTGGAAGCAGGTGGTTAGAATAAATGGCTAGTCCTTTGCAAAGACAGTCAGTGGGATATGGCATGTAGATTGATGAAGTTCTTTGGCTGTACATTTCCTGAACTGTAAAGTCATGCTTGCAGTTTTTATTCACACTCGGGCCTCTCAGCCACAGCTGCAGACTTCTCATTTCTTTTGAAAAGTGTGTGGTTACAAGGAAAACTACATAGCTACCTGCTGGTTTGGGATTAGCACATTTGCTGACCATATCAGCTGGGTAAAACATTGTACTCCCTCTGGTGCCAACTCTGTGAACCCATGAGCGTAATATGTAGGTGAGGAAGTAGGAAACAGTTACAATAGTCAAGCAGTATTATTCAGAAAAAGATACAAGGCAGATTTCCAAATTATGAAAAGCTTAAAGTGTTGGAAGTAAAAAGTGCTAAGGAAAAAGGATCAAGAAGGTCACTGCAGGTGCATAGCTGGGACAGACGCTTAGAAAGCTGTGGAGGGGTCCTTTGCCTCTCCCAGCAGTGACAAGACACATTTGATTTAGTGCAGAGGGTAGGTTTGAATAGAGAAAGACAGTCATAGATACATGTTCATTTTGGCTTTTTGTTAATTGACAAGACTGTAATTTCCTATGACTAATGAGTGTGATCTCAAGTAATGAAGAGGCTTCTTTAAGAAAGGAAAAAAAAAAACAAGATTTTTCATCATCTTAAATAGAAACAGACTAAGTATATGAACGAAGGCCTATATTTGTATCTGCCTACTCTAGTGCTTTGAATAGAGTTGGTGATATTTCTTAAGTGTTGATAAAGTACAGCACAATATTTAAAATCTCATAATTCAACAGAACTGCAATTATTTTCTTTGTATTTTACTGTTAGCACTTTTATCTCTTTTCCCCTATAAAAATGTTAACAGTGCCTCATATGTAATAGATGCTAAAAATAAAGTCAACAAAACAGATGTATAGAGCATGTTAGCGTATCAGATTCAGTTAGTGTGCAGGACAAATTACGTCCCCTGTATATAGAATTAAACATACTATCTCTCTTCATTGTTTAAATCGGCCTAAAATATAATGGCTAGACTTGCCCTCAGATTTGATGTTAGAATGTGATCTAGTGTAGGAAGTAGTTACCTCAGTGGGAGAAGCTGACTTTAAATTGTTCAGCCCTCTTTACTGAGCTCACAGCTCTCGTACACTTCTGGGCTCATAACGAGGCTGTATCCTAAGTGTTCTTAGATATAAGATCTTTCCCTTTGTTGTCTTAAGGATGAATATGCATAAAACGTAGTAGTAGGAAATTTTTTATTTTCATTGTTTATATTATGACAGTCTCACAGCAGGTAAACCCTCCCCCCAACATTTTATTATGAGAAATTTCAAATAAAGAGAAAAGTTGAAAGAATTTCACAATGAACACCCAAGTCCTCACCATACAGATACTGAAGTTAACAGTTTACTATGCCTTATCACATTTATCTGTCTCTAGCCCTCCATTTATCCATCAGTTCATCTTTTTATGATGCATTTAAAAAAAGGTATTTGGTTTACTTTTCCCCCAGATACTTCAACTTGTATATCATTAACTTGAATTTGTTTACTGTCTTACATTTTTTCTTTCTTTAGGGATAATTTTAGATACGGTAAAATGCACAAGTCTTAGGGATACCATTCCTAAGGTCTGATACCCATGCGACATGTTAAAGCAAGAAATCATTAATGACTCTTGTTAAAGACAGTAAGTCAGACTTTATTCAAGGGGGACTATGGTGACAGGTAGAGGGGCCACTGCAGTGGGGTCTTGTACTGGGGAGAGAGATTGGGTTTGACTCTGACTCCAGCAAGGACAAATGGGGATTTATAACCAAGGAGCAGAGTTGGGGGTCAGTGGGTGGGATTCTTGCTAGTTAAGGTCAACAGACTATGTGTTGAAGGCAGGCCAGGGTCATATGGAGAGTGGAGGGTGAGGAGTGTGACAGATATTGGTGGGGAGGGGTTTCCCTAAACTGATTTAGCAGGATTCTTGCTCAAGCTGGATTCCACAGGAACAGAGAGGGAAGCCTAGGGTCTGGATCTAGTCAGAAAGAAGACTCAGAGGAGCTGACCAAATTTCTGGTCAAAGGAGACAATCTTTGTTTAACCCAACTCCTGTCAAGATATAGAACATTTTATTATCCTCTTGTCTCTTACCAATCAGTTCCCATCCCACCCCCCCACAGGCAACTCTGTTCTGATTTTCTCCATCATGGATTAGCTTGGCCAATTCTAGATCTTCATATAAATACAGCCATGTATAGTATGTTCTCTCTTGTATAAAGCTTCATTCCTTCAGCATGTTTTTGAGATTTATTTATGTTATTACATGTTTTCGCAGTTTATTCCTTTTTATTGATGAAGAGAAGTTGGCAGACTTTTCCTATAAAGAGCCAAATAGTAAATAGAGACCCTGCGCACCATGTGGTCTCTGTTGCAACTACTCAGCTCTGCCATTGCAGTGCAAATGTGACCATAGATAATACGCAAATGAATAGGCATGGCTGTGTTCCAATAAAACTTTATTTTGAAAAACAGGTGGTGGGCTGGTAGCACTGTTATCACTTTTCCACTATAAAAAAGCAGAAAAGCATTCAGTGTTTCGCCAATAATCCTATCCTTGATGAAGGATATTTCATTTCATGCATATATCACACTTTATCTACTGTCATATTACCAGACACTTCAGCTGACTTTTTTAGTTATTAAAAAGAGCTGCTATGAACATTATTCTAACGGGCTTTTTTTTAGACATATGTTTTTGTTTATCTGCAAGCAGAATTGCTGTCATAGTGTACGGTGCTTGCTCAGTTTTAAAAGAAACTGCCAGACTCTTTCTAAGGTAATATATAATTTATACAGCTACAATAAAGTATGAGAGTTCTAGTTGCTCTGCATCCTTGCAAACATTTTGTGTTCTCATTCTTTTTAGTTTTATCCATTTTGGTGTGTGTTAGTATCTATTGTGGTTTTAATGTTTGTTTCCTTGATGACTAAGGTTGTTGAATACTTTTCATGTGTTGTTTCTGTGTTTAAATATCTTACTTTGTGAAGTAAGCATTCTGCACATGCTTACCCACTTAAAAATATTTGCTGTTTCTTTTTGTTACAGAGTTGAACTTATTTATATATTTATGTTTTCCCCTTTATTCCATTAATGTGGTAAATTAAACTGACATTTCTAAAGTTAAATCAACCTTTAATTATTGGGATAAACTCTTCTTGGACAGGAATTTAGATATTGCTGGATTTGATTTGCTAACATTTTAAGAAGTGTGCACCTATGTTCATGAGGGATAATTGCTCTGTAACTTTTTTTGGTAATGTCTTTGTCAGAGTTCAGTGTTAAGGATGTACTGGACTCAAACAGTTCAAAATTGTCCCTCCTCTATTTTCTGAAAGAGTCATATAAGATTGGTGTCATCTCTTCTTTAAAGTTTGAGAGAATTCACCAGTAAAACCATCTTGGTCTTGGAAGTTGGTTTTTGATTTTTTTTTTTTTTTTTGGTAGGATGGTTTTTGACAAATTTAGTTTTTTTTTTTTTTTTCATTTTGTTTTTGCTTTTTTTGAGACAAGGTCTTGCTGTGTCACCCAGGCTGGAATGTAGTGGCACAATTATGACTCACTGCAGCCTCGACCTCCCAGGCTAAGTGATCCTCCTACCTCAGCCTCCCAAGTAGCTGGGACTACAGGTGCATGCCACCACACCTGGCTAGTTTTTGTATTTTTTGTAGAGATGATGTTTTGCCATGCTGCCCAGGCTAGTCTCAAACTCCTGGGATCAAGTGATCTGCCCACCTAGGCCTCCCAAAGTGCTGGGACTACAGGCGTTAAGTCACTGCACCTGGCCTTATTTAGTTTTATTCAGTATAAGGCTATTAATATTTTCTGTTTCATCTGTGTTAGTTTTTGTAAGTTACATCTTTTAAGGAATGTTTCTATTTCTTGACATTGCTGAATTTGTTGGCATGAAGTTCATAATATTATCTTATTATTTAATGTCTATAAGGTCTGTAAGATTATTCCTGCTTTGTTTCTAATATTAATAATTTGTATTTTCTTTTTTTCCTGTTGATCATTGTAGACAAAGTTTGGTCAATTTTGTTGGTCTTTTTTTTTTTTTTTTTTTTTTTTGAGACAGAATCTTGCTCTGTCGCCAGGCTGGAGTACAGTGGAGCGATCTTAGCTCACTGCAACCTCTACCTCCTGGGTTCAAGTGATTCCACTGCCTCAGCCTCCTGAGTAGCTGGGACTACAGGTGTGCACCACCACACCCAGCTAATATTTTGTATTTTAGTAGAGACGGGGTTTCACCATGTTGGCCAGGATGGTCTCGATCTCCTGACCTCGTGATCCACCCGCCTTGGCCTCCCAAAGTGCTGGGATTACAGGCGTGAGCCACGGTGCCTGGCCTTGTTGGTCTTTTTAAGGAACCAACTTCGGGATTTGTTAATGGTTTCTATGGCTTTTCTTTATTACTTTATTGATTTCTGCTCTTTAGTTCCTTAGACTTACTTTGGTTGTACCTTGTGCTTTTGCTAGAACAGTCATTGATTTTAGGCCTTTCTTTCTTTTTAAATATAAGCATTTAAAGTTGCACCTTTCACATTTTGTTTTACTTTCATTATAACTTGGCTTGAAGTGTATTCTAATTTCCCTTCTGACTTCTTTGATGCATGGATTATGTATAGGTGTTCTAATTTTCAAATAGTTGATGGTTTCTTAGGTACTTTATTATTTATTTTGAATTTAATTCCATTGTGGTCAGAGAACATACTAGGTGTGATTTCCTTCCTTTTAAATTTATTTAGGCTTGTTTTGTGGTCCAGCATGGTATCTACCTTGATGAATATTCTATGTACACTTGAAAATAAGGTGTATTCTGCAATTGTTGGGTGTAATATTTGTTAGTTTTTCCATCAGGTATAAGGTGAGAGTTGTTAAGATCTTTGATAATCTGTTGTGGAAATTGTGAACTTTCCTGTCTGTCTTTAATATTGTCAATATTTCCTTCAAGCATTTGGAAGCTCTGCTATTAGCAGCCTACATATTTATGACTGTCAAGTGTTCTCCTGATGAATTTTTACTTTTATTCTTACTCAGTGTTCCTGTTGATCACTGGCAATACTCTTTTTCTTGAAGTTTTATATGATATTAATAGAATCACCTCTGCCTTCTTGATCTTATTGTTTGCATGGTGTGTCTGTCTTCATTCATTTACTTTGAGTGTCTTTGTGCCTTTATAAGTATGTCTCTTATAGACATCATGTAGTTGGAACTTGCTTTGTTTCTGTCAATTTTTATAATTATAATCTGTGTTTGAAGTGTTTACTTGATCAATATTACTGTGATTATTGATATGGTTGTATGTAGGTCTGCCATTTTACTATTGTTTTCTTTTTGTCCTTTTGTTTTTGAATTTTTTGTTCCTCTCTTTCTGTTGTCATTTAGATTATTTGAATATTTCTAGTATCCCCTCTGGGGTGCAGTGGTTATTCACAGGTGTGATTATATTGCATTGTAGTCTTAAACCCCTGGCCTCAAGCAGTCCTCCTGCCTCAGCCTCCCAAGTAGCTGGGACTGTAGGTGCATGTCCTGCACTTGACTGTAACGACGTTTTAAATAAATTTCTAATATTAGTTTAATAGTTTCTAATTATTAGTTACCACTATAATTGAAATTAAAATATGTCTTCCTCTAGCTCTTGATTTATCAATTTTAGGCAGTATCCCTTGTCTGCCTGCTACAGAAGAGGAAGAACTGAGTAGACCTCACTAGTTCCTTTTGTTCTTTCTCACCTTCAGTTTTAGTTGAGTATTTGATCTTTTGCTTATATTTACAGCTTTAATGTAATATAAATAAGTTTTAATATACCCAAGTTTCTTTCTTACCCTGTCACCTTTAGATAGCATCTCGATTGTATACTACTGATAATAAGGAAATTAGTATATTTCCATCTTACCTTTCAGCTACATTTTAAGTATGTGTTAGTATACTTTTATAATGTTTGTAGTATGTAGATTATTTCCTGTAACTATAATTGTGTATAGTAAGGAAATGAAAGCCATTTAGTAGATTAATGTATTGTATAGCTGCAGGATCAAGTCATGTGTTTGAATCCTTAGAGAAGGAGATGCAATCATTTCACCAACCAGGGTCAGATACATGGAGTCTCTTGTTCACAGATGGCCACACTTTTAGTATGCTTCTCATTTGGAGCAGGATTTTTTGGAAAGCGTCACCCCGAGTTAGAGTTACTGTCTCTCTGCCAGAAGAAACCTATGCCTCTGTCTTACTAAGAACATCTTGAGATTTTTAATGACAGTTTGTATGAATGAGATCCGCTCTCTGTGAAGATACTCTTTTTATATATATATATATACTTTTTTTTTCTTTTCACTCTGAAGATATTCTTTAGCCCTATAACTCCTGGCTGTGCCTGGCCTGCTGCACATCTTTTGCCCCAGAACTCCTTTCACTGCCTTTCTGGGTTTTTCTGTCTTCTTTTTAAAAATTTAATATAATGTCTTCATCTTTCTTGGATTCTTTTTTTATTTTGCTTAAAGTGCATCCTCAAAAAGTGATATGAATGCGTCTGATGCTGGAAGGGAGTATTGCAGCTTCTCAGAAATTCAGAGGAAAAATGAATTTTAACACAGACTTTTATGTATAGTAAACTATTAATTAGGGTAAGGATTCAGTGCAATTGTTTAGAAGTTTTCTTTTTTCAGTGTTCTGGAGACACTGGAATCACCTGTGGTGTAAAAGTTTGGAACAATCTCTGGAAAGACTGCTGCTTTACTGGGAGGTGGCTTAGTGACAGCTTTCTCTGTGAAAATGTTTTGTGTGGGCTTTCCTTTTTGAGCCAATGAAATTCTTTTAAATAGGTTAGTTTAGCACATTTGCATTGATCGATATGACAGATGTTTGGTCAACATTCTATCATTCTGTTTTGCTGAAATCTTTTTGCGATTTGGCCTGTATTTTGTATACGCTCCTGATATTTAGGAAAGTTTGTATTTTTGTACTTTTAAAAATAGTTTTATTAACACTATTTTGGCAACATCCATTAGTTTCCTACTGTGAGGGAAAATTTAGTGTACTTCCTCCTCTTCCTCACTGTTCTTCCACCTCTTAATAATTTGTTGAGGAAATTTTTTAGGATTTGCCTTTGTAATATTACTCAATTTATCAGTGGCTGATGTTTTCTGATTGCTTCAGCTGATGTAGGTGGGAATGAATGAACTTACTCCCTCATCATCCTTCCCCTTTCTTTTCCCATGTTTCGTCAGCTGTATCCCTTCTGCACCATCAGGGCACACGCTCTGCTCTGTCGCTGTTAGTCCCCTGCTTTGTGTTAGTCTTGGTTCTACGTGAAATTCAGTGTCTACTGGTTTTCCTTTGGCCATGGTTTCTTCAGCCATCACTTGGTGAGTTCATCTTATAGTAGTTTCCTCAGGGAGGTCCTAAGAGAATTTTCCCTGCTTTCTTCTATGTTCAATACAGATTGTACTTGTACCTTTTATATCTGAATGATAGCGTGGCTGGATAATAAAGTCCTTCCCTCACCCCTGTGCCATGTATCTCGTAGTTATTGTTCTGTTCTTTTCTGGGACTAATGTTATGGAAAACCTGGGGCCAGGTTTTTTGTTTTTGGCCTGGCCGTCCAAAGAGCCCTTATCTTCAAGTCTGAATTATGCTAGGATATGTCTTCTTGTTGCCCATTCTCAGCCAGGCTGCCCTGGCACCCAGTGCACCTTTTCAGTCTAGATCCATCTTTCACTTCAGGAACATTTTCTTAATCTGTTTTGGTCTCTTCTATTTGTTTCTTTTTCAGCTTAGTTTTCTGCATACAGGTTATACATGAATTGTATTTCCTTTGCCTTGTCATCATTAGCTATAATTTTTTCTCAGCCTTTTAAAAAAGTATTTTATATAATTTAGTTAAGTCAAAATTCACAAGAGACAAAGTAGGACATTAAATTATAATAAAAAGGTTCATTCATTGAGAATCTATGAATATATCTGACATCAGTTTTCCCAAACACATAAAGCAAATATTGACAGAATTGAAGCAAAAAATAGACAGCAATATAATAATGGTAGGATACTTCAGTATCCCACTTTCAGTAATGAATAATAAAGCAAGATAGAATATTAAGAAGGGAACAAAAAACTTGAATGCACTATAAAACAATTACACCTAACAAATGTATTCAGACAGCAGAGTACACATTCTTTTCAATAGCTCATGAAACATTTTCCTAGATAGACCACGTGTGACACCACAAGTCTTAACAAATTTTTTTAAATTGAAATTTTATAGACTATGATTTATGGCCCAAATGGAATAAAACTAGAAGTCAGTAACAGAAGGAAAATTGAAAAATTCACAAAATATGAAAATTAAACATGCTCTTGAGCATGCTTTTGCTCAAGGGTTGGAAGACATAATATTGTGAAGATGGCCATGCTGCCCAGAGTGAGCCACACATGCAGCACACCTTTCAATTCCCAATTTTACTTTTCTGAAAATAGAAAAAAACCCACAAAATTACATGAAACCTCAAGGGACCATGAAAAGTCTGACAATCTTAAAAGATGAAAAATATTGGAGACATTACACTTAATAATGTCCAAACACCAAACAAAGCTACGGTAACCAAAGCCCTTTGGTACTGGTATAAAGGCTGAACACCAAAGCAGTGAAGCAGAATGCAGCACAGACAGCAACTCTGGCAACATGCTCAGGTGAGTTATTTGCACGCCATTTATTGAAGCATTATCCACAAAAGCCAATAGGCGAAAGCAATTTAAACTTCCCTTACCAAATGAATGGATACATATAAATTGGAATACAAAAAAAATGGAATATTACTCAGCTTTTAAAAAGCAGGAGGTTTTCTAATATCTACCATAAGACAAATTTTGAAGACATTTTGCTAAATTTAATAACCCAGCCACACACAGAAAAATACTGTATGAATCTACTTACATGGAATATCTAAAGTAGTTAACACCCTTAAAAAGAGAAAATAGAATGATGTTTGTACAGTAAAAACATTGAATTGAAAAACACCAAAATGTGTGCCCTTTATGAATGTGCAGTCATAGTTGAGAATTGTAGCTATTTAGAATTATTTTTTAGTAATACACTGTGTTTATTCAGTATTTTTTTGTGAAATTTTGTTCTGCCAATTTATATTCCTGTGTCATGTTTTATGGTAGGTTATGTCACATTGTGTTTTTAGTTTTTATTTATGTATTATAATTTTGTATGCCAATATTTGACTCTGTAAACATTAAGACAGTGTTTGGACAGAAGTCAGATATGAATCAGCCATACATCTAGAGCCAATATAATTATTTCTGTGTTTGTTTGCCTGTATAAATATTACCCCTATTTTATGATTTGTATATTTCCTTTTTTTGGTTGTTTTATTTTTAATTGTAAAAAATACATAACGGAATTTATAATCTTTGATATTTTCTTCTTTCTTTTTTTTTTTTTTTTTTTTTTTGAGACGGAGTCTCACTCTGTCGCCCAGGCTGGAGTGCAGTGGCATGATTTCAGCTCAATGCAAGCTCCGCCTCCCGGGTTCACCCATTCTCCTGCCTCAGCCTCCTGAGTAGCTGGGACTACAGGCGCCCGCCACCATACCCGGCTAATTTTTTCTATTTTTTAGTAGAGACGGGGTTTCACCGTGTTAGCCAGGATGGTCTCGATCTCCTGACCTCGTGATCTGCCCACTGCGGCCTCCCAAAGTGCTGGGATTACAGGCATGAGCCATCGCGCCCGGCCTAATATTTTCAATTATATAGTTAAGAATATTGACATTGTTAGCAACATAGCTCTAGAACATTTTTATTTTTGTGAAAGTAATATGCAATACACATGAATCTCAGGCTTTTAAAACTCTCTATTTCCATTTCCTTTTGTTAGATCCTTCATTTTTATCTTCTCCCTTGTCCTCTTTCTTGTTTTGTCTTCATGTCTATGATAGTTTTGATTTGTTCTTATTTTTCTTGAGTCCTGATTGCTCACATTTTTACCTCCTCGTCATCTGGTCTCTTTCCTGAGTTCTGATTCTGCCTTGTGATTACTCTTAATGGAAGTGATTGGATTAAGTTACATAATTTGTCTATGATGCTTGCCCAGAATTTCCTCTGGTTTTGTTTTTCTGATGGCTATTCAGAAAATAGTATGCTTTGGCTATGTTTTTCTGATGAACATTCATTAGATAAGTTTTACATGTTCTTTTCCTGATTTTTAAAATATCTTTGAAGTGATATTGTGCCAGTTAAAAAAAAATTATTACTCATCATAAAATGAGTTGGAGTTCACTGCCCTAGCTATTTGTGGGGCTAGTCCTCTGGATGTCAGTTTTGTTTTTTTGTTTTCTGCATGTAAGGCGTGCTGGGGCCAGGGCAGCCTTCTGTAGTTAACAGTCGCAGTACTCTCTGCTTCACTGTTTCCACAGACATTCTGCTTCCCGCTAAAATGATTTTGCTGTATAGCCCTGCCCTCTCTACTTCTCTGCACCAAACCATGGCCAGGAGGTCATCTGCCACCAGCCCCACTTGCCCCTGTACCCCATTCCTTTGCTACACCAAAGGGGTGTGTGTTTTGCACTTCAGGATGAGCATAGAGTTGCTGTTCTCTGGGATCTGCCGCACAGGCTGTTTCACTGTTCCCTCTCACTGTATTCTCTTCTTTACCTCTGTCTTGCCCCAGTAAGCCCTCTGCTTTATCTCCACTATGTGTGCTCTAGATTTCCTGGTTCCTGCAATATGCAAGGGATACAGGTTGTCACTTCAGGGTAAGCGCATACTCATAGAAGGTGTATTTTGTCAGCATTTTCTGTGATCTTTTACCATTTGGCTTTCTCACTATTTGCTTCCCCCTTCGTCTTAGGTTCATGGCTGATATTAGCACCTGTCAGCAGCCCTTGTACAGTTTCTTTGTATTGTTTTGCTGAAAATGGAATTTGGAGCTGCACCCTGTCTGTTTACCTTGTTTCTTTTGTGTGATATGTTTCTTTTGTGTGATAGGCAGCAGGAGAATGTTGGTGTTCCATGGGACATGTTTATATTGGAGGTCTGATATACTATATTCTTTCAAAGGATTTCTTTGCATTGAGAGTAGACTTTTAGGGGAATAGGGTGGAAGCTGGGAACACCTGTTAGGAAACTGTTTTAATGATTCAGGTGAATGGTGGCCCGCGTCACAGTGCTAACTATGGAAATGCTGAGAAGTGGTTAAACTGTGGCTATATTGTGAAGGAAAGCTGATTTGGAACTTGCTAATGAATTGGTAGGGTGAGAGAGGGAGTCGCTTGTAGCTGTGTGCACCTGTCTTTCAAATGCTGGTCTGTGCTGGGGAGCTCAGGGCAGGCTGTAAGTAAATAGGACCTGTTCACTGGAGAACGTCCCCAGTGGCACTTGCCCAGCTGCCCCAGTGAGCCCTGCTTCACTCATTTTACTGATCGGGGGTCAGTAAAATGATCTATTTAACTTTGGTCTGGGTGGGACCGCTTTTTGTTTGTTCCAGGTTTGTTGTAGAGGTTTGCGTGTCCTACAGGGGCCCTCCACAGGCACACCTTTCACTCTGCTTATAGTAGGGATTAATGCTGCAGCCAGTGGCTCCATATACAGGGGCCAGAGCCTGCCCAGCCATCCCATAGTCATCTCACGGACTATCCTGACAGTTGCCTTATAGCTACTTCAGCTTGCCAAAGTGAGGGTCCTCGGCCAAAGATAATGGCTTCCAGATCTGCTAGGGCCTCTTATAGTGTGTGCTTGCATTGTGGTTCTCTCTACTTAGGTTTATTACTAATGTGCTCCTGCTTCCTATCTTCCAGAAATTTATCAAAGTTGCTGGTCTGCTGTTGTCTTCAGTGCTACTATGATTATATTACTTTTCGTCACTTCGGTGGCAAGGAGGGTAGGCAAACGTGTGTGCTTACGTCTCCCATCCTAAGCTGGTGATTTGCATTGCTCCTCAAGAATGTGAAGGGAATATAGAAGAAAAGTAATTTGGGATAAGATTTTTTAGATTCAGAAGTTAGAAAATGAATTGGCTAATACGCAACATGGTATTCTTTATCTAGGGCTGATATATGTCTGGCTTATTCTATTTTTCATAGCTGTTCAGTAATGGTGGGATAAACATTGGATGTGTGTGTGTGTTTTTTTTTTTTTACTTTAAGTTCTGGGATACATGTGCAGAATGTACAGGTTTGTTACATAGGTATACACATGCTATGGTGATTTGCTGCACCCATCAACCCATCATCTACATTAGGTATTTCTCCTAATGCTATCCCTCCCCCAGCCCCCTACCTCCCCACGGGCCCTGGTGTGTGATGTTCCCCTCCCTGTGTCCACATGTTCCCATTGTTCAGTTCCCACTTATGAGTGAGAACATGCAGTGTTTGGTTTTCTGTTCCTGTGTTAGTTTGCTGAGAACAATGGTTTCCAGCTTCATCCATGTTCCTGTGAAGGACTTGAACTCACCTTTTTTATGGCTGCATAGTATTCCATGGTGTATATGTGGCACATTTTCTTTATCCAGTCTATCATTGATAGACATTTGGGTTGGTTCCAAGTCTTTGCTATTGTGAACAGTGCTGCAATAAACATACCTGTGCATGTGTCTTTATAGTAGAATGATTTATAATCCTTTGGGTATGTACCCAGTAATGGGATTGCTGGGTCAAATGGTATTTCTGGTTGTAGATCCTTGAGGAATCACCACACTGTCTTCTACAATGGTTGAACTAATTTACTCTCCCACCAACAGTGTAAAAGCCTTCCTATTTCTCTACATCCTCTCCAGCATCTGTTGTTTCCTGACTGTTTAATGATCGCCATTCTAACTGGTGTCAGATAGTACCTCATTGTGGTTTTGATTTGCATTTCTCTAATGACCAGTGATGATGAGCTTTTTTTCATATGTCTGTTGGCTGCATACATGTCTTCTTTTGAGAAGTGTCTGTTCATATCCTTCGCCCACTTTTTGATAGGGTTGTTTTCTTGTAAATTTGTTTAAGTTCCCTGTGGATTCTGGATGTTAGCCCTTTGTCAGATGGATAGATCGCAAAAATTTTCTCCCATTCATGGCAACAAAATTCTCCCGTGTAGGTTGCCTGTTCACTCTGATGATAGTTTCTTTTGCTGTGGAGAAGCTCTTTAGTTTAATTAGATCCCATTTGTCAATTTTGGCGTTTGTTGCCATTGCTTTTGATGTTTCATGAAGTCTTTGCCCATGCCTGTGTCCTGAATGGTATTGCCTAGGTTTTCTTCTAGGGTTTTTATGGTTTTATGTCTTACGTTTAAGTCTTTAGTCCACCTCGAGTTAATTTTTGTATAAGGTGTAAGGAAGGGGTCCAGTTTCAGTTTTCCACATATGGCTAGCCAGTTTTCCAACACCATTTATTAAATAGGGAATCCTTTCCCCATTGCTTGTTTTTTGTCTATTGGGTGTTTTGTTTTGTTTTGTTTTTTTAGATGCTCTCTTAGAGTGTGGAGTCTGAGAAAGTATAACTTAAAATGGTCTGTCTAGTTATATCTGTGGGAAGTCTTACATCATCCATACTTAGGTTTCTAATTAGTTTTCTGCAATTGTGTGAATATAGGAAACAACCTATAATTTTACATTTTTGTCTTATGTTGGGAAAAATGTGTTCACCTTAAATTTTAATACAAATACGATACAAAAGACTGCTTTGGGGAGATAACTCTGAAATGTAAGAATGAAAACATGTTTTAAATATAGAGTCTGCACAAGTAGCAAAATCATGTATATTGAAACATCTTCCTATTGTATTCCTTCAAGGTCTGTTTCCTTACTAAGCTATGTGTTGTGTTATGGGTGTTCATTGTAAAGTTAAACCTTACTACTGTTTATGATGGTTTTGTTTTTATACTAAACTGGGAGAAGTTTTTTATGTCCCTGTGGGTTGGGCTATAGTAACATTTAATGTAATGATGCACTGATGCGAGAATTCACTTTAGGATAAAAGATTGAAGGGTCCCCTTCCCCAGTGCCACAGGGCCAAAGGTGGTGGTGGTTCGTTTCTGTACGTAGTGTGTAGCCTGTCAAAATCTGTTAGTCTTGTTGTAGGACTCTTTCCTTAGTTCAGCTAAAGACAGGGGGTCCTTGTCACACGGCCACGAAAAATGAGGCTCACAGACAATTTGAAGAGGGCAGGACTTATTGGGTGAAAAGGAAAAGAGGGAAACAGGACTCTCTACAAGGCCAGAGTCCCAGCTAGTGTGCTTCCCACCTTGCAGATTGAATCCCAGGTTCCATCCAGGAAGAGGAGGGAGGGGCCAGGCTTCTTCCCGAGGCTCCACCCCAGTGCACACTCCTCCCAGCGTGCAGGCCAGTTGGAGTTTTTCTGGGAACCCCTTTGCATTTGGCTGTCTCAGTCTTAGGCCAATATCTTTCTCATTTTAATCTGTCCAAGGTGCCTTACATTCCCTCCATGTTTAGCTGTTGCGAAGATGAGTGTTCACATGTCTTTTATCCTAGTGAAATGCATTTTCATAAAAACAAGAATTTTATCCCAGCAATCTATTATTGGAATTATCTATGCAGGGAGAATATTGAGAAAAATTTGAGTGGGGGCTTCCCTAGACTATCCCCAGATTTGGTGATCTGGTAAGAAGACACACAGGACTCAGCATATAGTTGTACTCAGGGCTTTCATTCCAGTGAAAAAGCAAAGTCAGCACAGGGAAAAGGTGCAAGGGTGAAAATCTGGAGGAAACCAGGCAGAAGATTCCAGGACTTCTCTCCCTGTGACGTCATAAAGAACAAGCTTAATTTTTCCAGTAATGAGAAATTCTACAATGTGTGAAATGTTGTCTACCAGGGAAGCTCGTTATAGACACTGCACCCAGAGTTTTTTTGGGGAACTAGTCACTAGACACGTTCTGTCTGGCCTGCACCAAAATCCCAGACTCCCAGAAGGAAAGATGTTTACCATAAACTGTATTTTTCATACAAACAGTTCAGGCATGAGTCATTCTTACCATGGAATGTTGGGAACACTCCTGAAATCTGGCTTCCCAAACGTCAGCAGTAAGCCAACCTTGTCAGCAAACTTTTCTAAGGATAGTTGTCTCAGGACTGCTGTGTTGACTCTCTTCTGCATATTAGATACCCAGATGCCTTGTATTTTCTAAGTATTTAAAATACTGCTGGGCGTGGTGGTGCGTGCCTGTAGTCCCAGCTACTTCATGGGCCTGAGGCAGGAGGATGGCTTGTGCCTGGGAGGTCGAGGATGCAGTCAGCCAAAGTGACAGAGACCCTGTCTCTTAAAATTTTTAAAAAAAAATACTGTGTAATAAAATAAAAGATGTAATGTGGATAGTCAGCAGACTTCCTATACTGGGACTATATGTATTTTGTATTTTGATTGACACTTAGGTTTGTAATAGTGTTAAAGCCTGTGGGTTACTGAGTCATTCGGATTGTGGACAGTTCCTTCTGTTCCCTTTCTTTCTACAAATTTTTTTTTTCTAGCTTCCCATTGGCCAAACCCACCTCCTGATCCCTTTCTAAATGTCTAATTCTTCTGGACTGTTGTCAATCCATAGCTGACCAGGCCGATTTTCTTTATCACTGTCTTTCTTTCCTGTGTAACAACCACTTAGTCTTAATGGTGGTAAGATTGCTCTGGATAAAGTGCTGATATTAACATATTTACCCAGAGGGTATGGGGAGATAATGCGGGAGGGTGGGCAAGTAAACAGCAGTACATTTTGTTGAATGAGAATAATAAACTACCTAAACTCAGTTTTCATTATTATGCCTTTTAAACCTTTTTTTTTTTTTTTTTTTTTTTTGAGACGGAATCTCACTCTGTCACCCAGGCTGGAGTGCAGTGGTGCGATGTCGGCCACTGCAAACCTCCGCCTCCCAAGTTCAAGCGGTTTTCCTGCCTCAGCCTCCCGAGTAGCTGGGACTACAGGCGTGCACCACCATGCCCGGCTAATTTTTGTGTTTTTTTTTTTAGTAGAGACGGGGTTTCATTGTGTTGGCCAGGCTGGTTTTGAACTCCTGACCCTCATGATCCGCCCACCTCGACCTCCCAAAGTGATGGGATCACAGGCATGAGCCCCTGTGCCCGGCCTCTTAAATATTCTTGATCAAAGTTACTAACGGGGTATCACTTAAGGTTTTTGGCAATAATGGCCAAAGAGTGAAGGGGTTGGGGGATGACGACTTTAGCATCAATTTTACAGGATAAGAAAAGGCAATAAATTATAATTTGCCTTAACAATATTATCTTAAACATATTTTGACAGCTATTCAGGATTATGAAACTGCTCAGGAACACAATGAAAATGATCAGCAGATTCGAGAAGGTCTAGAGAAAGCACAAAGATTATTGAAACAGTCGCAGAAACGAGATTATTATAAAATCTTGGGAGTAAAAAGGTGAATTATTAATTTAAAATTTACTTTGCTATTTTTAATCAACTCTGTTTCAAAGCTAATCATTGCTCTTTTTCCTCTCTGATTCATTTTCTTTACTTATGTAATTTCAGTCATATGGATTAAACCTTAACAGTCTTTAACATTAGAAAGCTACTTTGAGTATTTTATAGGCAAGTTTCTTTGATAGAGACCAATAATGCAACAACAGAATTAGTAGTTGGCAACAAAGATGACACTGTAGCATGAATGGGTCCTAAGCCTAGATTTTTTAAGAAGGGTAAAGGGGTAGGAGTGAGATTCCTTTTGGTGGGGATGGAGGAGGAGACGGAATGAGTAAAGAAAAAGCCTTCTCTAGGCCTAAAAATAAAGTAGTGCTTTCAGAATTAAGTCTGAAATTAAGATCTACCTTATATAAAAGTACATACTAAGTAAATGATACACCTCCCAGTGCCTGTGGGTGAATTCTGAAATTAAGTAAATGATATACCTCCCAGTGGTTCGCTGAGTAAACCATCAATTTTTCAAAATTTGGAATCTTTGTGCTTACTATTAAGTAAGCTAATGCAGAAGCATAATTGAAAGTGGCATTCAGAGTCAAATATTTTTTAATACCAAGAATTGAATTATGGTAACTTGGAAATTCAGAAAGTTAAAAAATTCATTGATGTACCTTTTTTAAAAAAGGGAAAGTTCTAAAGATCAGGAGTGCTTTATTCTCAGTAATCTTAGTGAGCGAGTATCCAAGGAAGCCTGATGTCAGCTTTAATGATCATCCAGAACTGTGTATGCAGATCTTTGGCCTGTGATACCATTGGAACTATTTTATAAAACCAGTTTTGTTAATTGCCAGTAGGATCTTAATCAGCTCTTCTGATTTTTATGATAGTATGTTAGACACTTTTCCACTAATGATTATTTATTTTACCACCCCTCAGAAATGCCAAAAAGCAAGAAATTATTAAAGCATACCGAAAATTAGCACTGCAGTGGCACCCAGATAACTTCCAGAATGAAGAAGAAAAGAAAAAAGCTGAGAAAAAGTTCATTGATATAGCAGCTGCTAAAGAAGTCCTCTCTGATCCAGGTATTATTAGCTTTTATTCCTTTGACTCATCCTAGAGGTGGTGTTAGAAGCGAGGGTGGAACATGTGGTGGGTTCTCCACGTGGGGCTGTATAGGCAGTGACGGGTCCTGAGCCCAGTTCCAGAGGTCCAGTTTTATGCCTGCCCTCATTCAGCCCTCTTATGTTGGGCACCCTCCTGTTGCAGGGTACAGTGGAAAGACTATCAAATGTGGAATCAGAGGGCCTGAATTTGAATCTTTTTTCTACTCAAAGAAGTTATCAGAACTTTTTGGTCTCAGTTTTTTCAACACTGAGCATAAGAGGATCTCTCAGGTTCCCTCTAACCTCAAAGGTCAATGATGAATTTTCTCCACCAAGCTTACAGGAGCTTGATGAGGAAACCAGCTTGCCAGGCTGGATTACATGGAGTGGGAGAAGAACAGCTGTCTGGCCTAGGGCCTGCTTTGCCCCATATGTGTTCACCAGGAATCTTGCCCTGAATCATAGGATCATTAGATTCACAGGCTTATATGTGTTTTTTTTTTTTTTAATTTTTATTTTTTGTAGAAATGGGATCTCACTGTGTTGCCCAGGCTGGTCTTTAACTCCTGGGCTAAAGTGATCTTCCCAAAGTTCTGAGATTACAGGTGTGAGCCTCTGCACCTGGCCACATGTGTTCTTTTGCCATACAGTAATATGGCCTGGAAATTTCGTTAAGAGGGAGACAGGCTAAGCATTGAGGTAATACTGAACAATGCTTTGCTGCTGCCAGAGAATTTCATGTTAAGCTTATACTGCTTTTTTGTGGCCTTCCATGTCAGTGGGAACAGCAGCTGTGATCTGAGCTAAACAAACAAAAGAGAGGAAAGTTTTATGTTTGTCAAATCTTTTTTGAGTACTTACTTATGCAGTGGAATTGAAAGTAAATGATCCTTTGTTTTCAAGTAATTTATAATCCAGTAAAGGAGACAGAAATGTACTTGCAGTGGAATTGAAAGTAAATGATCCTTCGTTTTCAAGTAATTTATAATCCAGTAAAGGAGACAGAAATGTACTTCCCTTATCAAGTAGTGTTGGATACATACTGTCCTGTTACTTAGCAAATACTGAGTGGCTACAACCTGCCTTAAGCAGTTCAATCCTCTTAGTTTGTGCAGTGCACAGGTGTGATAGTGTATCAGACTGGGAGTCAGGATCTTCTTATGTGAGAGGGACTTTGTGCTACGTTTTAAGGTACCAGGGAGCCAACCAAGGGGATGGGTGTCCCTGCACAGAGGCATGCACTGAGGAAAGAGCTGCAGGTCCTTTTTCTTACCTCCTGTTCTTCTGTTCAGGATGAACTATCTTTTCTTTTAAAGACTTTAAAGTTTTTTACTATGCATATATCAAGACGTGTCATATTTAGGAATATGTTTAGTAGAATCACATGATGTATGCCAATCTGAAACTTAATTTTCACTTGAAATAAATCTTGGCTATAGTTTTTTCTCATTGAAAAATGGTTACCTCATTCTTTGAGATGTATGCAGACCACTCCACTGAATTTTTAAGTAATTACATAATGTGAATATAGCTGAATTCACTTCCCCTTCCATTCACAGCATCCTTTCTCTGGGGCCATTATCACCCCCACCCCTACGGAGAGTTCACTACTGTTCTAAGTGCTAACACCCTAGATTAATTTTGCCTGTGAGATATCAAAGATATGGGGCCTGAGTCTAACTGCATTAGCTTTTATAAAACAAAGCTGAGTTTCAGATCACCTACAATACCCGCTTAGTTATTAACACTCAGCATAAGAACCCTCAGTTTTACTGGTGGGTTTCCTCCTCCTAAATATGTGGCTTCAGATTAACCTCCCAGAATGAAGTAAACTGGCTTTTCTCTAAGTATCTTTGAACCCCTAAAGGACAAGTTACTGTGAGAGAGCAAAGCGAGACTTGGGATTATTTTTATATTTGCATTTTTTTCTGCATTCTCTATTTTCCATTTATTAAAAAACCTAGCTATATGCTAAGTCTTTTTATTTTTTTTTTGTAAGTTCAGGGGTACATGTGCAGGTTTGTTACATAGGTAAATGTGTGTTATGGGGGTTTGTTGTACAGATTATTTCATCACCCAGGTATTAAGTCTAGAACCCATTAGTTATTATTCCTGATCCTCTCCCTCCTCCCACCCTTCACCCTCCAATAGGCCCCAGTGTGTGTTGTTCCCCTTTATGCATCCATGAGTTCTCATCATTTAGCTCCCACTTGTGAGAATATGTGGTATTTGGTTTTCTGTTCCTGCATTAGTTTGCTAAGGATAGTGGCCTCCAGCTCCATCCATGCCCCTGCAAGAGGACATGATCTCATTCTTTTTTATGGCTGCATAGTATTCCATGGTGTAGATGTACCACATTTTCTTTATCCAGTCTATCATTGATGGGCATTTAGGTTGATTCCATGTCTTTTCTATTGTGAATAGAGCTGCAATAAACTGATATGTGCATGTGTCTTTATAATGGAACAATTTATATTCTTTTGGGTGTATACCCAGTAATGAGATTGCTGAGTTGAATGGTATTTCTTTCTTTAAGGAATTGCCACACTGTCTTCCACAATGGCTGAATGAATTTACACTGCCACCAATAGTGTATAAGCGTTCCTTTTTCACCACAACCTTGGCAGCATCTATTTTTTTTACTTTTTAATAATAGCCATTTTTTATTTGCAATAATGATCTAATTATTTGCTCTAGTGATCAGTGATGTTGAGCTTTTTTTCATATGATTGTTGGCCGCATATATGTCTTCTTTTGAGAAGTGTCTGTTCATGTCCTTTGCCCACTTTTTAATGGGGTTGTTTTCTTGTACATTTAAGTTCTTTGTAGACCTTTGTCAGTTGCATAGTTTGCAAAAATTTTCTCCCATTCTGTAGGTTGTCTGTTTACTCTGTTGATAGTTTCTTTTGCTGTGTAGAAGCTCTTTAGTTTAATTAGATCTCATTTGTCAATTTTTGCTTTTGTTGCAATTTCATGATGGAAACACCAAAAGCAATCTTTGCTCATACCTATGTCCTGAATAGTATTTGCCTAGGTTGTCTTCCAGGGTTTTTCTAATGACTCTGAGGACATGAGCTCTTTCTTCCTATCCCTGCAATATTCCTCTTTATTGCCTTCTCCCATGTCTCTGCATTGATCTCTCTCTGTTCGGGGCTCAGAGGCCCCGCTGTGGGGGCACCAATTGCATGGGAGGGAAAGGTGAACCTCCTGGAGTTGTATGTTATGGAGGCCCCGCTCCCCTCATGTCTGAGGAGCCTTAGTGCTAGAATGCTCATTAGATGCTTGATGAGGTCATTGCCTTACAGACTTTATTTTGGGGATTAGGGTGGTGAGCTGGCTGTTTCATTAGAATTGTAGACTCTTGGAAGTTTCTCTTGAATTATTTTTTTCCAAATAATTTCATTGGGTAGTTATCAAGCTTGGGTGGCTTCTTCTGGAGTGAGATTTAGGGGCCTGAATCTCAATAAATACCTATTATCAACCCTGAACCTCACCCTCCTTGTGGCAAATTTCTCTAGTCTGTTTCTTCAGGGTGGGAATGGGAGAGCCTGGATTTGAATGTCAGGCACAACTCTTGATAACCGAAAAGTAAGTAGCTCCTCAAGCCCACCCACCCTCCTCTGCCCAAAGAAAACATTCCCCCTGCCCCTATACCTTAGATATTATCTGGTTCTTAATTTTCTGATTTCTTTCTAGAAATGAGAAAGAAGTTTGACGACGGAGAAGATCCTTTGGATGCAGAGAGCCAGCAAGGAGGCGGCGGCAACCCTTTCCACAGAAGCTGGAACTCATGGCAAGGGTTCAATCCCTTCAGCTCAGGCGGACCATTTAGATTTAAATTCCACTTCAATTAAACCAACTGTTTTTCTGCTCTTCTTAATTTTTTTAAAGATTAAAAACAAAGAAATCTTGTTCCGGGACCCTAATGAAAAAAAATTTCAAATCTTTTCAGTTTGTCCATGACCAAAGAGTTGCTTTAATAGGAAAAAATCTGTTCTTATCCCTGTCAGATTTATGGTTAATGGGTTTGCAACGGCAAGGAGGCAAGGAATGGTTCTATTTCTGACAGAGCAGCCTGCATCTGCTTTATGCTGTCTGGAGGGAAGTGGTCTGAGGCAGGCTCACCCGTGGAAGTGCTCACGTATTCTGTATTATTTTTCTACACTGGAGCTGAGATTCTTCTCTTCACAGCCTTGCAGAGTAAGTCAGTGCCTACAAGTGTAAGAAGGAGCTGTAATCTTCATGAGGATGGTTATACTTCAGTATTCTTAAAGAGAACATGAACATTTTTGAGCTGTATGTTCTTAGGGACAACTGTGCTTCGATGTGGTCAGTCTCGTCACTTGTGAGTAGCTGTGAAATCTTTAGTGTGCATGTGTTTGCACCTCTGTGGTCTGTCAACGTGGCTGTCACTGAAGGAGCAAGAGACCATCTTTTAGGAACCCTGCCACCAAATAATAATATATCCAGGCTTAGACTTTGGATTAATGTTAAATGTACATTTTTTTGGTTCAGTACCTGAAGAAGAATACTGAAACTTGAATCTATAAATTCCTATGGACCCTTTTAATATTAAACACAACAAATTAAAAGTTGTTATAGGTAAAATAAGTTCAGATAAAATAGTGGTGGTATTTAAAATAATATTGCTGAAGTGCAGATTGAAATACTTTTTAAACAACTGAAGTTCTGAGTTTTTATAGGGAATTTCATGTAACAAGACTGGTTTAGAAACGTAAAGTTGCGCAGTCAACATAAATAAATACAGAATGCCATGTTCTCCACTTCTAAGTAAAGACAGTGGGCAGCTTCTGTTTCTCCTTCTATCAAGGCTTCACCCTATCTTAAAGGTCTGTGGTGCCTCCCACGTGGGACCTGTCTGCTGGTATGTGTTAAACAGCAGACCGGCCCTTCTACCAGATCTTGATGCCTCTGATTTTCTCCTGCCTACAAGAAAATACAGGCAAGGTTAGTCAGGTCTGGCTATATTTCCACTGTTGTTTCATTTAATAAGATGGCATCTCCTCTTGAGATATGTTCTTCTTACCTTTTAAGAAGATACTATTTAAGAAGTGAACTATTCAGTCTTTGTATACTGAATGCTTTTTCCCTAAAAAATGTTAATCAAGAATATTGAATATTTATGGCACTCTTGATGCTGCATTTGAAAGCTGAAGGAATTACTTTAGATAGATAGGAATTGCTACCTTTATTCTGGAAAGGTTTTGTTTCTGCCTCAAAGCATTTTGAAGTGTTTTAACCATTAAAGGGTCTAATTTTTTTTTCTTAATGAAATCAAGCATTTTAATTCACTGTGGGAGGCATCCTGACCACGGACATCCATAACAGCAAAGCACAAATCGTTTTCGTCTGTAGTCATATCCTGAAACATAGGTGGACAAATTTTTAACTGAGAGACAAAAATCACATAGTTGAATTGAGCAGAACACTTAAGTGCTTTCTGCATCTATTTAGGAGTCTATTTCTTACCAATAAACTTGACAACGCATTTGGAAAACTAGTGAACACCTTACAGCTTTCATTTTGCTTTAATGTTTCAATTCAAGCCGGTGTAAAAATAATTTCCAAGGCATTTCTGTTTATTCTTTAGTAATCTCACTACTGGCTATGTCAGCAATATCTTTTTCAATCTGGTTCCTTTTGTATATGATGTCACTGTGACCTCTTTGAAATATAGTGATGGCTTTTACCTACTTTGAAAAGAATTTTCACATAGAGTCAGAAAAAAAAGGAAATATCAAATCACTTGCCTTTCCACTTGGAGAGCACGACAGTTGCCAACAACAAGGGGTCAAGGGCCGCACAGGAGATGTGTGGGGGCCTGGCCACCTCCCACCTGCTGCCCAGAGGCTTGTTTGCATTTTCATTTTTTCTCCACTTGTAACAACCATAGTTTCAGCTCCTAAATTCTTATCATGGATTTACTTAGTCATCTTAACTGACCTGCAGTTACTTGCCTGTTTTCAGTGAAGAGAGAGAAGCAGCTCTGGTGCCACATGCCAGTGCCATGGAGGGAAATGAATTCTCTGCAATCTGTTGTTTCGCTGATTCATGAAGAAAGTAACAACTGTTGAGTTTCAGCCTTGATGGCTGTCGGCAGTTTTCTGGTGTCCACCCAAACGGAGAGACAGTCACTCCTGCTTACCCTAATGTGTGACTGAGAAGCAGCCTGGGTGTGTAAAGAGATAGTCATTCCCCCTGCCTGTCTCACTGTAGGGTAGCATTATCCACTGTAAAACCATACTACTTTCATTTTCCCTTGGGGACTACAGGTGCCAGGTAACCTTTTTTTTTTTTTTTTTTTTTTTTTGAGACAGAATCTTGCTCTGTTGCCCAGGCTGGAGTGCAGGGACACCTCCCGGGTTCAAGCAGTTCTCCTGCCTCAGCCTCCAAGTAGCTGGGACTATAGGCACGCACCACCATGCCTGGCTAATTTTTGTATTTTTAGTAGAAATGGGGTTTCACTGTGTTAGCCAGGATGGTCTTGATCTCCTGACCTTGTGATCTGCCCGCCTTGGCCTTCCAAAGTGTTGGGATTACAGGCGTGAGCCACTGCGCCTGGCCATCAGGTAACCTTTATGGCTCTTTCAGGAAAAGTGAAATCAGAGAGGCGTACCCTAGCCACAGCTGTTGTATTCTGCTCTTCTTTCCTTTTTGGTGAGCTTCATGGGTGGAGTTATCAGTGGTCTGTACTTTGTGGATATTTTGCCCAGCAGGAAGTATTAGACACATCAGTCTAGAAGCATTGTGAAAAGGTTCCAAAACGGGAGACAAAATTTAATTCATTCCTCAGTTCTGAAAGTTTGTGCTTTCTTACCATGAATAGATGAAAACTTGAAAAAAATCTTGACAGTTTACTAATGTGAATCAGATGTAACGTACTACTAATTCTACAATGCCTTTCTCTTTAGTCAGTATTAAAAATCTTTTTTAAAGTATTGGTATGAAAACAAATTTTTGTTGCCCTGATAATGGAATTTTAAAACTACCCACAGTTTAAGAGAAAACATAACTTGGTAAAAAAGGTAGCCAATAAAACCACAATTTGAAATTGATACCATTTTCTACTCACAATGGATGATGAAAAATTTCACCTTTAAATGGGTCAGAAGTTGTCTTTGACATTTACCATGAAAAAACTACATAAAATGGCTCCCTGGTGAGGTTACAGACACGGCCCTGGTGATGGGCGTTGCAAAGTTTTCACTGAGCACACAGCAATGGTATCACCTAGAGAAGTTCACGCAACTTTGTTGAATGTAGTTGACTTTTCCAAATTTATAAAGGAAGGAAGAAGGCAAATGTTAATTTGCCAACAACGAATATCCTTTTTCTAAATCAGATCATTCCTTTTTTGTTAGTGGCAGTTTATCCTGTAATTTCAAATGACGTTAAGAGGTGGGATTATTTGGGGGTTTTTTTTGTTTGTTTACAGATGATCTCATTTGCTGAATGATTGATTTAAGAGTAAAATTAGCCACTGCGTGGCTTTGTGTATAGTAACCGGTTTTGTTGCACTTGTCTGTGGCTGAAACACTTACCTGCAGTGGAAAGCCGAGCAAGGAGGAGGTAAACATTGGAGATGTTTGTGAAAATATTACTCTTGCTGTGAGGTTTTAGTTTGTTTTGAATGAGAAAAGACTAAGTAACTTAATCCATCTCAATGTAGTGTTTTAATAAAAAAGGAACCTAATATTTGAAATGGGTCTCAGACATGTCTACAAATATGGGTACTATTTTTATGCCCGTGTATTTTCACATTTAATAAAAATATTTATGGTCATATCAGTATTTCCTTGCTTTTGATTCATTTTTGTCCTTGAGTATAAAATTCTAAGAAAGTCCGTCTTAGGAAAAGTCTATTATTTCCAGCTTTGCTTCACGCAAAACCAGTGACTGAGGTGACAAAAGGGCTCTTCCTTTACACAAGTTGACAGGGAAGGTCAGAACACACAAAGCAGAAAGGGCTAAAATAAAATCTCTTAACCCTCAAAAGTCCTAGGACAACTAAGGACTTAAAAAGTGGACAAGTCTTCCATTTCAGTGCTATTAAAATGTAACACTTAAATTGGCTTTGTCTGAAGATTTTCTCTTCTCTTTTATACCCCATTTGTACATTTCTGTTAAGGTCCTAAGTTGGGAGGAAGGAAGGACACTATAGCCTATCTATCTCAAATTTCCAGCTACAAACAGAAGGAACTGCCTTCTCAGTTAATGTATTCTGCATATCTTAAGAAAGATCCAAGGAGAGCTACGATATGTAAATGTATACAGAACTTTTCCAGAAAGCTCAAACCTTCCTTTTTTTTTTTTTTTTTTTGAGACGGAGTCTTGCTCTGTTGCCCAGGCTGGAGTGCAGTGGCATGATCTCGGCTCACTGCAACCTCTGCCTCCCTGGTTCAAACAATTAACTGCCACAGCCTCCCGAGTAGCTGGGATTATAGGTGCCCACCACCACACCTGGCTAATTTTTTTGTATTTTTAGTAGAGATGGGGTTTCACCATCTTGGCCAGGCTGGTCTTGAATTCCTGACCTCGTGATCCACCTGCCTTGACCTCCCAAAGTGCTGGGATTACAGGCGTGAGCCACTGCACCCGGCCAAAGCTTCCAAATTCTTAATCGTCATGATATTGTAGCAATATATGAGCAGCCAGCCTGAGTCTGAAGATAAACAGCATGAACACGTGGAGCAGGCATGAGGGCTGTAGGGAAACTGCAAGAAGAAGGGAGGTCCAGGTCCTCTTCCCAGAGCCTCAGGAGCTCTCATTGAGCAGGCACCAAACCCGCTCCCTCCCTACCCCCAGGCCCAAATCAGTGCTTCATTATCTTTAAAAAAAAATTATCATTTTAATCTTAATGCCAGCTTACAGGTCACACCTCAGAGACCCTGAACTCTGCAAACCCTTTTATGCTGAGCAAATCCTTTGGGAATGCTTCTATGATAAAAGCTTAATATGCATATTTATTGCCTTATACTAGGATTCTGTTTCTAATGAAGCATACAGGAGATAACTCAGCTTGCATTCCTATTTTGAACACATTTCCAGCCTTCACTCAGTTCTGTTTTTCCTGATCAACTCAGTCTACTGGGATAAGCATCCCTCTGACAGATACTCCCAGGGACTGGGCCGCCGTGGCTTGGAAGGGCCACTGGGAACATTAGTGCCAAGGTCTGAGGAAACCAGAATTGAACATATGTAAAAAGCATAAGGGAGTAACCACTGCTTGCAGCATTTCTGAGTGGATTTCAACTGCTCTTAAGTCTTCTTGGTATTTATATACTTCCTTGTTATTACAGGAGATTTGTATAGGTATATCTTTGAGTACAGTGTGCCATTTGTAGGTACGGTTAAAAAGGATTTTTCCTTCTTACACTGTTTTCCCTAACTACATGCAGTTTTGCTCCTAAGTATGAAGATGCTTTTTCTCTAAACTATCTGTTAAAAGGATAATTCTTTAGAGATAAAGCATCTTCATACTTAGGAGCAAAATTACAAGTAACTAGTTAGGGAAACCAGTATAAGAAGGAAAAATCCTCTCTAAAGTATCTGTTAAAAGGATGAATCTTGGGCTGGGCATAGTGGCTCACACCTGTGATCCCAGAACTTTGGGAGGCCAAGTTGGGTGGATCACCTGAGGTCAGGAGTTCAAGACCAGCCTGGCCAACATGATGAAACCCTGTCTCTACTAAAAATACAAAAAATTAGCCGGACGTGGTGGCAGGCGCCTGTAGTCTCAGCTACTTGGGAGGCTGAGGCAGGAGAATCGCTTGAACCTGGGTGGCGGAGGTTGCAGTGAGCCAAGATTGTGCCACTGCACTCCAGCCTGGGCAACAGTGAGACTCCATCTCAGAAAGAAAAAAAAAGGATAATTCTTTTAACAAATTACGTACATTTCACTGTGTCAAGTTTTCTTAGGATTTTAGATACCCTGTCACTTCATATATACCACCGGTTGCACTATTTTGTTTCCTGCAATGTTTGTGGCTTTGTTATCTCAAGTTACAGTGGAAAGACTTCATTCTATGGTTAATGTTTGTACAAACAAAATAGCATCTATTCCTCCTACTGAATGCATAAACATTAAGCAATTGTGGAATGAGGGGAGGGCTCTCCCTGTAGGACAGGGCCTCAGATGAGAGGAAATTCATTATGGACATTGAACAATGAAAAAAAGCAGCATTAGCAAATCTAGAGCTTTTGTCCAAAAAGTTGGTACTGCTGTTATGAATAAGGAATTAGGAAACAATGCAGGCATAAAAATATTCACCGAGCAGTTTAGGATTTATATGAATGGATGTTAGCCCTTCACTGCGCTTGAGGATCAAATCACAAAAGCTCTTCACATGGTTCATAAACTCACTTGCCTTGTCACCCAGGCTCCAACCTCATGGGCCTTCTTTCAGTCCTCAAACGAACAAAACTCCTTCCATACTATTCTTTCTTGCCTGGCTAGCACGAACTTTTACTTCAGGTTTCATCCTAAAATGTTACTTGTTAGGTCTGTCTTGACACTTGCCCTTCACAACATTTTCATTTGGGTATTAATGTCTGTCATTTATACTGTCTAGTAACCTTAAGAGGACAGCTTGGCACACAGTAGGTACCTAAATTATTTGTTAAATTGTTGAAATATTTGTTCAATCTGTTCAGGGCAGAGAGACCTACCATATTACTGGCCTTATTTAGATGAAACTTTTTAGAAATCGTTTTCTGGTGGAAGCAGACCGTGGGGAAACAAAGGAAAAGCTACCTACCAGCGTGAGGAAGACAAACACGGCAGAGGTCTGTGGCAGGACATTTGTATGGAAAGTAGTTTCAATCTGATGCTCTAGACTAGACACTCTACTACAGGATTAGTTCTATTTATTTCAACATTCATCTTACCCAGTAAAGGTAGTACCATAATTATTCCTCCTCTCCTTTTCCTGAAAATTTTAAATTAAACATATTCAAATAATGGTTTGAAGCCCATCTTTAAAATCTGAATAATTTTTCTTCAATTCTAATAAAAACCTTTCCTTTTTAAAGTAAAATCACATCAGGTAGGATACAAACTTTACATAGTTGAGCAGATCCACATGATTGAAGTAAACTTCTTCACTTCAAGTAATTATTAACTGTAGAGGAGAAGATTATTTTCCAAATCAGAGATCTTTACAACAGAGGTGTTACTAGTTCTAAGTCAAGAGGCTTTACCTGAGAATTTCTCAGAAAATAGAAGTTTGTATTTGGTAAATGGGGTTAACAAATAGAAAATGGGGAACAGCTGTCACATTACGATAACACTTGAAGACTTTAAAAAAGAGAGGTTCTAGAATGGGCTTACACACCTGACCGAGCCCCTCTAACTTACAAAGTTACCTGTAATTTTGGCCATCAAAGCCCTGGACCATCATGTTTCCTCTTCCTCACTCTGCCACCAAAGGTGAGATTTTAACCAATCAACTGGTTCTTTAGAAGTGAGTGGAGCCCCTTCAGTCTATGAAGTAACAGAAGTGAGTGAGACAATGGCTGGGTCATAACTTCTGCTTGTTGGTTTGAGCATGGGCCCATCAGCACCTTTTACTTCATCTCTGTAACTATGGATCTGAGACACATGATCCACGTGTTCATCTGACTTGTCCCGTACCTCCTGCCCATGAAAGTATTCTGTTGGGTCCCTGGAGCCTCTTCTGGGCAGTGGCAATTTGTTGTCTGGTTGCTTTTCAGGTGCTGGAGTCAGGACCTGGCACACAGCAACAAGCAGTTCTGTGGGCAGGTCCCACTTGTGTCAGACTACATGTTTAATATTAAAAGCCTGATTTTATAACCCCAGGCTGACATGGCTTTAGGTGCCTTTAGAAGTATTTGATGCTATCCTTCTAGGAGCTATGTTGTTCTCTAGGAGCTTGAGGGTAACTGGAGCCAAATGACAGGCATTTCCCAAATACAATCTTTTGGACCTAAGTGTTGGAGGTGGTATGCTGACTTTGGATTGTCTTAATGCTCAGATTCTGGGTCTACTTTCTACATAAAGCTCACACATCACTGTGGGTCAAACACAAATGCTTCTCATTCTTAGTTTAGATACACTGTTCTGACACTTTTTCTAAGAAGGCAGAAAGAGAAGACATTTATCACTTCCCATAGTTAGAAACTAGTTCCCCCACATTCCGCTGACCTCCACTACTTCTAGGATTTGATTTTTGTTAAAACTTGACATAGGGCCTGCAGCCGAGAACCAGAATTTAGGATCCTGAATATACCATGAAAGCCGTTGGACTATATTTGTTCAGCATCTCCAGGACAAGGAACTGAATGGCTTTCTCTCCAAGTGTTAGCAAATAAGACCTATGGTTCAGTTATGTAATGTGTCCCTGAGGAGGGTACATTTTTGTATGGCACAGCAGTTTGTATGCATGAGAGCTCTTGACATAACAGCATTTTTAAAACAAGCCATTTAATTAAAACATCTCACTGTAAAGAAATACCTTATTTATAAATCTGGATTTTCTGGTATAAGGTGTCACTCACCTGGAAATGTAACATGTAAACTGGCCACTCAGATCACAAGATGCAAACAGGGAGGGGGGCCATCAAGACTGTGTTTACATTGTTCTGTAATTTTAGCTTAATACTCCATGAAAATATGGGACCTAGAATACTGGAGAAGGCCATTGTAGGTAATAAAAGTAGGAATCCGGTGTCTCTGCCCAGCTGATCATCCTTTCTATAAGATTCTCACAGAAGTGAAGACAGGCTGGTAACAAAGGAAAACAAAGTACCATCTTATAGTTGAGGTTTGTGCCCCAGCCACCGCAGCAGACCTCTGGGTAGCTGGGTGGAGCATCTGGCCTGACCTAGAACCTTACAGAGTCTCACCTCTTACCAATCCCCAGCTTCAGCTGACTCCCAAGAGTGAGCCGGAGAGCACCATGACGCTGGCCGCCCCAGGACCATTTACTGCTCCAGCCTCTGAGTGTACCCTATAGGATACTCTGAACTCACAGGAATAACCTAGTTCCACCAGAGCAGGCCATAAATGGTGCACTCCATTTTAATACAGACAAACACGAACAAGTAACAAAGGGAGGATGACTGCAAGAGGGAGAGGCAGGCGCTCTCTTATTAGGAATGAATGGAGCTGATGGGAGGAGTAGTATTTTAACTCTATGGGCTGTTCTGTCAAACACAGAAGGATTAGCCTTGTTCTGAAAAGCTCACAGGAGTGAGCTTCGGCTCATGATGGAACTGTGTGTACAGAGCTGTCCAAAGATGGACCAGCCTGTCTCTAGAGGTGGAGAGTTCCCTGTTGTCCTGGAATTTCCAAGATGGCCTGAGGCTCAGCTTTACAGGCAGGGCCTTAGAAGAGGGGCCGGCACACTGGCTGGGGCCCAATTCTATTAAATGCTTCTCAAACTTGTCTAATTACAGAACCATCTGGAGAGCTTTTTAAACAATCATGATTTACCAAGCTTACTTTAGACCTAATGAATCAGACTCTCCACAGGATGAGGTCCAAATGGCACTGAGTTCTCTTCCAGTCCCATGATCCTATGATTTTAGAATAGTTGGATAGTTTTTAAACATTTACTATTATTCATCTATTATTAATACACATCAGAAAAACAAACTGGTTACATCCTCAACTTAGTTCCCATAAAAGTACCTAGTCCTTTTAAAAAGAGAATACACATATATCCCACATGCCCATAAATGCTTTTTATGACATAAAATTAGAAACATTAAAAAATCCAAATACCGCATAAGATTAAAACATTGTTTAAGATAAATGATTACTATGCAACAATATTACTTCCATTTTAAAACAATAGTTAAGGAATAAATGGGCTTAATTATTAATTATTGTTGTCTCAGAAGGAAAAATACAAAATAGGTTTCTGTAATTTTAAATGCATTTCTGTAATATTATTATTGTTATTATTTTTTGAGACAGTCTTACTCTGTCGCCCAGGCTTGAGTGCAATGGGCGCAATATCGGCTCACTGAAACCCCTGCCTCCCGGGTTCAAACAATTCTCCTGCCTCAGGCTCCCAAGTAGCTGGGATTACAGGCGCCCACCGTCACGCCCAGCTAATTTTTTGTATTTTTCGTAGAGACGGGGTTCTGCCATGTTGGCCAGGGTGGTCTCAAACTCCTGAACTCAGCTGATCCACCTGTCTTGGCCTCCTAAAGTGCTGGGATTACAGGTGTAGCCACTGCACCCAGCCTAAATGCATTTCTGTAATTTTAAATGCATTTTGTGAATAAGGAAATGTGGATGCACATAAAACCAGATACAAAAGGCTATAGTTTGATAAACACCAGCTAGTCCGGTACCTGGGCTATCTGGCAAAATGTCAAACTTTAACTGGTGATCAGGAAAAAGGAACAATCAGGTTTTAAATACTCAATGGTCATTTATTATATAACTTAAACTCATTCAATACATTAAATAACTGTTTTAAATAATTACAATTTTTTAAAATTAAAGAATATGTCACTGATCTTAACGAGACTTCCAAATCGTCTCAGCAGGGGCTCCAGACTTCCCCAGCAGGCGGCAGGTTTCCTGTCATGCTTTCGCCTTCCTTCTCATATACACCAGTGCTAGAGTTCATCATGTGTCAAAACTATAAGGGAGAAAAGTTTATTTAGCTTCTGGCATCTTAAACATAAAAATATCTTAAATATTACTTACATATGATGAGGAAGCACCGGTACTGACTGAGGATCCTTTATTTGCTAGTTCAGTACCTATATGCTTCATTACGCAACACGAGAATAGCTCTTTGTACACTGTGATGTCTATTATATTGTCTCATAACTACTGGTCTTTCTACCCACCTAGAATGTGAGCTCCCATGAGTCTATGAGGACAAGGAACATACCTTACTTATCTTTGTTATCTTTAGGATCTAGCATCCTGCCTGGCAGATAAGAGGTCTTGAAGAATACTAACAGATTATTCACTGTGAATACAGTATTCTACCCTTAATGTAATGGAACAACAGAAAGCAGAGGACATATTAATATATAGTCGTCATCTAAGATGGGAGGACACAGCACTCTGACATAGACATAAGTACTACATAAATGCAAGCACAATTCTGATGAGACTCTCAGAGAACAAAATGGTCTCTTCTGCATCACTGAGCTGTCACATACCAACTGATGTAAATCACTGAGAACTCAATATTTTCAGGCAGAAATTAAATAAAATACAATTTAAATGCATGCTGTTCCACAATTCAAGATGGCAGACTATATTTCTTCACTAAATTCTACTGGAAAGATAATAAATATAAAAAGGAAAAACAATAATGAGAACGAGGGAAGTGGTTACAAGACACTTGTTGGGGCAAAGTTACCAATGAATTTCAAGAAATGGGAAACAGGGATAGACTGCACGAAACAACTTCATCCCAGGATACACCGCTGAAACGATGAGTTGGCTTTCCTGATGGAGGAGGCTGGACGAGGCTATAACAAACGCCAGTGGACAGTGAGTCACACAGTGAGGCTATCAAGTAAAGGGCCGTCCGTGGAAAATCTGTGCCTGTCAGCTCCCCACCCCACTCTCATTCTTCTGAATCCAAAAGAGAAACTGACAGCCTGGTATTAGCTATCCTTTTTTGTTTGTTTGTTTGTTTGTTTGTTTGTTTGTTTTTTGAGACGGAGTCTCACTCAGTCGTCCAGGCTGGAGTGCAGTGGTGTGATCTCAGCTCACTGCAAGCTCCGCCTCCTGGGTTCACACCATTCTCCTGCCTCAGCCTCCCGAGTAGCTGGGACTACAGGCGCCCGCCACCACGCCCGGCTAATTTTTTTGTATTTTTAGTAGAGACGGGGTTTCACCGTGTTAGCCAGGATGGTCTCGATCTCCTGACCTCGTGATCCGCCCGTCTTGGCCTCCCAAAGTGCTGGGATTACAGGCGTAAGCCACTGTGCCCAGCCGATAGCCTGGTATCTATTCTAAGATAAAAAGTGGAAGTCTATTCTTGAAAGAAAATTGAACAATTTTGAGAGAGACAAAGAGGGAGAAATAAAGGGTGGGAGAGAGGGGGAAAGAGGTTTTTGGTTTATTTATTTATTTTTTTGGAGACGAAGTTTCACTCTTGTTGCCCAGATTGGAGTATAATGGCGTGATCTCAGCTCACCGCAACCTCCGCCTCCCGGGTTCAAGCAATTCTCCTGCCTCAGCCTCCTGAGTAGCTGGGATTACAGGCATGCGCCACCACGCCTGGCTAATTTTGTATGTTTAGTAGAGACGGAGTTTCTCCATGTTGGTCAGGCTGGTCTCGAACTCCCGACCTCAGGTGATCCACCCGCCTTGGCCTCCCAAAGTGCTGGGATTACAGGTGTGATTCACCGTGCCCGGCCGAAAAGGGGTATTTTTATATGAGTGTCTGCTCTTGAGTAAAGCGCCCTCATTTGGGCTTTTGGGGTGGTGTACAGGATGGGCTTTGATCTGTTCCATGACCATACACCTAGAAGGAAGCCTGCCAGTTGTACACCGTGGGTTAGTTAGTAATTAACCCTCCCATTTGGGGAAGGCTCTCGGAGAAACACATTTAAACCCTGGCAGAGGAAACCCACACCAGTTATTATATTGATCAATCTAACATTTCATTGTTAAATATATACAAACAGCCAAAGATCTCCAGGTTTTTGAGGAAGACCAGTAACAAAAGAAAAAAGGGCCAAGATGAATACATAAGACAGCTTAAACAAAAAGGAACTGAAAAGAACTAAAGCAATATTCAAAACAGTTCTAACTGGTATTTCAGGGGATATTAGAAAAAATCCACGAAACCATAAAACAAGAACAAAATGAAATTAAAAAGAAGCAAGCAGGGAAAAGAAAGATCTGTTAGAAATTAAGAAGTGATTACCCCTCTAAAATAAATGAATAGAAAGATTGAAGATAATGTCAAAGAATTTTTTCAGAACACAAATGAAAGGAAAAGATAAACAAGAGAAAATATAAGTACAAAAGATCTATAGGACTAAGAAGACAATTCTATTTACAGTAGCATCAAAAGGATCAAAATAATTAGGAATAAACCTAATCTAGGAGGTGATACATGTGTATACTGAAAATAACAAAAAATTGCTGAGAGAAATGAAAGAAGACACAAATAAATGGAAAGACATTCCACATTCATGAGCTGGAAATTTAATATTAAGATGTCTATACTACCCAAAGCAATCTACAGATTCAGATTCAACAAAATCCCTATAAAAACCCCAATGATGCTTTTTATAGAAACAGGAAAACTCATTCTGAAATTCATACAGAATCACAAGGGATGCCGAAAATATTGTGAAAAAGAATGAAGTTGGCAGATTCACATTTCCTGATTTTATAACATATTACAAAGCTTCAGTAATGAAAACAGTATGGTCCCGGCATAAAGACAAATAGCCCAATGGAATAGAGAGCCCAGAAATAAACTCTTGTGTATATGATCAATTCATCTTTGATAAGGATGCCAAGAATACTCAGTGGGAAAATAACAGTCTCTTTCATAAATGGAGTTGGGCAAACTGGATATCTACACACAAAAGAATAAAGCTGAACTCCTATCTTACATGACATATGAAAATTAACTAAAAATGGATTAAAAACCTAAATATAAGACCTGAAATTATAAAACTCCTGAGGAACACATAGGGAAAAATCTTCATGACACTGACATGGCAATGACTTCTTACATATGACACCAAAAATATAACAAAAGTAAAAATAGATAGATGGGATTATATTAAACCTAAAAACCTTTGTGTATCAAATGACACCATCAACAGAATGGAAAGGTAACCTAGCAAATAAGAGAAAATATCTGCAAATCATGTATCTGATAAGCCATTAATATTTACAATATATAAAGAAACCCTGCAACTCAAAAACAAAAAATCAAATAACCTGATTAAAAAATGGACAAAGAACTTGAATATACATTTCTTCAAAGATGATATACAAATAGTCAGCAAACATAAG
Source organism: Homo sapiens (assembly GCF_000001405.40). Taxonomy (NCBI): domain Eukaryota; kingdom Metazoa; phylum Chordata; class Mammalia; order Primates; family Hominidae; genus Homo; species Homo sapiens. The sequence continues at coordinate 95,805,181 of NC_000013.11, forward strand.
AAAATATGCTCAATATCACTAATCATTAGAGAAATGCATAACAAAACCACAATGAAATTATTACCTCAGACCCATTAGTATGACTGCTATAAAAAAAAAAAACCCAGAAAATAAGAAGTGTTGGTGAGGATATGGAGAAACTGGAACTCTTTTGCACTGTTGATGGGAGTGTAAAATAATGCAACTGCTATGAAAAATAGAGGTTCCTTAAATATTCATATGATTTGGCAATCCTATTTCTGGACATACATATCCAAAATAATGGAAAGCGGGGTCTCAAAGAGATATACACACACATGTCCATAGCTGCATTACTCACAGTAGCCAAAAGGTGAAAGCAAACCAAATGTCCATCGATGGATGAATGGGTAAACAAAATGTGGCAATATATATATACAATGGGATTTTATCCAGTCTTTTAAAAGGGAAGGAAATTCTGTCACATGTTACAACATGAATAAATCTTGACAATATTATGCTGAGTGAAATCAGCCAGTCACAAAAAAATAAATACTATATTATCCCACTTATATAAAGTATCTAGAGTAGTCAAATTCACAGAGTAGAATGATGTTTGCCAGGGGCAGGGAGAGAGGGGGAAGGGGAACTGTTAATGAGTATAGAGTTTCAGATTTGCAACATGAAAAAGTTCTGGAGTTCTATTTCAAAACAATGTGAATATACTTAACATTACTGAACTTAAAAATGGTTAAAACAGTAAATCTTGTTACGTGATTTTTTTAACCACAATGAAAAAATACATAAAAATGGTATAGGATTGAACCAAGAGGTATAAAAATCCAACTAGTTAGAATCTTGGACAGAGAGAACAGAGATAAGGGGGAAAGAGATTATTAAAAAAAAAAAAAAAACACACAGTGGAAAAAAAAAAAGTCCAAGGCTAAACAAAGACAGGAGTCATTAAACACACAAGCAGACAAATTTATGGGATGCAATAAAAAAAAGTGATCAGGGAAACTTATAGCTGTAAACACTAACATCAAAAAAGAAAAAAGATGTCAATTCAGCAACCCAACTTTGTAGCTTAGGGAGCTGTATGTAGCTGGTCAGGCAGGAATATGGGTAGCCTGGGCATCAGATTTATGGTTGATATCTGAAGTGGGGCAGTCCTGCAGGCTGGGCCCTTAATCTGTGGGGTCTGAAGGTTAACTCCAGGAGTTAATGTCAGAGTTGAAATGAATTACTGGAGATCCAGTTGGTGTCCAGTGAATTGGAGAATTGGTGTTAGAAAAACATTACATATTTGTTGTCAGGAAGAAAGAACATCAGACGGCAGTACTACTCAAAGTGATCTACATATCTGATGCAATCCCTATCAAAACCCCAATGACACTTTTTGCAGAAACAGAAAAACCTAAAATTCATATGAAATCTTGAGGGACCTTAATAGCCAAAACAATTTTAAAAAGAAAAAAAATTGGACTCACTGATTTCAAAACTTACTACAAAGCTACAGTAATTAAAACAGTATGGTACTGGAATAAGAAGAGACATATAGACTAAAGGAATAGAGAGCCCAGAAATAAATCCTTGCATATATGATCAAATGATTCTGACAAGGGTGTTCAGACCATTCAATGGGGAAATGACAGTCTCTCTAACAAATTGTTCTGGGACAACTAGATAGCCATATGCCAAAGAATGAAGTTGGACTCCTACTTCATATCATATTTAAAAATTAAAGATAGATTTAAAAATCTAAGTATAAGACCTAAAACTATAGCGCTCTTAGAAGAAAACATACATGGAAATCTTTGTGAATTGGATTGGGCAATACAGTTGACCCCTGAATAACATGGGGGTTAGGGACACTAAACCCCTGCACAGTTGAAAATCCACATATAACTTTTGACTCTTTAAAAACTTTACTAATAGCCTACTGTTGACTGGAAGCCTTAGAGATAACATAAACAGTTAATATATTTTGTATATGTATTATATACTGTATTCTTACAATAAAGGAAGCTAGAGAAAATGTTAAGAAAATCATAAGAGAAAATATACCTTACTATTCATTAAGTGCAAGTGGGTCATCAGAAAGGTCTTCATCCTCATTGTCTTCACATTCCGTAGGCTAAGGAAGAGGAGTTGTTAGTTTGGTCTTGCTGTCTCAGGTGGCAGAAGTGGAAGAGGTGGAGGAGGTAGAAGGGGAGGCAGCAGAGGCAGGCACACTCAGTGTAACTTCACAGAAATACCTTGTAATTTCTGTCTAATTTTTTTGTTATTTCTCTAAAATCCTTCTTCTGCTGTTTGCTTTAGTTTCAGTCTCCATATCATAGAGGGATCCATGTCATAAAAAGCAAAAGCAGTCTTTAATAATTGGAACTCTTCTGCCAATTGTCTAATGTCAATTTGTTTTCCGGCACTGCTTCTATGTCTTCTTCCTCATTGTCTGGCACTGGTTCAGAAGCACTCATCTCCATCAAGTCATCTTCTGTTAATTCTTCTGGTGTGGTGTCTTCTAGCTCTTTAATTTCTTCTAGAAATCCGTATCTTGAAACCCTCAGCCCTCACCTTTTTTTTTTTTTTTTTTTGCCGTATTCACAATCTCTTTCATGATTTCCTTGGTTAGCTTTGTCGTAAATCCTGTGAAGTCATGCACAACATCTGGGCAGTTTTCTCCAGCAGGAATGTATTGCTTGGGGCTTGATAACTTTCATGGCTTTTTCTATAACAATGATGGTATTTTCAATATTATCATCCTTCCAGACTTTCATGTTCTATCAGGGTTCTCTTCCACGGCACTGACAATCTTTTCCAAAGAGTACTTTGTGTAACAAGGCTTAAAGGTCCTTATGACACCCTGATCTAGAGGCTGAATTACAGATGTTGAGTTTGGGGGCCGATAGACACCTCCAGTGTTGAACTCATGGAGTTCTGGGTGGCCAGAGAGCATTGCCCAATATCAAAAGAACTTTAAAAGGCAGTCCCTTACAGGCAACATACTTCCTGATCTCAGGGACAAAAGCATTGATGGAACCAATGCAGAGAAAGGGTTCTTGTTGCCCAGACATTCTGTTGTACAACCAAAAGACTGGCAGCTGGTATTTATCTTTATCTTCAAGGCTTGGGGGTTAGCAGCTTTATAGATAAGAATATTACTGATCTTAAGACCAACTGCATTTGTATAAAATAATAGAGATAGCCTATCTCTTCCTGCAAATCCTGGTTTTCATTTCTCTTCCTTACAAATAAATGTCCTTTGTGGCATTTTTTTTTCTACAAACAGGGAAATTTCATCTTCATTAAAAACCTGTTGAGGCAAATAATCCTTTCTCCTCAGTGATTTTCTTTTTTTTTTCTTTCATAATTGAGATTTTATTGGTTGGGTCGAGGATCAGCACACAGACATTTCAATTTGTACACAATTCTTCACATATGTACCAAAAATCTAAAAAGCCATGTATTGCAAATTCTTTGTGAAGTTACTCTAGTGACTTTCCAGCTTAATATCCGGAGGCAAAATTTCCTTAAGAGGCTATCACGTACCAATATCTTCACATGTTGATAAGCTGTTAAATACGTCCTACCAATTCATAACTGAATAGCATGTACACTACATACTCAAATTTTCATTCACAGCACATTCACAAAGTTATTGGAAAACAGGACTATCACAACTAAATATGTTACAGAGTGCACACAATTCAGACAGGGAAATCCACGAATATGGAGTGGTTTTCTTTAGGAAACAATTCTACTAAAAAACAACAAGGGAACAGAAGTAATTTAAGATGTTTAAGACATTCAGTACAGGACCGTGACTCCATATTGCTGTTTAGTATGCTTTGTATTATAGGATATAAAAACTAACCCCCCATCTATGGAATGTTAACCTGACACCTAAGATAGTCAAAGCCTCCTATAATTCAATATCTCACACTATTTTCTGGTTGTACCCAAAAATAAACTGGTGAATGATTTAGCTCTTTTTAAAAAAAGCATTTACACTTAAAAAATGGGATGAGGTGGGATTCCTTCCTTCTTCAAAATGTTTCTAGAGCTACTAAAAAACTTGCATTTACAAAATAGTTGATAAAAATATTCCTCTGAATTGTACAAGAAGGGAGACAGGAACCACTGATAAGACATGGTATAGGATATTAATCAGACTTGGCTTCTTTCTCTCTAGCTTCATTGGAGGCTGAACTCTCCACGGTTTTTGTTTCTCCATTTTCTGCAGGCAAATCTTCTTTACTTTCTTGATTAGCCACTTCAGCCCATTTTCCCTTTGCTCCTCCTTTCCCTTTTGTTTGCACGTTCTGTCTGGAGATTTACCCTTTTCTGCTGCCTTTTCTGGCTTAGTTTCCACTTTCGCAGGGGCAGGTTTAGCTGACAAGTGTGCAGATCTCCTCTCATGAGCTACTCCTTCGCTGTCCCTTCGGTGGAGCTGACCTTCCTCTTGGCATCCTAGCAGCAGGGAGGGTGTGTGCCAAGTGCCTGCAGGCTGCAGCCTTTCCGCAGCCTCAGCACACTGAGAGAGACCCTTAGCAAAGCTGGGCTGCCTGGCTGCTGCCTCTTGGTTGGCAGGAGCTGCTTCTCCTATTATCTTGACTTTTAAAAACCAAACCTCATTCTAAAATTATCAAACCATCCTTTGCTGGCATTAAATTCTCCAGTTTTAGATCCTGCACCTTACTTTTGCTTTAAGTTGTCACATAATGACTTTTCTTTTTCTTGAATTATATTAGTCTACAGGTAAGCCTTTCTTATAGTAATCCTGCACCCACATAAAAGCTGCATTTTTAATATGAGATAAATAGGTATTTTGCAAGAATTATAAAGTTTTGGTGCTGCTGACACAGCTGCAGTGACAACTTCACAAAATTTTCATTTCTTTTTTCAATGGTCCTTACGCTGGATACATTTATCTTGAAATGGATAACCACATGTGACGACCTCAATCTGTTGTACATATCAAGCAATTCGACTTTTTTTTGTAATATCATGGCTTTCTTCTCTGCTTCTTGGGAGCACTTCCGGCATCACCAGTGATAATCCATGACTTCATTTGGGTCCCATGGTATTATTCAAGTTTTATGGTATTGCACTAAACACGGTATGAACTGCTCATGTGGAGATGATTAGTGTTTTAAGCAGATACACCACTTGAGCTCACTCCAACAGCAACAGGAGGTGGCTACGATATTATTACAGTAGCATAGTATATACTACAGTTAATTTTATGTTTGTTTATATTTCTCAACTGCCTATGATGCCATGTATGGTCTGTGTTTGTGTGCATACATTTATCAATTTTAACTTTTAATAATAGACTTGTGGATATTTTATACAGTAAATAATAAAACACACTAGTATCTACATATGTTTTATGCATTCATGACATACCTAGCTTTTTAGTCTTTTCAATATTTCTAGGCTACATGGTTCTTCTGCAAGTTTTTTCAAATTGTTGCAAATATCCAAAAATTTTTCCAATATGTTTGTTGAAAAAAATCTACAGATAGGTGGACCTGTGCGGTTCAAACCTGTGTTGTTAAAGGGTCAAATGTAGTTTCTTAGCTATAGTACCAAAAACACAAGCAAGGAAAGACAAAAAAACCTGAGTATCAAAAATATAAACATTTGTACCACAGAGGACATCATCAAGAAAATGAAAAGACAACCAAAGATGGGAAAAAATTTTATAAATTACACCTGGTAAGGTACTTGTATGTAAAATATACAAAGAACTCTTACAAATACACAACAAAAAGAAAACACAATTCAAAAATGGGCAAAGGATCTCAATAGATATTTCTCTAAAAAAGATATACAGACTGCCAATAAGCACACAATAAGATGGTGAACATCATTTGCCATCAGGGAAATGCAAATCAAAACCACAGTGAGATACTACTTCTCAGCCACTATGATATTTTTAATCAAAAAGACATAATAAGTATTGACAAGGATGTAGGGAGATTAGAATCCTCATATACCTCTGGTGGAAATGTAAAATACAGCCAGTGGTTTTGGAAAACAGTCTGACAGTTCCTCAAGTGGTTAAACATAGAGTTACCATATGACCCAGTGATTTCACTAAGTATAAACCCAAGGAAAATGAAAACATAATATCCACTTAAAACCTGTATATAAATATTCATAGGAATATATTTTAACAGCATAATGCTAAGTGAAATAAGCCAGTTACTAATTATGACACTGGACAATCCTATCCATGTGAAATCTCTAGGCAAATCTGTGGAGACAGAAGTAGATTCGTAGTACTTTATAGATCAGTTGTTCAGGGTCAGGGAGATAGGGAAATTAGGGCGTGAGCTAAAGAGGACAGGATTTCTTTATGAGGTAGTGAATATGTTCTAATTTTGATTGCTGTGATGGATGCACAACTCTATGAATATACTAAAAGCCATTGAACTATACACTTTGAATTAGTGAATTGTAAAGTATGTGAATTATATAACAAAGCGGTAGATAATTGTTTAAAATGCAAATAGAAACAATGTAATATGGGATTAATAATATATAATAGTAAAATGCATTATAACAATAGCATAAGAGAAAAGAGGAAAAAACAGAAGTATAAGGTTGCAAGGTTCCTACACTATATATGAAACAAAGTAATATAATTTAAGGCTGACTATAGTGTGTTAGAGACATATATTCTAAACTGTAGAGAAACTTCATTAAAAAATAAAGGGAGTATGGCTAATAAAATAATACTGGAGATAAAACGGAATTTGAAGAAAAAAACCCAAAACAAGGCAGAAAAAGAAGGAAAAAAGGCATAGGGAGCACAAATCAAACAGAAAAATAGGAAATGGCTTCTTTAAATCCAATCATATCCATAATTACAATAAATGTAATGCTTTAAATGAAAGGTTAGCAAACTTTTACTGTAAAAAGACAGATAATAAATATTTTTAGTTGTGGACTGTGTAATCTCCACCAAAACTATGCAACTGCCACTGCAAGCACAAAATAGCCACAGATAATACATGAATGAATGAGCAAATCTATGTTCCAATGAAATTTTAGAAAAACTAGAAATTTGGATATAATTTTCATGTACCACAAGTTATTACTCTTTTGATTTTTTCCAACCATTTAAAAATGTAAAAACAATTCTTAGGAGCTGTATAAAAGCAGATTTACCCACAGAACACCCTTGTATAAATTGGCCCACCCTTGTATAAATACTACAGTGACAAGCAGTCTTTAAGATTGGATAAAAAGACCCAACTATATGCTCTCTGCAAGAAACCCACCCTTATATACTAACAGATTTTAAGTAAAAGGATAAAAAATACACTATGCAAACATTAAAAACACAAAAGCTTGAGGGTCTATATAAACATCAGATAATGCAGTCTCCAGAATGAGAGATTACAGGCTAAATGTATAGTTTGAATTTTTGTCCCCATCTATATCTCATATTGAATTGAGTTGTAGTTCCCAATGCTGGAGGTGGGGGCTTGGTGGGAGGTGGTTTGGCTCTTGGTGGCAGTCCTTCATGGCTTGGTGCTGTCTTTGTGATAGTGAGTTCTCATAAGATCTGGTTGTTTAAAAGTGTGTGGTATACTGTACCCACCTTACTCTCTCTCATCTTGCTCCTGCTTTCACCATGTGATATGCCTGCTCCCACTTCACCTTCGCTACCAGTAAAAGCTCCCTGAGGCCTCCCCCATTTATGAGGTAGTGAAAATGTTCTAAAGCTGATTGCCGTGATGGATGCACAACTCCGTGAATACCCTAAAAGTGATTGAACTATACATTTTGATCGGTGAATTGTATAGTATGTGAATTATATCTCCCCAGAACCCAAGTGATGTTGGCACCATGCTTGTACAGCCTGAGAACCATGAACCATAAATCTCTTTATAAATCACCCAGTCTCAGGTATTTTTTTATGGCAGTGCAAGAATGGCCTAATACAGAAAATTGGTACCAAGGAGTGGGACACTGCTATAAAGATACCTGAAAACGTGGACACAACTTTGGAATTGGGTAATAGCAGAGGCTGGAAGAGTTTGGAGGGCTCAAAAGAAAACAGGAAGATAAAGGAAAGTTTGGAACATCTCAGAGATTGGTTAATGGTCGTGACCAAAATGCTGATAGTGATATGGACAGTGAAGTGAGCTCTCAGATGGAAATGAGGAACTGGCTGGGAACTGGAGCAAAGTCATACATGTTATGCTTTAACAAAGAACTTGGCTGCATTCTGTTTGTGCCCTAGGGATCTGTGGAAGTTTGACTTCAAAGCGATGATTTAGGGTATCTGGTAGAAGAAATTTCTAAGCAGTAAAGTATTTAATATGTGTCCTGGCTGTTTCTAGCAAGCTATGCTCAGATGTGGGAGTAAAGAAATGATTTAAAGTTGGAACTTTTAAAAGGGAAGCAGGGTGTAAAAGTGGAAAATTTGCAGCCTGGCCATGTAGAAAATAAAAGCTTGTTTTCAAAGGAAGAATCCAAGCAAGCTGTGGAGCAACCACTTGCTAGAGATATTCGCATAACCAAAAGTGAGCCAAGAGCTAACATCCAAGACAATGAGAAAAAGTCCTCAAAAGCATTTCAGAGACCTTTGCAGCAGCCCTTCCCATTACAGGCCCAGAGACCTAGAAGGGAAGAATGGTTTCATGGTCCAGGCCCAGGGTCCTGCTGCCCTGCACAGCCTCAAGACACTGTTTTCCTCATTCTGACCACTCTGGCTCCAGCATCGGCTAAAGGAGCCCCAGATATAGCTCAGACTGCTACTTCAGAGGGTGCAAGCCATTAGCCTCAGTGGCTGGCATGTGGTGTTAAGCCTGTAGGCATGCAGAGTGCAAGAGTGAATGAGGCTTGGCAGCCATCGTCTAGATTTCAGAGAATGTATTAAAAAAAGTCTGGGTATCTAGGCAGAAGCCTGCTGCAAGGGTAGAGTCTTAGAGAGAACCTCTACTAGGGAAGTATGGAGTGAAAAAGTGGGATTGTACCCCCCACAGAGAGTCCCCACTGGGGTACTGCCTAGCAGAGCTATGAGAAGAGGGCCACTGTCCTCCAGAGCCCAAAACAGTAGATCCACTGGCAGCTTGCACCTTCAGTGTGGAAAAGCTGTAGGCACTCAACTCTAGCCTGTGAGAGTAGCCTCGGGGGTTGAACACGGCAAGGCCACAGGGGTGGAACTGCTCAAGGCTTTGGGAGCCCACCCTTCATATCAGTGTACTTGGATGTGGGACATGGAGTCAAAGGAGATTATTTCGGAGCTTTATGATTTAATGACTGCCCTGCTGGGTTTTGGACCTGTGTGGGCCTGTAGCCCCTTTCTTTTGGCCAATTTTTTCCTTTTGGAAGAGGAATGTTTATCCAATGCTTACATCTCCTTTGTATCTTGGAAATAACTAACTTGTTTTTTATTTTACAGGCTCATAGGCGAAGGGATTTGCCTCAGATCTCATGTCCTTCTCACATTATAAAATACAATCATGCCTTCCCAATAGTCTCCTAAAGTCTTAACTCATTCCAGCATTAACTCAAAACTCCAAAGTCCAAAGTCTCATCTGAGGCAATCTCCTTTGACTTCAACTCATTCTATTAGACAAGCATTACTTTGACATTAACACCAGATAAAGGCATTAAGAAAATTATAGAACAATATTCTCCATGAACACAGATGCAAAAATCTTTAAGAAAATTTCAGGAAATTAAAACCAGCAATATATAAAAAGGATCCTCCATCATAGCCAAGTAGACTTTATCTCAGAAATACAAGGTTGATTAAACACTGTAATGTCAATCAGTATAATTTATATATTAACTACAAGAGAAAAGCCATATGATCATCTCAACAGATATTGAAAAAGCATTTGACATACTCAAGTATCAATTTATGATTAAAACTCCCAGTAAACTAGGAATAAAAGGAAACTTTTACAGCCTGATAAAGGACATCTATGAAGACCCAAAGCTAACATCATCCATAATGGTCTAAAACTAAATGCCTTCTCACTAAGATGAAAAACAGGCATGGAAGGGTATCTGTTCTCAACCCAGAGGCCCTTGCCAGTCCAGCACAACAAGAAAAATAAATAAAACACATTACTATGAAGACTGGAAAGGAAAAAGTAAAACTATTTTTATTTGCTGAAGATATGATCCACTGTGAAGACAATCCTGTGAACTCTACAACTATAACAGGACCCATTATGAAAAAATTCCTAAGAACTCTACTAGAACTAATAAGTGAGTATAGCAAAGCCACAGGACATAAGTCCAATATACAAAAATTAATTGTATTTCTATGTATTAGCAACCAACAAGAAATTTAAAAATACCATTTATATTAGCATTCAGTTATAAAATTCTTAGTAAAATATGTACACTGCAAACTAAAACTCTGCTAGGAGTAATTAAAGACCAAAATAAATCAAGAAACATATCGTATTTATGAATTGGAAGCTCAACATAATCAACACATTAATCTTCACCAAACTGATTTAAAACAAGAGTTGCAATCAAAATCTCAGTGGGCTTTTTTGTTTTCCAAAGAAATTCAAAATCCAAAACTTAAAAAAGAGCAAAAATCTTGAATAGGCACTTTGCAAAAAAACTTATAATATACAGATGGCCAATAAGCACAACGATATGGTTTGGATCTGTGTCCTCACCAAATCTCATCCCCAGTGTTGGAGGTGGGAGGGTATAATTCCCTGGTAGGAGGTAACTGGACCACGGGGGCAGAGTCCTCATGAATGGGTTAGCAGCATTCCCTCGGTGCTCTTCTTGTGATAGTGAGTGAGTTAGTGTGAGATCTGGTTGTTTAAAAGTGTGTGGCACCTTCCCCTTCTCTCTCGTGGTCCTGTTCCTCCAATGTAAGACACCTGCTCCTGCTTTGCCTTCCACCATGAATAAAAGCTCCTTGAGGCTTCCCCAGAAGCAGATGCTGCCATGCTTCTTGTAGAGCCTGTGGAACCACATGAGCCAATTAAACCTCTTTTCTTTATAAATTACCCAGTCTCAGGTATTTCTTAATGGCAGTGTAAGAACGAACTAATATTATAATTAGTCTGTAGGGAAATGTAAACTGAAACTACAACAATATATCACTATGCATCCATTAAATTAAGAGAGTGATATCAAATGTTAGTGAGGAAGTACAGCAATTGGAACTCTCATATGTTGTTAGTTAGAATGTTACAACCACTTTGGAAAACAGCTTCTCAGCCTCTTAGGTTAAATACAAGCTTTCCATATGACCCAACACCCCCATACTACTAGGTATTTACAGAAGAGAAATGAAAACATATGGTCCAGACTAAGACTAATAATAGCCCCAAACTGGAAATAACCCAAAGGTTCATCAAATAGAAAGGATAAGCATAGAATAGTATATCTATACAATGGAATAGCATTCAAGAATAAAAAGGAATAATCTACTGATATATTCAACAACATGATAAGTCTTTGGTTTCAATTTTGTGAATTCAAACAAAAGAATATATACTTATTCAATGTATGGCACTGGAGGAAAGGCACAACTGTTACAACAGAAAGCAGCTTAGTGATTGTAAGAGTTGGGTGTGGAAAGGAAGGTTCTGCCACAAAGGTGAATTGCAGAGCTGCATGAGGTAAGGAAAATGTTCTACATCTTGATTGTGATGGTGGTTACATGACTGTATATATTAGTAAAAAGTCACTAAACTGGGCTGGGCACAGTGGCTCATGCCTGTAATCCCAGCACTTTGGGAGGCCGAGGCAGGTGGATCACTTGAGGTCAGGAGTTCAAGACCAGCCTGGCCAACATGGCGAAACCCCCTCTCTACTAAAAATACAAAAATTATCCAGGCATGTTGGCACATGCTTGTAATCCTAGCTACTTTGAGAAGCTGAGACACAAGAATCGCTTGAACCCGGGAGGTGGAGGTTGCAGTGAGCTGAGATCACACCATTGCATTCCAGCCTGGATAGCAAAGCAAGACTTTGTCTCAAAAAAAAGTCACTAAACTGTAAGCTTAAAATTGGTGAATCTTATACCTCAGTAAAGATTAATAAAAACAAAAAATCAAAGTGTAACATAAGATCATAAACATTCTGGTATAATCAGTAAGTATAAGGGTAACAACTCAAAAGTTAGAAAAATTTATACTCAGATTAAAAGGAAAGATCACGTGCAGTGCCTCAGGCCTGTAATCCCAGCACTTTGCGGGGCTAAGGTAGGCAGATTGCTTCAGGCCAGGAGTTGGAGACCAGCCTGGACAACATAGCAAGACCCTGTCCCTACAGGAGAAACAAAATTAGCTGGGCATGGTGGCACATGCCTGTGGTCCCAGATACTTGGGAGGCTGAGTGGCAGGATTGCTTGAGCCCAGGAGTTTGAGGCTGCAGTGAGCTATGATTGCCACTGCATTCCAGCTTGGGCAACAGAGTGGCAGCCTGTCTCTAAAACACAAAAACATTGGAAGGAAAAAAACCACAATGTAAGTATAAAAAATATATACCTAAAACTTACGAATGTTGAAAATAAAAGGCTGAAGACATGCAAAAGCAAATTCAAAAAAATTCTAAAAATTCTAAAAGCAAATTCTAAAAAATAGCAAAGATTATAACATTAGAAGCTTCATTAAAGAAAAAAGCCATGATGAAAAACTTAAATTCTAAGAGGGAGCAATATTACAGATGACATTCATTGCCCATCATGAAATTAAACTAGAAATTGATACCAAAATTAGGAGAAAACCCACTACTATAGGAAATTAAAATGAAAACAACAACTTCTCTTTGAACCAAATAAAAAATTAAATCCAAACTATATTATAAAAATTATAATAAAAGTCTAGTATTTATCAGAATCAGAACCTGGGAGAAAAATGCATAGCACCAAAAATACCCTGGCCAGGCACTCATGCCTATTATCCCAACGTTTTGGGAGGCCAAGGCGGGAGGATGGCTTGAGCCAGGGAGTTCCAGAACAGCCCCGGGCAATGCAGTGAGCCCTCGTCTCTACTGAAAACAACAATAATAAATTAGCTGGGAGCAATGGTGCACGCCTGTAGTCCCAGCTACTCAGGAGGCTGAGGCTGGAAAATTGCTTGAGCCCAGGAGATCGAGGATGCAATGAGCCATGACTATGCACTACATGCAAGCCTGGGAGGCAGTGTGAGACCCTGTCTCAAAAAAGAAAAGAAAATCTTTGCATTGACATCTGTTTCCAGAACAACATGGCGGCAGCTTATTTGTGAATTGTCCCTCTTTCTTGTTGTTAATAATATATAACAACAAGAAGAAAACAAAACAAAATCCACAAACAACATTTCAGCAAAACTAAGAAACAGAAAACCTGCAAACTCAAAATTGTGGTTAAGTACTGCTGAAAACAGAGTTGTACAGCAGAACTGGATGGGAAGTTGCAAAGGTACTATGGAAGAGAAACATGTTAAGGGAAAGGTGGTCTGACAGGTGCTGAGAAGTCTCTAGCATCTTCCAGAAGAGCAAGAGCCTGTTACTGAGAGGAAGTGCCTGTGAGTGTGATGTAGCTTGAACAGGGCAGGACTGATTACTGGGGAGGCAGAGAGAGAAAGCTAATCAAGGCTCAGGCTGTGGGTACAGAGGGGGAAGATCTCACAAAATACCAGCTATAGTGGCGTCACCTGGGATGGCAAGAGGAGGGATTTATGAAACAGAGACCTGCAGGAAGAAGCCTTTCTCAACCAGGCTAGGACTTGAGAGCCAGAGCTGCGGACACATGGAAGAGTTACCTCTAGGCCTTTCCCACAGCAGCAGTAGAGAAAACACTAAACTACAAAGCTGAAACAACCATGACCCATTATATATTACCTTCCCTAGGATCCTCCTGTGCTCCAAGTCTAGGAAACTCTTTCATTCAAAAATTCATTCAAAATACTATGAGAAATAAAAAATAGGCTAACATTCATACAGTTAATGAAAACTTACCCCAAAATCACACAAAGTAGATGACAATTATAACTTAAGATTCCAAGATGAGCTAAAAAGTTTTTAAATATTGATAATATATTACCTTTCTTGGTGTTTCCCTTTATTATACTCTTGAATATGTTTAAGCTTCTATTACATTTGTCAACTTTCAACATCACTTGACTGCCAGTTATTACAAATAGAGTAGTAAGCAAGTTTATTCTTCTACTTTTTCTCCCTTTCTATTTTTTGTTGTTGTATTATTCCTGCCTTATTAGACTGTCTAACATTTATTTATATACCATTGTTATCCTTACATCTATCTTTGATTTAGTCACTGCTCACCACCAAAATAAATAAGCTTATGGAAGCCCTAAAAGCATAATGAATAAAATAGACCTTATATATACACACACACACATATACATGTATACATATGTATGTATGTAATAGTATATATGTATATATGTATGTATGTATCTATACTTCGGTAAAGAGAATGCATCTTCTCTTTAAGAACTCATGAAACATTCATAAAAACTGGTATTAGGCCACAAAGAAAACAACAATAGATTGTAAAAGGAAGAAATAATACAGACAATATTATTTGATCTCAATACAATAACAATAGAAATAACAAAATCAGAAAACATAAAGGCTCTTTCACATAGGAAAACATCAGTCTTCATTATACAACTCTTAGGTCAAAGGGGTAGAATCAACTAAAACTGAGCTAACACAATGTAGAAAAACAGGAGAAAAATAAGAGAAAGCATGAATGTACAAAATAAGGAACGAAATAGGCCGGATGTGGTGGCCCATGCCTGTAATCCCAGCACTTTGGGAGGCCAAGGTGGGCAGATCACTTGAGGCCAGGAGTTTAAGACCAGCTTGACCTACATGGCAAAACCTCATCTCTACTAAAAATACAAAAATTAGCCAGGCATGGTGGCACACACTTATAATCTCACCTAGTCGGAAGGCTGAGGCACAAGAATCACTTGAACCTCGGAGGCAGAGTTTGAGCTGAGACTGCACCACTGTATTCCAGCCTGTGTGACAGAGTGAAACTGTCTCAAAAAATAAATAAATAAAATAAACAAGAAACAAAGACTTTTTTTTAAAGGGGATACTTTTTATGACACTATAGAATATATCCAATATAAATCTTTTTCTTGGAAAACATAATTTGCCAAAACTGACTCCAGAAGCTATATAAAGCCTGAACAGATTAATTTCCACAGAAGAAGCAGACAAAGCAGTCTACTCCCCTAAAAAGCCCCATGTCCCACTGCTATGTAAACTGTTCCAGAGCACAAAAAAGGAATACAAAGCTCCTAATTCTTTTTATGAAGTGGTGGTAACTTTGGTAACAATAGAAAAATAAATATTAAAACCTGAAAAAATTGCACAAAAGAGCTCTACAGTTTTCATCTATGAATATTGAGGCAAAAATATTTAGACATTAGAGACAAGACTACCAGCACATATAAGAATAATAGGTCATGACCAAGTGAAGTTTATTCTTTTTTAAAATTTTTATTTCAATAGCTTTTGGGGTGCAAGTGGTTTTCGGTTACTTGGATGAATTCCATAGCGGTGAATTCTCAGATTTTAGTGTACCCGTCACCTGAGTAGTGTACATTGTATCTAATATGCAGTCTTTTATCCCTCACTCCCTTTTCCCTCCTTCTGCCTCAAGTCCCCAAAGTCCATTATATCACTGTACATCTTTGTGTCCTCACAGTTTAGCTCTCACTTATAAATGAGAACATACGGTATTTGACTTTCCATTCCGGAATTACTTCACTTAGAATAATGGCCACCCAGTTGCTATAAAATACATTATTTTGTTCCTTACTAGTATTTTCATTCCTTTTAGTCCAGGGGATATATATACCATGTTTTCTTTATCTACTCATTGGTTAAGGCATTTAAGTTGGTTCTTTGCAATTGTGAAATGTGCTGCTACAAACGTGTGTGCATGTGTCTTTCTCATACAATAACTTCTTTTCCGGTGGGGAGATACCTAGCAGCGGGATTTCTGTATTGAATGGTAGATCTACTTTTAGTTCTTTAAAGAGTCTCCATACTGTTTTCCATAGAGGCTGCACTAATATACAGTCCCAACAGTAGGGTAAAAGTGTTCCCTTTTCACCACATCCATGCCAACATCTACTCATTTCTGACTTTTTCTTCATGGCCATTCTTGCAGGAGTAAGGTGGTATCTCATTG
Organism: Homo sapiens; assembly: GCF_000001405.40. Lineage (NCBI taxonomy): Eukaryota > Metazoa > Chordata > Mammalia > Primates > Hominidae > Homo > Homo sapiens. Next base: position 95,821,310 of record NC_000013.11, read on the forward strand.
TGGTTTTAACTTGTATTTCCCTGCTGAATAGTAATGTTGGGCATTTTTTCATGTTTGTTGGCCATTTGTGCGTCTTCTTTTGACAAATTTCTATTCATGTCCTTTGCCCACGTTTGATGGGATTATTTTTTTCTTGCTAATTTGAGTTTTTTGTAGATTCTGGATACTAGTCCTTTGTTAGATGCATAGTTCACAAATATTTTCTCCCATTCTGTGGGTTGTAGGTTTAGTCTGATGATTATTTCTTTTGCCATGCAGAAGCTTTTTAATTAGGTCCCATTTACTTATTTTTGTTCCATTTGCTTTTGGAGTCTTGGTCATGAATTCTTTGCCTACGCCAATGTCCAGAAGAGTTTTTCCAGTGTTATTGTCTAAAATGTTTATGGTTACAGATTTAAGTCTTTGAGCCATCTTGAGTTAATTTTTGTATAAGGTGAGAAATGGGGATGTGGTTTCATTCTTCTATATGTGGCTTGCAAGTTTTCCCAGCATCATTTATTGAATAGGGTGACCTTTCCCCAGTTTATGTTTTTTAATGCTTTGTCAAACAACAGTTGGCTGTAAGTATTTGGCTTCATTTCTGTGTTCTCCCTGCTGTTCCATTGGTCTACATGCCTATTTTTATACAAGCATCACACTGTTTTGCTAACTATAGCCTTGTAGTAGAATTTGAAATCTAGTGATGTGATGCTTCCAGATTTGTTCTTTTTGTTTAGGATTGCTTTAGCTATTCAGGCTCTTTTTTTGGTTCCATATGAATTTTAGGATTGTTTTTCCTAGTTCTGTGAAAAATGATAGGGTATTTGGATGGGAATTGCATTGAATCTGTAGGTTGCATTGGGCAGTATGGTCATTTTCACAATATTGATTATTTCCACAGCATGTGTTTTCATTTGTGTCATCTATGATGATTTCTTTCAGCAGTTTTCCTTGTAGGGATCTTTTACCTCCTTGGTTAGGTATATGCCCAGGTATTTTCTTTTCTTTGCAGCTGTTATAAAAGGGATTGACTTCTTGATTTGTGTCTTAGCTTGGTCATCCTTCGTGTATAGCAGTGCTACTGATTTGTGTGCAGTGACTTTGTAGCCTGAGACTTTATTGAATTAGTTTATCAGAACTAGGATTTTTTTGGATAAGTCTTTAGGGTTTTCTAGGTAGATGGTCATATCACTGGTGAACAGCACTAGTTTGACTTCCTCTTTTCCACTTTGTTATGTCCTTTATTTCTTTTGCTTGCCTAATTGCTCTGGCTAGGACTTCCAGTACTATGCTAATAGTTCGTACATGTAAAGGTGTTCATAGTGGTCTCGAATGATCTTTTGTATTTCTGCAGTATTGTTTGTGATGTCTCCGGTTTCATTTCGAATTGAGCTTATTTGGATTTTCTCTCTTTTTGGTTAGTCTCACTAATGATCTATCAATTTTGTTTATCTTTTCAAAGAACCAGCTTCTTGTTTCATTGTTCTTTTTTGTTTGTTTCAATTTCATTTAGTTCTGCTCTGATCTTTGTGATTTCTTTTCTTTCAATGGCTTTGGGTTTAGTTTGTTCCTGTTTCTCTAGTTCCTTGAGGTTGTCTATTTGTGCTCTTTCAGACTTTCTGATGTAGGCATTTGATGCTATGACTTTTCCTCTTAGCACTGCTTTTGTTGTATTCCAGAGGTTTTGATAACTTGTGTCACTATTACCATTCATTTCAAAGAATCTTTGAATTTCCATCTTGATTTCATTATTAATCCCCAAATCATTCAGGAGCAGATTATTTAATTTCCATGTATTTGTATAGTGTTTACAGTTCCTTTGGGAGCTGATTTCTAATTTTATTCCACTGTTGTCTGAGAAGATACTTGATATGATCTCGACTTTCTTAAATTTATTGAGACTTGTTTTGTGGCCTATGTTGGAGAATGTTCCATGTGCTAAGAAGAATGTATATTCTGCAGTTGTTGGGCAGAATGTTCTGTAAACTTCTGCTAAGTCCATTTGTTTTAGGGTATAGCTTAAGTCCACTGTTTGTTGGCTTTCTGTCTCAATCTATTTAGTGCTGTCAGTGGAGTACTTAAGTCCACCACTATTATTGTGTTGCTATTTTATTTGTTGGGTCTAGTAGTAACTGTTTTATAAATATGAGAGCTCCAGTGTTAGGTGCATATAAATTTAGTATTATAGTATCTTCTTGTTGGATTGATCCTTTTATCATTATATAATGACCTTGTCTTTTTTCACTGCTGATGCCTTAAAGTCTGTTTTGTCTGATATAAGAATAGCTACGCCTGCTTGCTTTGGTTTTCATTTGTGTAGCTTATCTTTTCCATCCCTTTACCTTGAATTTATGTGAATTCTTATATGTTAGTTAAGTCTCCTGAAGAAAGCAGATATTTGGATTGTGATTTTTAAATTCATTCTGCCATTCTATATCTTTTAATTGGAGCATTTAGGCCATTTACATTCAATGTTAATAGAGATATGGGGTAATGTTCTATTCATCAATATTAGTTGTTACCTAGATAAACTGTTGTTGTTGTGTTAGTTTTACAGGCTCTGTGAGTTTTTTATTTTTTATTTTTTGCTTTTAAGAAGTTCTATTTTAGTGCATGTTGAACTTTTGTTTCAGGATTTAGAACTTCTTTTAGCATTTCCTATAGTGCTGGTTTGGTAGTAGCAAATTCCCTGAGCATGTGTTTCTCTGAAAATGACTTCATTTCTCTTTCGTTTATGAAAGGTTTTAGTTTTACTGGATTTATTCATTTTGCTGGATACAAAATTCTTGACTAACAGTTATTCTGTTTAAGGAGGCTAAAGATAGGACCCCATTTCCCTTCTAGCTTATAAGGTTTCTGCTGAGAAGTCTGCTGTTAGTCGGATAGGTTTTCTCTTACAGATTATTTGATGCTTTTGTCTCACAGCTCTTAGAATTCTTTCCTTCTAGTTGATTTTAGATACCTGACAACTGTGTGCTTCGGTGATGATCTTTTCATAATGAAATTTCCGAGGAGTTCTTTGAGCTTCTTGTATTTGGATATCTAAATCTCTAGCAAGGCCAGGGATGTTTTCCTCAATTATTCCCTCAAATAAGTTTTGCAAACTTCTAGCCTTCTCTTCTTCCTCAGGAACACCAATTATTCTTAGGTTTGGATGTTTTACATAATCCCATATTTCTTAAAGACTTTCTTCATTTCTTTTGATTCCTTTTTATCTTTGTCTTATTGGATTAATCAAAAGCCTATCTTTGAGCTCTAAAATTCTTTTGTCTACATGTTGTAGTCTATTGTTGAACCTTTCCATGGCATTTTATAGTTCCCTAAGCATGTCTTTCATTTCCAGAGTTCTGATTGATTTTTCTTTATATCTCTCTAGAAAATTTTTCATTCATATCCTGAATTTTAAAAAAATTATGTTGGTTTTCACCTTTCTGTGGTATCTCCTTGAGTAGTGTAATAATCTTCTAAATTCTTTATCTGGTATTTCAAAGATTACATCTTGGTTTGGATCCACTGCTGGAGAGACCGTGTGATCTTTTTTGGGGGTGTTAAAGAACACTGTTTTGTCATATTACCAGAATTACTTTTCTGGTTCCTTCTCATTTGGGTATACTATTTCTTCTAATTGTTCTTTATTTTTTATTTGACAGCATTTTTAATTTCTTCTTTCCCCCTTAAGAATGTGAGTTTAATGTTTATTATAGCTTAATTTGGTTATTTGTGCTTTTGGGAGTGAAGACTCTATGAATTCCTTGGTTGTGGAGAGTCTTTCTATGATGGCTTCCTCAGATGTGGTTGTAATAGTCATGTACTCAGTGTGTTGGCAAGTTTGCTATCTCCTATGGAATTGTAATGGCAGAGGTCTCTTGAAGCTTACCTCATTCCCCTGTGGTGTGCACTTTTTAATTTAATTTCTCCCCAGTATTTTATTTACTGAGTTGATGGTTCAGGCTTCAGGATAGGAGTGGTATCCCTGGGTAGGAACCTGTTGTAGCTAAAGCAGGTGGTAAATGTAATATCCAATGGTGGACAGAGGTACCAGCCTTGATGAAGGTGGCTGAGGGAGCTCTCAATTAGATGCACTGATGTCTTAACAAGGGGAAGAGTGAGAGCCACCTCAGCTTCCTTGCCAGGCCAAGCAAGAAAGCTATCCAACTCCCAGACTCACTCTTATCCCAGTGGTCCAGCTATTCAGGTATTTTTATCTGTAGGCATGTTGATGTTCTAAGGAGAGAGGAATTGTGACTGCCTCTTGTGCAAGCCTGAACCTGGAGGATACCTCTCCTGCGGCAATGCAGTCACCCTGAAGTGTTCCAGGAAGGCTGTCTATAGGTTCAGCCACACTGAGCTCCTGTGGGAGAAGCCCCAGCTGTGTCTGCAGTGGTGGACAAGGTGGGAAAGGTCTTCTCCAAGACCCTCCAAGAGCACCAAGTCTGCCTGAATGTTGGGGTACAGCTCCAGACTTTTTCCTGCTGAGCCTAGCACTGCAATTATGTCTCTGCTGAAAGAAACTCCCACCAGCAGAAAGATCTGGGACTCAAGGCCTGTTGTCTGAATTCTTTTGTCCCACAGGTTGCTCCCTTGATGTGGTGCTCTTCCCCTTCTCCTAGGAGTAGGAGTCTCTGAGAACCAGACTACAGTGATTGCTACTGCTCTTCTGTGTCCAGCCAACCTGTAGGGCCAAGTGGAGTTTATTCTAGGAATACAAGGATGCTTCAATATTAGAAAAAATGATTCGATATTAGGAAATATATTAATATAGTTATAGATTATAATTTATAATAAACTACAAATAATGTTGTAGTTTATAATCTATAAGTTGAAAAATTATGTGTCACCTCTATTTCTGTTGAATAAGTTGATAAAATGCAACCAATTCAACCCATCTTTGATAAAAATATTAAAATAGGAATCAATGGTTATTTCCTCAAGATGATAAAAATATTCTTCTTCAGTCCAACACTATTATCTTAACGGGGAAACATAGAAGTTGGTCAACCACAGTAAGGAAAAAGGCCTACTACCACCACTTTATTATTTAACACCGTATTAGATGTATAAGTCAAAGCAAGTAAAATAAACAAACAAACAAACAAAAACAGTGTGATGTACAATGATCAGAAAGGAAAAGGGAAAACCATCTTTATTTGGAGATAAGATGTGGGTATTCCTGGAAAAACCCAAGAGAATAAGCTGAAACATTACTACAACCAATATAAAAATTCAGTATGATCATGGGAAATAAAGATCCATGTATAGAAAGTAGTCTTTATGTACAAGCAACCACCAGTAAGAAGATATTCTTCAAGAGAAAAATTCCATTTATAACAGTAGCAAAGAAAAGCTTAAACTATATATATATATAAGCTATATGATTAAAATGTTATGATTCTTGAGGAAAACTGGACTTGAATATATAGAAAGACAATGTATTCTGAGACAGTAGTTTCCATGAAGATGTCAATTCTCTCAAGCCAACTAATTAATGTAATCCTTTCTCTGACCATCCCACACAGCCCCCCAAGAAAAACACAGAAAATTTTCTGAAACTAAGTTGATTCTAAGGCTTGTATGGAAAAAAAACAAGAATACACAGAAAAACAACAAAAAAGAAGAGTAATAAGGAAAGGCTAGCCTTACTTGATATTAAAACATAATATAAGTCCTTAATAATTAAAGTGGTATGTACTTGGCACATGTATAGACAGAGACCAATGGAACGGAATAAAAAGGGCCAAACAAGACATCCTAATATTGGAATTTAATATATGATAAAGATGGCAATACAAATGTGTGGAACAGAAATTAATTTCTTCCAGTGTCAGGCAACAATCCTCTAGAAAAAAACAGGCAAATGACAAGAACAGCGGAAGAAATACTAATGGCCTTTAAATATATGACAAGATTCTTAACTCCACCCATGTTATGGGTTTAATTCATATTTCAAAAATACATGAATTTTGGTCCCCACAAAATTTACAAGAATTCTAACTTCTGGTATCTCCAAATGTATCCTTATTTGGAGGCAGGATCTTTACAGAGGAAATCAAGTTAAAATAAGGTCATAAGCGTAGACCCTAATCCAATATGACAGGTGTCCTAACTGAACAAGGACAGAGAATGTGAAGACAATGTGAAGACACATAAGGAAAAGAAAGCCATTTACAAACCAAGGAGAGACGTCTGTGTTAAATTCTTTCCTCGCAGCCCTCAGAAGGTATCAACCCTGTGGACACCTTCATCTTGGACTTTCAGCTTCCAGAACTGTGAGACAATAAATGTCCAGTTTAAGCCAGCCAGTTTGTGGAACTGTGTTATAGCAGCCCTAGCAAACTAATATAATGAAAAAGAGAAATGTAAATTATAAAAGATATACTATATCTCAAGCCATCCTTATAGAGTTAAACAAGAATTCTGGACAGAAGTATGGTTAACTATTAGTCAGGCAGCACTTTGACCCACTTCCTTGTAACTGAAAGTTACTTAGCACTAGATACTGACCATTTGCATCCCCATTGTTCTTGTGGATGGGATTTCTGACATCAGAATCATAAGGCTTTTAAGAATTGCCTAAGCAGATCGTGAGTTCCAGCAGAACAGCTGACACCAACCAGTTTGAAGATCCCCACAAAGTAACCAATTCAGCATGAGAATATAGTTTCTTCATCTCCCTATACCACGACTTCACCTTGCACTCTTCGACCAATCAATGCTCTCCATACTCTGGCCCCCTCCAAAACCCTTAAAAATCACTAGTCACAAACTGCTCAGGGACACAGACTTGAGTTTTCATTCTGTTTCCTCATTTGGCAGCCCTATGATTAAACCTCTCTCTCTGCTGCAACCTGGACATATCAGAATCTCTGGGACACACTTAAAGCAGTGTGTAGAGGGAAATTTATAGCACTAAATGCCCACAAGAGAAAGCAGGAAAGATCTAAAATTGATACCCTAACATCACAATGAAAAGAACAAGCTAAGCAAGAGCAAACGCATCCAAAAGCTAGCAAAAGACAAGAAATAACTAAGATCAGAGCACAACTGAAGGAGACAGAGACACAAAAAACCCTTCAAAAAATCAATGAATTCAGGAGCTGGTTTTTTGAAAAGATCAACAAAATTGACAGACCGCTAGCAAGGCTAATGAAGAAAGGAGAGAAGAATCAAATAGATGCAATAAAAAATGATAAAGGGGATATCACCACTGATCCCACAGAAATACAAACTACCATCAGAGAGTATTATAGACAACTCTACGCAAATAAACTAGAAAATCTAGAAGAAATGGATAAATTCCTGGATACATGCACCCTCCCAAGACTAAACCAGGAAGAAGTTGAATCCCTCAATAGACCAAGAACAGACTCTGAAATTGAGGCAATAATTAAGAGCCTACCAACCAAAAAAAACTCCAGGACCAGACGGATTCACAGTCCTATTCTACCAGAGGTGCAAAGAGAAGCTGGTTCCATTCCTTCTGAAACTATTCCAATTAATAGAAAAAGAGGGAATCCTCCCTAACTCAATTTATGAGGACAGCATCATCCTGATACCAAAGACTGGGAGAGTCACAACAACAAAAGATAATTTTAGACCAATATCCCTGATGAACATCAATGCAAAAATCTTCAATAAAATACTGGCAAACCAAACCCAGAAGCACATCAAAAAGCTTATCCACCATGATCAAGTGGGTTTCATCCCTGGAATGCAAGGCTGGTTCAACATACACAAATCAATAAACGTAATCCAGCATATAAACAGAACCAAAGACAAAAACCACATGATTGTGTCAACAGATGCCGAAAAGGTCTTTGACAAAATTCAACAGCCCTTCATGCTAAAAACTCTCAATAAATTAGGTATTGATGGGACGTATCTCAAAATAATAAGAGCGATTTATGACAAACCCACAGCCAGTATCATACTGAATGGGCAAAAACTGGAAGCATTCCCTTTGAAAACTGGCACAAGACAGGGATGCCCTCTCTCGCCACTCCTATTCAACATAGTGTTGGAAGTTCTGGCCAGGGCAATCAGGCAGGAGAAAGAAATAAAGGGTATTCAATTAGGAAAAGAGGAAGTCAAATTGTCCCTGTTTGCAGATGACATGATTGTATATTTAGAAAACCCCATCGTCTCAACCCCAAATCTCCTTAAGCTGATAAGCAACTTCAGCAAAGTCTCTGGATACAAAATCAATGTGCAGAAATCACAAGCATTCCTATACACCATTAACAGACAAAGAGAGAGCCAAATCATGAGTGAACTCCCATTCAGAATTGCTACAAAGAGAATAAAGTACCTAGGAATCCAACTTACAAAGGATGTGAAGGACCTCTTCAAAGAGAACTACAAACCACTGCTCAAAGGAATAAAAGAGGACACAAACAAATGGAAGAACATTCCATGCTCATGGACAGGAAGAATCAGTATTGTGAAAATGGCCACACTGCCCAAGGTAATTCATAGATTCAGTGGAAAAAACTACTTTAAAGTTCATATGGAACCAAAAAACAGCCTGCATTGCCAAGACAATCCTAAGCCAAATGAACAAAGCTGGAGGCATCATGCTACCTGACTTTAAACTACACTACAAGGCTACAGTAACCAAAACAGCATGGTACTGGTACCAAAACAGAGGTATAGACCAATGGAACAGAACAGAGCCCTCAGAAATAATACCACACATCTACAACCATCTGATCTTTGACAAACCTGACAAAAACAAGAAATGGGGAAAGGATTCCTTATTTAATAAATGGTGCTGGGAAAACTGGCTAGTCATATGTAGAAAGCTGAAACTGGATCCCTTCCTTACATCTTATAGAAAAATTAATTCAAGATGGATTAAAGACTTAAATGTTAGACCTAAAACCATAAAAACTGTAGAAGAAAACCTAGGCAATACCATTGAGGACACAGGCATGGGCAAGGACTTCATGACTAAAACACCAAAAGCAATGGCAACAAAAGCAAGAATTGAGAAATGGGAACTAACTAAACTAAAGCGCTTCTGCACAGCAAAAGAAACTATCGTCAGAGTGAGCAGGCAACCTACAGAATGGGAGAAAATTTTTGCAATCTACCCATCTGACAAAGGGCTAATATCCAGAATCTACAATGAACTTAAACAAATTTACAAGAAAAAATCAAACAACCCCATCAAAAAGTGGGTGAAGGATATGAAGACACTTCACAAAAAACGATATTTATGCAGCCAACAGACACATGAAAAGATGCTCATCATCACTGGTCATTAGAGAAATGCAAATCAAAACCACAATGAGATACTGTCTCACACCAGTTAGAATGGCAATCATTAAAAAGTCAGGAAACAACAGATGCTGGAGAGGATGTGGAGAAATAGGAACACTTTTACAGTATGGTAAGGCTGTAAACTAGTTCAACCATTGTGGAAGTCAGTGTGGCGATTCCTCAAGGATCTAAAACTAGAAATACCATTTGACCCAGCCATCCCATTACTGGGTATATACCCAAAGGATTATAAATCATGCTGCTATAAAGACACATGCACACATATGTTTATTGCGGCACTATTCACAATAGCAAAGACTTGGAACCAACCCAAATGTCCAAAAATGATAGACTGGATTAAGAAAATGTGGCACATATACACCACGGAATACTATGCAGCCTTAAAAAAGGATGAGTTCATGTCCTTTGTAGGGACATGGATGAAGCTGGAAACCATCATTCTCATCAAACTATCACAAGGACAGAAAACCAAACACCGCCTGTCCTCACTCATAGGTGGGAAATGAACAATGAGAACACCTGGACACAGGGTGGGGAACACCATACACTGGGGCTTGTTGTGGGGTGGGGGTAGGGGGTGGGATAGCATTAGGTGACATATCCAATGTAAATGACGAGTTAGTGGGTGCAGCACACCAACATGGCACATGTATACATATGTAACAAACCTGCACATTGTGCACATATACCCTAGAACTTAAAGTATAATAATAATAAAAAAAAATCTCTTTTGTAAAACTTCTCTCCCTTACTTATATACATATCTATACACAAACACATACATACAGACCTATGATTTTTCTTTAATGGAAACGAGATCAATTATAAATATTGCTCTATAACCTATTTTTTAACTTAAAATATGCTGCCAGCACAAATACATTTACCTTGTTTGTCTTGAAAGGCTACACTGTATTTCATTGTTTGTATCAATGTTTATGTAACCAATTGTCTATTGATGGACAGATTATTTCTATTTCATTGTTAAAAATAATGCTATAATAAACACCAATATAGACATCATTTTTCTTTTTTTAAGTTTGTTGAAGTGAATTGCTGGGTGAAAGGGTATACAAATTTTAAGTTTTTATACATATAAAATTTCCTTAACTTATACAGCTACTATACGTTTACTTGTATAAAAATGCTAACTTTCCAACATTCTCACCAATGCTCATTATTATTAACTGTTACCTCTTTCCCAATTTGATAAAAGAAATACTTATATATAAGAAAAAGATGTTTTTTGTTGAGGTAATTTTCCTTTCTTCCTTCTTCCTGCTTTCTTTCCTTCTCTCCCTCCTCCCTTTGTCATCCTACTTCTCTCCCTTTAAAAAAAGTCATATCATACCACTTACAGAATATTTTCTTATGAATTGAAATAGTATCTTTATCTATACTAAATTATTATACATACATGGGTGTGTATAATGAACTTTTTGAACACACCAAGAAAACTTTTTTTTTTTAAAGGAAAACTTTTTTTTTTTTTTAAAGTCAAGATGAAACAATTTCACGTTTATATGAGACAGTTTATACATAATCATTTCGGCTTCCCTAAACAGTAAAGCTGAGGAAAATGAGAACTGTATTCTGAACCACTGGGAAGAATTATTGAGAGTATTAGCCAATATAATCTAGTGAAAGTCTCTAACACACTGACCCGAACACAATAGGAGTTCAGGGGGTTTTTTAAGAAAGAGTGAAGAATAGGGAGACACAGGCAGCACTGACAGGGAAAGAGAATTACAGGACAATCAAGAAGTTTGTATCAGCTTTAAAAAATAAATTCAGCACATTTGTTGAACACTTATGTAGGGCAATGAAATGCCAAGGTAGCCACAGTTTTTTTCATAAAAGGAATTGAAGCAAATCTAATCCAAGTCATTCTCCAGCCCATGATTAAACATACTAGAACCACAAACACGTGGGGAAACCTCTGTTATATATGAGATTAATTTTGGAGATAGGAAATGATATTTTTAGTTAGCTATGTAAAGCTTTTATTAATTTTTAGGACTTGCTCAAATTTTCACATTTAGGAAATTCAGTGCAATCTTAAAGACAAACACTCCTTTTACTTTTATTTTTCACCTCTATGTTGTGTCAGGAGACTAATGTTACACTATCTATCCATATAGAGTTATGAGCTGAAGCTGTATCCATGGGGAAACAGATTATCTATGTTTTAAACTTGTAAGCTTAGTCTACACAAAAATACACCTTTAAATTATGCCACAGACTTTCTTAAAGAAATTCTTAATCATTTTATAAATTCACTAAGAAATGAGTCTGTAGTCTATTCTAATCTCATTAATGCAACGCATGTTTCAGACATCACAACACGTTGATGACTTACTTGTATCTTGCTTCTTGTTTTCAAGATGATCTAATAGTTGTCTTATCTCAGCATCATACTCCACCCATTCTGGGACAATTCTGGCAGCAGCTTTTAGTTTGGATTCTTTTGTTTTGGGATTATTGCACTAAAAGTTTAAGTAAATTTTGTTAATGAAAGACCATGCTCCTGGAAACATAAGGACAATGCTGTGTCACTAGGGCAAACAAAATACATTTTATAAAAAGCAGAGTCCTACTAAGTACTGGAAGTTTAATACACACAGGATCAGGTGAAATGATATATCACAACTTATGTATGTAATAATTGCTTAATACAAATACCTCAATCAGAAATTTAAATAAAAATTGTTGAAAGACATTCTGATGACTCATAAGTCTGTCAAAAAAAAATTATGTAAAACTTTTTGACAAAAGATCTAATTACATTACCACTATGTAGAAGAACATAGCAGACTAGTGTGCTTTGTAGGCACAGTAGAAAAACATGGAAATGGCATCTCGGTTCTCAGGGTTCCAACTCCATATTTACTAGTAGTAGGATGTGTATGTATCACATAATTATGTGTGTGTGTAGGGTGTGTAGCTTAATTTATTCAACTGCAAAAGAAATTAAAATAGGAAAATCTCTAAGGTTCCATCAATACACAATCAGTTTAAACTATTGAGTACTACTATAGAGTTTCTTGGGAAATTAAAGTTAAAAGCAAAAATTATAGAAGGTTGATAAGAGTCTGACACACTATGTATCTGAAGGTACAGCTGAAAGGATCTGCTGATATATTGGACGTGAGCTGTAAGTAAAGAGAGGCATCAAAGAAAGACAAAGCCACCAGTACCTTTGGCTTGAGCAATATAAAAAATGGATTTGCCATTTACTGAGACAGAAGACAATGGGAGCAGTATAAACTTCATCAAGTAATAAAGGAAGCCCATTCACTATTTACAAAGAATTAAGGCAGGAAGCAACTTGAAGCTCACTTCTGGTGACATTTTCTCCACTTGCTTTCCTCTTATTTCTTAGGGGAAAGCTATTAGTCATGAGCCGTGAGCCTGTTGTCTTAACCCTTTCCTCACCAAATATTTTCAGTTGATTCATTATGGATTTCTTTTCCATAGTGACATATTCCTGAGGTAAGTGGACAACACAATTTTCCTTGCAGAAATTAACTTTATAGGCAATGTCTTCTATATAGTGAAGATAATGGGACTAATTCTTTTTTTAATTCTGTCATACTATTAAAAAAATAAAAATATTATGTTTTGTTTAGCTATTTGTACTACATTGGGTTTGTGTGTGTGTGTGTGTGTATGTGTGTGCTCATGCATACACTCTATAAGCTTTATTAGTGTTTCTTAACTGGGTAATCATGCCCCTCGGGGAGCTTTGGCAAAGTCTGGAGAAAATGTGTGATGGCCGGGGAGTGGTGGGGTGCTACTGCCATCTAGTGGACAGAGGCCAGAAATGCTGCTGAATACCCAACAATGCACAGGAAAACCCCTGTAACAAAGAATTCTCCACTCCTCAATGCCAATAGTACTGAGGCTGAAAAACTCTGAGATGGAAAGTTGAGAGAGTATAATGACATTCATAAACATTTTCATTCCCACCTTCAATATTATTAGTCATGCTCTTTTCTTCTGTTAGGCCATTTCCTTGGGAATTTTCTGCATTCTCTTTTCTCCTCCATGAAGAATAGCATGTTCTCTCATTCTACTCTTAGTGTTTCTATGAGGGAGACGGGCTGAACACCAAAATTTGTGCCACTTCTCCTTTTCCTGGGTATTGGTATTGCTATTGCTAGGAAGTAGCTGTCCATCCAGGAATGCCATTTCTCAGCTCCTGTTACATCTAGATATGGCCACGTGACCAACTCCCACCAAGGGGCCATGCCTTTAGGATTCAAGATATATGTTCTCCACACTTTTTTTCCCCTTCCCTCCAGATTGGTACTATCCAATACAAATGCAATGAAAACCATACACATAATTTGTGGGTTTTTTCACTAGAAAAATACTAAATTTTTCTAGTAGCCATGTATAAAAATGTAAGAGGAATAGGTGAAATAAATTTTAATACTATATTTTATTCAACCCAATATATCCAAAATACTAAGTCAACATGTAATCAATACAAAAATTAGTAATGAGATATATGTTATTTTCATTGTATTGAGTATTCAAAATCTGGTGTGTACTTTATACCTTACAGCACATCTCAATTCAGAATAGCAACATGTTAAGGGCTCAACAGCCACATAAGGCAAGTGGCTACTGCACTGGAAGAAGCAGTTACAGGTGGACAAAAAGTACTCCCTGAGACATGGCACACAGGAGGGCTACTCAATGACGGAGATATCCACTTAGGTCTGCTGCTGGAATGAGTATGAAGCCACTGAATTTTGGGGGTTTGTTATGGTAGCTCATGTTAGTCTAAGTACTAAAGATCCCAAAATGACCTACACCACTACTGTATGAGCCACAACAGAACCCTAACAACATATTAGTAGTTGTGTTCAATAATGTTCTTGGCCTCTCTTTATGAAATTCCCTTGCTTACCTCTTAAAAATGCCTTTTTATTTGTTTCTGCTATATTCTACCAACTATGATTACATTCTAACATGCTGGCATGCTATTTTTAAAATATGTATTTCTATACATGTCTGAAAAAGTTCCTATATTTTGTTTTCCTGCTCTTTTTTGTTCAAAATTGTGTGAATTCTAACATTTTAATAGCTTATTCGTCAGTGAAGATCTTGTAAACAATTTTCTACACTTAGCACATTAAAAACAATATACTAGGAAAAAAACTTATTATACCTACTAAAGACAAGGTAGTAGTGGAATATAAAATCTAAATGGACAACAAATAAATTACTTTGAAATATTTTATGTTTAGGAGAGTTAAACTGCACAGCATAAACTGCTTTAAATGAAAATCTAGGAAAAATAATCTCTTAAAAATAAGTAAGAAAAAAGCATGTATGATATATTTTAAGTAGACAAAATTGTCTTGTTTGCCTTTATTTGGGGGAAAATATTGGCAGGATAACTAAACTGAAGACATGTCAAGATGATAGCTAATCCACAAACATTTTCAGCTAGCTCTCAGCCCTTTTTTTTTGTTTGTTTGTTTTTTTGAAATGGAGTTTTGCTCTTGTCTCCAGGCTGGAGTGTAGTGGCGCCATCTCCGCTCTCTGCAACCTCTGCCTCCCAGGTTCAAGCAATTCTCCTGCCTCAGCCTCCTGAGTAGCTGGGACTACAGGCATGTGCCACCACGCCCAGCTAATTTTTTGTAATTTTAGTAGAGATGGGGTTTCATCATGTTAGCAACGCTGGTCTCGAAGTCCTGACCTGAGGTGATCCACCTGCCTCGGCCTCTTAAAGTGCAGGGATTACAGGCGTAAGCCACCGTGCCCAGCCCTCTAAGCCTTTTTTTCAAAAGTCCTTTTGCAGAAAAGAGTTAATACAGAAAGCCTGAAATTGCTATTCTTAGAAAGACCTGCTTGTAAGTTTGGCTCCTCGCTGGCATCTGGGAACACAGGGTTCAGGATGGTTCTCACCATTCCTTTATAAGAGTAACTCACTGTGTCTAAATTATCTGTGCAAAGGTGTTTATGCTAAACACTTGCTTTCCTCCTGAGTGCTGGAAATTTAGGTGTGTCTCAGGCAGACAGTGCTATATGGTCACCAGCCCCCAGTAAAACCCCTGGACACTGGGGTTTCTAATAAATGTCCTTAGTAGGTAATACTTCACACTGGTTGTGGAATCTCTTATTGCTTGAGGAATGAAGCTTGTCCCGTGTGATATCACAGAGAAAGGACTCTTGGAATCTTGCACCTGATTTTCTCTTTGCCCCATGTGCCTTTTCCCTTTGCTGACTTTGCTTTATATCCTTTCACTGTGATAAATCAAGCCATGAATATGATTATATTTTGCATCTCATGAATCTCCTTAGTGAATCATCAAACCTCAGGGTGGTCTTGGGGGCCCCCAAAATAACCCTATACTTGCCAACCTAAGTAAATGTGTAATAGACTGAACAGCAGAAGAAGCGAAGTAATACGTATGCCACTCCCTTTGTAAAACAGAAAGAAAATATTTCTATTTAAACATTTCTGTATCTGCTTACATACAAATGAAAACAAAGACACTCACCAGATCAATTGTTTTGGCTCTTTGTTTGGATTCATCATCACACCAGGTTTCACACCACAGCCAGTCTTGAGGAAGAGACTTAATGGCGACTTGGTAAATCATATTATTGGGGAGATCCTACAGAAAATTGTGATTTAATCATAGACGTATGAAATTTAGAGTCAGAAGGAAAGAAGCTGAATGAAGTAAGACATCAGTTAGACTGTAAACAGATCATAAAACATATGCAAATCTGAGATTTCTCTACACTTTAAAGCTTAAAATACCTAAGGTGATCCAATCATCTTGTGTCATGAATGAATCCATGCACTGGAATATACCTACATCTCTCCTAGACTCTACCCCTGGGAACAAGGATGAAGAAGGAGGCATAGAAACCTACCATTCAATAGTCCCCACAATGGACAGCCTCACTACCTCTATCTGCCTCTATTGCTCACATTATGCCTGCAATTACTGTTCATATTGGTCACCACAATGCTCTCTGGATTCTGAGGTGAATTTTCATCTCCCCATTGGAAACAATGATCCATGAATATTTTCCCATTTCTGCATGCTCAGAGCTCTCTAAGTAAAGATTGCTGGCATCTGGGTTAATGGATGTTTGACTGGCAAACTAGCCTAGTAAGTTAGAGACCTTTGGAGAGAATCAGACAAATCTTCCCCAGAGATATTTGTTTATATTCCAGGGGTGGAGTCCTTCCCTTCCTTTCCCTATAGAAGATCTGCTTATATTCAAGAGCAAAGGCATGTTCCTCTCTCTCCAAGAGTATGAAGGGTACTTGTGCTGGTTGTCCTACATAAGCTCCAAGATTCACAATTTTAAGGTTCTTCTCTCAACATCCCTATTAAACATCACACTGAAAGTCCTAGCAAATGCAATAAGACAAGAAAAGGAAAATGTATATAGATTGGGAAGGGAAAAAAACCTGTCACTGTTTGTGATAACAGGATTGTTTATGCAGAAAATCCCAAGAATCAAGGGAAAAAACTTCTGGAACTGATAAGCAATTTTAGCAATGTTACAAGATAAAAAGTTAATATACAAAAGTCAACTGCTTTTCTATATACCAGCAATGAACAAACATAATTTGAAATTTAAGAAAACACACCATTTACATTAGCACCGAAAAAGAGAAATACTTAAACATAAATCTAATAAAATATGTTCCTCAACAAAATGAAAACTACAAAATTCTGAGGAAAGAAATCAAAGAACACTGAAATACATGAAGAGATATTCTATGTTCACACATAGGAAGACTCCATAGTCAAGATAACAGTTCTTCCCAGATTTATCTATAGACTTAACACAATCCCAATCAAAGGCTTAGCAAGTTATTTTGTGGAGATTGGCCAACTGATTCTAAAGTTTAGGGAAAAAGGAAAAGATCCAGAATATCCAACACAATATTGAAGAATAAAGTCAGAGGGCTGACACTACCACACTTGAAGTCTTACTATAAAGTTACAGTAATCAAAACAGTGTGGTATTGGAAAAATAAGAGACAAATACATCAATGGAACACAATAAAGAGCCCAGAAATAGAAAATTACCCATACTTTCTGCTCATTTTTTTTGTAAACCTAAGACTGCTCTAAAAAAATAAAGTCCGTTAATCAAAGAAAGAAAAACCTTAACTGTCCCTTCTGACACCCTTAGTTCCTTGGAATCCCTTCCTTAAATAACCTGGCCTACCATATTATCTAAGCTACTAACTCAAATGGTTATATACTAGACCAAGTCTTCTATACTTTCAATTTCATGGTGCCACTCTCTGACCACCTCTTGATTTTTGGCTCACTCCACTGAGTACTCAGATATCAATATCCTTTGACCCCTTGGAACCTCCAATCAACTGATTTTACCACTATTTCACTGTCCCTCATTCCTTGATGTATTCACCCCTATATAGTTATTCTTCTGAATATACTCTCAACTGTCTTATTCTTCTCTCACTTAGTTGTACTTTCTTGACAAAGTCATAGTCCTGATTAAATCTCAATCTCTGTAACTGTTCTCATGGAACTCAACATGGCTGAGTTCCATGAGTACAGGACACACACACACACTACCCCCCATGCCGACTGTTTTTTCATTTTAACCTCCTGAATATAAATCTTAGGGGAACTTTAATTCTGTCAATTATATATATGGGTCTACTCTGTTGTCACTTAGCTGATCTTTAGCTGATTATTTCACACACTGTCCTCATATCCTTCCCTAACCTCCATGTACCTAATAATCTACTTTCTGTCTCTACGAATTTGTTTAGTCTGGACATATCACATAAGTAAAATTATACATTATCAGGTTTTTGTGTCTGGCTTCTGTCAGCACAATGTTGTCAAGGTCCATCTATGCTGTGACATATTTCAGTACTTCAATCCTTTTTACAGCCAAATAATATTCCACTATATGAATTTACAACATTTGGCTTATTCATTTGTCAACTGATGGGCATTTGGGTTGTTTCCATTTTCCAGCTGTTATAAACAATGCTTCTATAAACATTTGTACAAATTTTTGTTTGGACACATGTTTTCAACTCTCTTGGGTATATATCTAGGAGTGGAACTGCTGGGTCATATGTTAACTCTGTTAAACATTTTCATGACCTGTCAAACTGTTTTTGAACTTGGTACACTATTCTACATTCCAAATAGGAGCGTATCATGGTTCCATTTTCTCCATATCCTTGTCCACTCTTGTTATTGTCAATCTTTTTTATTGTAGCTATCATAGCGAGTATGAAGTGGTATCTCATTGTGGTTTTGATTTGCTATTCCTAATGACAATGGCATTGAGCATCTTTTCATGTGTTTATTGGACATTTGTGTATCACAGAAGATATATCAATGGCTAGTAAACACATACAATGTCTATTTACATAGACATATTTCGTATTTAAATGTCTATTTAAATAAACATATTAAAATCTCCAAATAAACACATTTAAATCTCTGCTTAAAGACTTAAATGTACAATGTAAAACCATAAAAACCCTAGAAGAAAACCTAGGCAATACCATTCAGGACACAGGCATGGGCAAAGACTTCATGACTAAAATACCAAAAGCAACAGAAACAAAAGCCAAAATTGACAAATGGGATCTATTTAAACTAAAGAGCTTCTGCACAACAAAATAAACTATCATCAGAGTGAACAGGCAACCTACAGAATGGGAGAAAATTTTTGCAATCTATCCATCTGACAAAGGGCTAATATCCAGAATCTACAAGGAACTTAAACAAATTTACAAGAAAAAAAACAACCCCATCAAAAAGTGGGCGAAGAATATGAACAGACGCTTCTCAAAAGAAGACACTTATGCGACCAACAAACATACGAAATAAAGTTCATCATCACTGATTATTAGAGAAATGCAAATCAAAACCACAATGAGTGGTTTTGATACCATCTCATGCCAGTTAGAATGGTGATCATGAAAACATCTGGAAATAACAGATGCTGGCAAGGATGTGGAGTAATAGGAACACTTTTACACTGCTGGTGGGAGTGTACATTAGTTCAGCTGTTGTGAAAGACAGTGTGGCAATTCCTCAAGGATCTACGACCAGAAACACCATTTGACCCAGCAATCCCACTACTGGGTATATACCCAAAGGATGATAAATCATTCTACTATAAAGACACACGCACATGTATGTTTACCGCAGCACTATTTACAATAGCAAAGACTTGGAACCAACCCAAATGCCCATCAGTGACAGACTGGATAAAGAAAATGTGGCAGACATATACCATGGAATACTATGCAGCTATAAAAAAGAATGAGTTCATGTCCTTTGCAGGATATGGATGAAGCTGGAAACCATCATCCTCAACAAATTAACACAGGTACAGAAAACCAAATACCACATGTTCTCACTCATAAGTGGGAGTTGAACAATGAGAACACATGGACACAGGGAGGGGAACATCACCCACTGGGGCCTATTGGAGGGCTGGGGGAAGCGGAGGGAGAGCATTAGGACAAATACCTAATGCATGTGGGGCTTAAAACCTAGATGACAGGTTGATAGGTGCAGCAAACCACCATGGCACATGTATACCTACGTAACAAACCTGCACGTTCACCACGTGTATCCCAGGACTTAGAGTAAAATAAAAAACACGGAAAATAAAAATAAAAATAAACATGCTTAAATGTCTATTTACATCCCTTGACCACTTTGTAAATTGGTTATTTTCCTTTGCTATTGAGTTATGGGAGTTCTTGAGAGCTTGTTTGGAGGTTCTGGCAGGGAAGCGCAGCTACTAGTGTACCCTTGACTGAAGATTGGTCCTCCTCTATTGGGGATGGTCATCTTCTTCAACCCAGCATGCAGTTTCGGGAGGAACACACATGGAGCAGTGAGGGAGGAAGAGGTCAGTTGCGTAGCCAGCCAGATCAGCTGAATCAACCCTGGTGATCAATGGGGTGACAGATGTAGCAGCCAGATTGCCCTCACATCCTACAGGAGTTCTTTATATGTTCTGGATTTTAGTATCTTGTCAGACACATGATTTGCAAATATTTTGTCCCATTCTAAAAGTTGTCTTTTCCCTTTCTTGTGTCCTTTAAAGCATACAAGTCTTTAAATTTTGATGCTAATTTATCTTTTTCTTTTATTGCTTGTGCTTTTGGTTTTATAACTTAAAAACATTGCCTAATCCAAAGTCACAAAGATTTACACCTATGTTCATTTCTAAGAGTTTTACGGTTTTAGTTCTTACATTTAAATCTTTGATCCATTTTGAGTTAATTTTTATATATGATGTGAGGTAGGGGTCCAACTTCATTCTTTACAAGTGAATTTCCTGTTGTCTAGCATAGTTGTTAAAAAGACTATTCTTTCCCCATTAAGTTGTCTTGGAATGCTTGACAAAAATCAAATGAGAGTAGAGGCATAGGCTTATTTCTGAACTCTCAATTCTATTCTAGTGACCAATATGTGTAACCTTATGCCAGTACCACTACTGGGCATAAAGAATTTTACATATGTATATTTCTGTGAAACCATCACATAATTAACATAATTGAATATAGCTATCACCCTTAAGACTCCCTGTGTCCTTTTGCAATTGTTCCCTCCTATCCTTCCTCTATGCACCCAATCCAGTCCCCAGGTAAGCATGAACTGCTTTTTTCACCTTGGATTAGTTTGCATTTTCTACAATTTTATATAAATAGGATTATATAATACAAATACTTTAGGTCTGACTTTTCATATAAATTATATATAAATCTATATACTTTTGGTATGGATCAGCATTGTTATTTTTAGAGTCATCCATGTTGTCTGTGTATAAATAATTCATTCCTTTTTACTATTGAGTAGTATTACATTCTATGAATATACCATATCTTTTTATCTATTCTCCTCTTGACAGATATTTGCAGTAGGCAGTTTCTGATATGGCTTCCAATAATTCCTGACTTCTGGTATCCATTCTCTCGTGCAATTCCTTCTCCTGGTCTGGCTGGATCTAGTGACTACCTTCTAACAAACAGAATATGGCAAAACTAATGGGATGTCAATTCTGAGACTAGACTATAACAGACTGTGACTTTCATTTTGTTGGCATCCTCTCTTTCTCTGATTCTTCTCTCTCATGTTTGCCCTTATGGATAAGGCCATCTGCCAGAAACTGATGACTGCCTATAGCCACATCCAGCAAGGAAATTAGACTTTCCGTATAATAGCTCTTGAAGAATAAACCCTGTCCACAACCATGTGAGTGACTTTGCCTAGCAGTCAAGTCTTTTGATTAGACGGCAGTCCCCGGGCTGACACAATGATTGCAGTCTTGAGAGATACAATGAAGCAGAACACTGAGCTAGGTCAGACTACAGGAACTGATCCACACAAACTGTTTGTTGTTTTAAGCTGCTATGTTTTGGATAAGCTGTTATGCAGCAACAGGTAACAAATACAGGGGGGTTGTTTCTAGATTTTGGCTTTTATGAATAATGCTACTATGAGTATTTATGTACAAGCATTTGTGTGGCCAGGTACTTTTATTTCTCTTGGGTAAACACCCTGAAGTATAATGACTAATCATATGGCAGGTTTAAGTTAAACTGTAAAAGAAATCGCCAAACTGATTTTCAAAAGGGCTTAGCCATTTTACACTCATTTTCACAAGCAATGTATGCGAATTCTAGCAGGTATATATCCTTTCAACACTTGGTATGGTCAGTCTTTTTAATGTTAACCATTCTAATTGGTGTGTATTCACCATAGTTTTAATTTGCATTTCCCTAATCACTAATGATGTTTAGCATCTTTTCATGGAATTATTGACACTTGATCATCTTTGGTGATGGGTCAATCTGATTCTTTAACAAATCAGATTACTTATTTTATTATTAATAAGTTTTGGGAGCTCTTTGTATATTTATCAATTTTTTCTTTTATGAATCATGCTTTTAGTATCATACCTAAAAAATCTCTGCTTAACTCAAGATCACAGAGATTTTCTCCTATCTTCTAAACATTTTATATTGTACCTTTGTCTATGATGTGTTTGGAATTAATTTTTACTTACGGCATATTAGGGTTTAGAGGTTTTTGGGGTTTTTTTTTGGCATAAGGATATCTAATTGTTCCAGCACTGTTTGTTGAAAAGACTATCCTTTCTCCACTGCATTATCTTTGCACCTTTGTCAAAAGTCAACCGGCCATATATGGGGTCTATTTCTGGGTTCTTTATTCTAATTCATGGATCAAATTGTCTATCTTTACACCAACACCAAACTATTTTGACTACAGTAGCTATATATTATGTCTTAAAACAAGGTGGTATAAGTCCTTTAACTTTCTTATTTTTCAAAGTTGTTTTGGTGATTTTATTTTTTATTTATTTTTAATTATTTATTTTTTTGAGACAGAGTTTTGTTCTTGTCGCCCAGGCTGGAGTGCAATGGCATGATCTCGGCTCACTGCAACCTCCACCTCCTGGGTTCAAGTGATTCTCCTGCCTCAGCCTCCCAAGTAGCTGGAATTACAGGTGCCCGCCACCATGCCCAGCTAATTTTTTATACTTTTAGTAGAAACAGAGTTTCACCATGTTGGCCAGGCTGGTCTTCAACTCCTGACCTCAAGTGATCCACCTGCCTCGGCCTCCCAAAGTGCTGGGATTACAGGCGTGAGCCACCACGCCTGGCCTGTTTTGGCGATTTTAGGTCTACGGCATTCCATTTGAATTTTAGAATCAACTTCATTAATTTGTACAAGAAAGTCTAATAAATATAGAAAAAATAGAGAGTAATGTTTTTATTGGAATTGCATTAAATCTAGTGATTAATTTGGGGAGAAACCACATCTTAACAATATCCAGTCTTCCAACCATGAACAAGGTATATCTCTCTAAATATTCAGCTGATTTTTAATCTCTCAGCAGTTTTGTAGTTTTCAATCTGTAAGTCTTAAGTCTGACCACTAAGTTTTTCATTTTTAAAATGCTACAGAAATGGATAATTTCAATTTTCAATTGTTATTGCTAGTATACAGAATTGGATTTTCATAGTGATTTTGTATCTTGCAACTTTGTGAAATGCAGTTATTAGTTCTAGCTTTTTGGTAGATTACATGAGGTTTTCTACCTAGATGATCACATTGACTGTCCCCCTTACCCGTCCAAGACAGCCAGTTTTACTTATTCCTTGCCAATCTGGATGCCTTTTATTTTTTTTCTTGCCTTGCTGTACTAGGTATCTGTCCAGTACAATACTGAATAGGAAAGGTAAGAGTGGATATCCTTGCTGTGTTTCTGATCTTAGGGAGAAAGCATTCAGTCTTTGATTATTAAGTATGATGTTAGCTGTAGGTTTTTCATAGATGCCCTTTATCAGGATGAGGAAGTTCCCTTCCGGTTCTAGTGTGCTGAGAGTTTTAAATCAGGAAAGGATACTGGAGTATATCAAATGCTCTTTTGCATATAATTAGCTGATCATGTATATATATGGATATGTATTTTAGTCCTTAATATAGTGAGTTACATTGATTTTCTAATACTGAATCAGTCTTGCATTCCTGGGATAAAGTTCATGTGGTCACGATTCATGATATAAGATCCTTTCTTTTAAATTTTTTTAGTATTTATTGATCATTCTTGGGTGTTTCTCGGAGAGCGGGATTTGGCGGGGTCATAGGACAATAGTGGAGGGAAGGTCAGCAGATAAACTTGTGAACAAAGGTCTCTGGTTTTCCTAGGCAGAGGGCCCTGCCGCCTTCCGCAGTGTTTGTGTCCCTGGGTACTTGAGATTAGGGAGTGGTGATGACTGGTATGCTGCCTTCAAGCATCTGTTTAACAAAGCACATCTTGCACCGCCCTTAATCCATTTAACCCTTAGTGGACAAAGCACATGTTTCAGAGAGCACGGGGTTGGGGGTAAGGTTATAGATTAACAGCATCCCAAGGCAGAAGAATTTTTCTTAGTACAGAACAAAATGGAGTCTCCTATGTCTACTTCTTTCTACACAGACACAGTAACAATCTGATCTCTCTTTCTTTTCCCCACATTTCCCCCTTTTCTATTCGACAAAACCGCCATCGTCATCATGGCCCGTTCTCAATGAGCTGTTGGGTACACCTCCCAGACAGGGTGGCGGCTGGTCAGAGACGCTCCTCACTTCCCAGACGGGGTGGCGGCGGGGCAGAGACACTCCTCAGTTCCCAGACGGGGTCGCGGCCGGGCAGAGGCGCTCTTCACATCTCAGACGGGGTGGCGGGGTGGCGGGGCAGAGGCGCTCCCCACATCCCAGATGATGGGCGGCCGGGCAGAGACGCTCCTCACTTCCTAGACGGGATGAGGGCCGGGGAGAGGGACTCCTCACTTCCCAGACTGGGCAGCCGGGCAGAGGGGCTCCTCACATCCCAGATGATGGGCGGCCAGGCAGAGACGCTCCTCACTTCCTAGACGGGGTGGCGGCCAGGCAGAGGCTGCAATCTCGGCACTTTGGGAGGGCAAGGCAGGCGGCTGGGAGGTGGAGGTTGTAGGGAGCCGAGATCACGCCACTGCACTCCAGCCTGGGCAACATTGAGCACTGAGTGAACGAGACTCCGTGTGCAATCCCGGCACCTCGGGAGGCCAAGGCTGGCAGATCACTCACGGTTAGGAGCTGGAGACCAGCCTGGCCGACACGGCGAAACCCCGTCTCCACCAAAAAAATATGAAAACCAGTCAGGCGTGGCAGCGCGCGCCTGCAATCCCAGGCACTCGGCAGGCTGAGGCAGGAGAATCACGCAGGGAAGTTGCAGTGAGCCAAGATGGCGGCAGTACAGTCCAGCCTCGGCTGGGCATCAGAGGGAGACCGTGCAGAGGGGAGGAGGGGAGGGGGGGAGGAGGGAGAGGTCCTTTTTATATATTACTAAATTTGATTACTTAAAACTTTGTTAACAATTTTTACAACTTTTCTTAAGAAATGCTTGTCTATAATTTTCCTTTCTTATAATATCTTTGGTCTTCATGTCAAGGGAATGCTGCCTCATAGAATGAGTTGAAAAATATTCCCTTCTCTTCAATTTTCTGGAAGAGTTTGTGTAAAACTGGTATTATTTCTTTCTTTAAAGTTTGATAGAATTCACTACTGAAGCTATCTGGGCCTGGGGATTTAAACTACAAATTCCATTTCTTCAACTGATACAGTGTTATTCAGGTTACCTATTTCACGTTCTGACTTTTGGTGGTTTGTGTCTTTTAAGTAATTTGGCCATTTCATCAAAGTTGTTGAAGGTATTACCAGAAAGTTGATTCTAATAGTCCCTTGATTATTCTTTCAGTATCTGTAGAATCTGTGTGCTGTCATGTCTCACATTTCTATATTGGTAATTTGTGTCTTTTACCTTTTTTTTTCTGATCAGTCTAGATAGAGGTTCATCGGTTTTGTTGATTTTCTCAAAGAACCAGCTTTGGTTTCATTTTTAAAAATCTACAAAAATGCATCTTTCTTTTCTTTTCTTTTCTTTTTTTTTTTTATTTTACTGATTGCCATTCTAACCTTAATTATTCCTTTTTTCTATTTAATTTTTTCTAAATTAAAAATTTTATTTTTTAGAGCAGTTTTTAGGTTCACAGCCAAATTAAGAGGAAGGCACAGAGATTTCCCATATACTCACTGTTCCTACACATGCATTACCTACTCCCCTATTATCAACACCCCCCACCAAAGTGATATGTTTGTTGCAATACATGAACCTACATTCATGCATTATACTCATTCAAAGTCTACAGTTTACATTAGACTTCTTTCTTGGTGTTGTACATTCTACGGGTTTGGACAACTGTATAATGACATGTATCTACCACTACATATTTTCCCTGCCTAAAAATTCTCTGTGCTCCACCATATTCATCACTTGCCCCCTCCCTGCCACCAAACTCTGACAACCACTTATCTTTATACTGTCTCCATAGTTTTGCTTTTTTCCAGAATGTCATATAGTTAGAATAATACAGTATGTAATCTTTTCAGATTGGCTTCTTTCACTTAGTTATTATACATTTAAAGTTCTTCCTTGTCTTTTCATGGCTTAATAGCTCATTTCTTTTTAACTCTTAATAATATTCCATGGTCTGGATGTACCCGTTTCTTTACTGATTCACCTACTAAAAGACATCTTGGTTGGCTGCATATTCTGGCAATTATAAATAAAGGTGTTATAAATATCTATGTGCAGGTTTTTATGTAGCCATAAGTTTTCAACTCCTTTGAGTAAATTCCAAAAATTACAATGGCTAAATTGTATGGTAAGAGTTTGTTTAGTTTTGTAAGAAACTGTCAAATTGTCTTCCAAAGTGACTATACCATTTTGTACTCTTCTCAGCAATGAACGCAAGTTCCTCTTGCTCCACATCTTCACTAGCCTTTGGTGTTGTCAGTATTCTGGATTTTGGCCTTCCTAATAGGTGTGTGGTGTTATCTTACTGTTGTTTAATTTGTGTATCCCTGATGATATATGATGTGGAGCATCTGCTCATATGCTTATATGTCATCTGTATATGTTCTTTGGTGAGGTGTCTGTTAAGGTCTTTGATCCATTTCTAAATTTGGTTTGTTTTCTGATTGTTGAGTCTTTAGAGTTCTTTGCATTTTTTTGGATAACACTCCTTTATCAGATGCATCTTTTACAAATATATTTTTGCCAAAAAAACTTTTCTTTCTCTTGTTATTGTCTTTTGCAGAGCAGAAGTTTTTAATTTCAGTGAAGTCCAGCTTATCAATTATTACTTCACGGATCATGACTTTGGTGTTATATCTAAAAAGTCATTGACATACCCAAGGCCATCTAGGTTTTCTCCTATATTGTCTTCCAGGAGTTTTGCATTTTGTGTTTTACATTCAAGTCTATAAACCATTCTAATTTTTCTGAAGGGTGTAAGATCTGTGTCTAGATTCATTTTTTTCTTATGAGATGTTCAGTTGTTCCAGTGACATTTGTTGAAAATACTATCTCTGCTCTATCTTTGTTCCTCTGTCAAAGATTGGGTGACTATATTTATGTGGATTTATTTCTGGGCTCTCTATTGTTCCATTGATCTATTTTTCTATTCTTTTGCCAACATACTGTCTTGATTACTATAGCTTTACAGTGAAATAAGTCTGGTATTGCTAGTCTTCTGACTTTCTTCTTTTTCAATATGGTGTTGGTTATTCTAGGTCTTTTCCTTTTCTATATAAACTTTAAAATCAGTAGGTTGACAATCATAAAACAACTTGCTAGGACTTTGATTGGAATTGTGTGGAATCTATAAATTGATCTGGGAAGAATTCATCAATTTAGTCTTGAGCAATTTAGTCTTCCTATCCATAAACAGGGAATACCTCTTCATGTATTTCAGTGTTCTTGAATTTCTTTCATTAGAATTTTACAGTTTTCCTCATGTAGAGAAACATTTACTAGATTTATACTTAAATATTATTTTGGTGCTAATTTAAATGATACTGTGTTTTTAATTTTAAATTCCACTTGTTTATTGTTGGAATACAGAAAAATGACTTTTTCTTTGTCATATAGATTATATTCTTAAATCTACATCAGGCAATGTGCAAAGATCCCTACACAAATGATATTATTAAAAAGAAAATACAACCCTAAAAATGTATATTATAAACATAAGGGAATAATTTTAATATACTTAAAAAAAATTTATCTTATGGCCAGGCACAGTGGTTCACGCCTGTAATCCCAGCACTTTGGGAGGCCAAGGCAGGCAGATCACGAGTTCAGGAGATCAAGACCATCCTGGCTAACATGGTGAAACCGAGTCTCTACTAAAATACAAAAATACAAAAAATTAGCTGGGCGTGGTGGCAAGCGCCTGTAGTCCCAGCTACTCAGGAGGCTGAGGCAGGAGAATGGCGTGAACCCAGGAGGCGGAGCTTGCAGTGAGCCAAGATAGTGCCATTGCACTCCGGCCTGGGCAACAGAGTGAGACTCTGTCTCAAAAAAAAAAAAAAAAAAGTATCTTATGCAAAATAGCATTTAATTTTTTATAAATAACTTTCTTTTATTATATTTATTCTTTATTTCAGACACCTGATCTAAGCCCACAGACTTTGGATTCAGTCTTTTGCTCCAGGTTAATTAAATTTTTATTTTTGGTTCAGGGGTACATGTACAAGTTTGCTACATAGGTAAATTGAATGTCATGGGGGTTTAGTGTGCAAATTATTTTGTCACCCAGGTAGTAAGCATAGTACCTGATAGGTAGTAAAAATGACTAACTTTTATATATTAATTTTTTATATATTAATTTATACTTTTATATATTAATTATATATTAACCTTTGACCTTGCTATAATCCCTTATTGGTACACTGTTTTTTGTTTTTTTTTTTGGTCATTTTTTTGGATTGTCTAAGTAGGCATTTGCAAACAAAGGCAGTTTTATTTCTTCCTTCCCAATTTGTATACCTTTTATTTCCTTTTCTTGTCTTATTGCATTAGCCAAGACCTTACTTTGGTTTTAACTGTTTTTTTCCCCTAGTTTCTAGGTAGAAGATGAGGTTGAGATCTTTTTTCTTTTCTAATGGAAGTTCTTAGTGCTATAAATTTATTTCTAAGAACTATTTTAGTTGCTTATGAATATATTCCAACCATAGGCTACCTTTCTTTCTGTACAAACTGAATAATGAAGTACATGAATGTAGAAAGAAAAGTAGTCTATAGTTGGAGTATATTCATAAGAAGTGGTGAATGGCTTGACCAATTGGTCAGAGGCCAAGAAATAGAAAAATAGGAGGATTAAGGGCAAGAAATTCTGGGGTAGAGGCTTCTGGATGAGCCTATGGGAGTGGCATAAACTGTTAGGACCTTTGGATACTTCATGTTAAACAGCCACCAGAAAGCATTCAACACAGAATCAGCACTAAATAACTAGGCAGTCAAAATTATGTGGTTTGTGGAAGTCTGCTAGCCTTGATCATAGGCTACTCCAATGACACAATGGGCACATGAATGGAGTAGACATGCTGGCAGAGATGGAGACTGTGTACGGGCCCAACAGCATGAGCTCCTACTTACCCAGGCTCATCTAGCTCTTAGAGCTGCCAACAGCAGAGGTAAACACTGAGCTTCTAATATAGCACTTATACTTTGCAAAGACCAATCAGCTGTTTGATGGTAATTTGGCTACAGTAGATGTCCTTTATATAGATTCTTCTGGACTGACCTATACACATATTCTATGTATGGGTTTGCCTTTCTTGCTCACAGAAACTTAGCACCATTATCCAAGGATTTATAGTTATCTACTGACAAAGGATTCTATATAACATTGTATTAGACCAGGAAAAGAGTTGTCTCACCCAAGGTCACCCCCTTACCTGGGGCAGCCCATATCCAATGACTGGTTGATATGAAGGAATAAAGACTTGCCCAAACCTGTGAAAACTATGAAGGACCATCTCAGCTTCAGAGCTCCCTGTGGGGTCAGTCAACTGAGGTCTTAATTGAATTTGTAAAGTTTCCCCAATTCCATTTCCTTCCTTCCTCCACAGTTGTTGGTCCTGAGAGTACTTCCTAATAAACTTCCTAATTTCCATGTTAGAATTAGGTGGCTTCCTGAGTAATCCAACCTGTAACAGGCAGCTAAGTGGTATTTGCTGATGGAGGGAATGGTGGAAGAGGAACAGAACTTGAGTTCTTGACTTTTTAATTTGAGGTAAGTTTTGGTCATTAATGTGGCAATGCCAGTAGAGTTAATATAGGAGTTGGGAATTCAAGGGAAAGCTAAGAGACAGAGATAAGATTTGGGAACTATTAACAGAAAGATATAAATTAAAACCATGATTGGCTGCAAGACTGCCGCTAGAGATGGTATGGAGTGAGAAGTGGGTCAAGGCAGAGATGTAGAGAATAGCAACATTTAAAGGAAAAGTAGAGAAAAAGTAGTTCACCAACAAAATTGTGGTGGGAAAGCCAGGGATGTCAAAGAAGAACCAGCAAGGTCTGACATAGAAGCCAATAGAGAGTCAAGAGAGTGTCAAGAAAGGAGAGGTTGAAAACATCCGTGCTGCAAAGAGGCACATAAAAACAAACAAGAAGTGCTCACTACACATTTTTACCTAAGAAAAAAGATATTTTGATTTTACTGAGAAGTGTTAAGTGGATTGGAGGGAGTGGGAGCCAAACTACATTTGAGTAAGGACAATCATCCCCAAAATGTGGTAAT
Organism: Homo sapiens; assembly: GCF_000001405.40. Taxonomy (NCBI): domain Eukaryota; kingdom Metazoa; phylum Chordata; class Mammalia; order Primates; family Hominidae; genus Homo; species Homo sapiens. The sequence continues at coordinate 95,851,773 of NC_000013.11, forward strand.
GTAGTACTGGGAGAACACCTCGGACAGTTTCCGAACTGCTTGAAAAATGAATCCTTTCTTCAGTTGTCCATAGGCAGATAACAGGCAACTTCATAGACTTTCATTCATATTTAAGACTAAGAATTCCTTAAAAATACATTGGTAAAATTATTAAGAATTACCAAAAATGTATTCATAATCGAAATCTGGCATGTTATTGAGGGTTACTGAGGACCCTAAGTCAGTTTTCTACTAACTGGCAATAGTGAAGAGACCCTATTTAGTCTGTAAACACATATATATTTGAAGATCTCCCAATTTTCAAGAATGATTAAAAAAATCAACTCCTTACCAGTGTGGTCTTGAATAACTCATTCATATTTTGACATATAATTTCCCACTTACTAGATTTTTAAACAAAGGGACTAAGCTTTCTACATTATCTGGAGCCTCTGTTAACTCTTTTCCTTCATTTTTACTTTATTCCCCCCATCTTTATCCCAACCATACTGACTTTCTTGCTATTCCTCAAACATGGAAGGCCCATGCCCACCTTGGGACATTTGCATCAGATACTCTCTTTGGCCTGCATCTGTGTCAGCTTTTAGGCCTCCATCTAAAATTTACTCAAAAGTCATCTTCATAGGGACATATGGCCACCCAATTTATACCTGCAAGCCCCAGCCCCTATTCACTATTCTGAACTCTCTATCATGCTTTCATGGTTTTTCTCTCCAAAACATTTATCTTTAAATATTATTTTTAAAATTTTTCTACTAGAATGAAAATATGAGCTAAAGAAATCTTGTTTTTGTTTTCTGATGTCTGAAGTCTTAGGAGAATATCTGGCACATAGCAGGTATTCAACAGATGAATGAATGAACATGCATGGTTGTGATAAAAATAAGAAAAAAGAGTCTTTTGCTTCTGCTAAAAGAATACAGAGTCTTTTGTTTCTGCTTAAATTATCTAAAATGTTTCAGATGCAATAATGAGGAAATTGATAGGATATTAGGAAAATAGTGCTTGTGAGGTGAAAGAAAATATTAAGGCAATATCAGGGTGGGGGTGCACTGGATGAAGGGAGTTTGTCTTAAAGATGAGAGAGAGAGACTTGAGCATGTTTACACAATGATGGAAAAGAGTAAGAAAAAAGAGGGTGATATGGTTTGGCTGTGTCCCCACCTAAATCTCATCATAAATGGTAATTCCCATAATCCCCACCTGTTGTGGGAGGGACCAGGTAGAGGTAATTGACTCATGGGGGTGGTTTCCCCCATCCTGTTCTCTTGACAGTGAGTGGGTTCTCATGAGATCTGATGGTTTTAAGAGGGGCTTCCCCCTTCACTGGGCACTCATTCTCTCTCCTGCCACCATGTGAAGATGGACGTGTTTGCTTCCCCTTCCGCCATGATTGTAAGTTTCCTGAGGCCTCCCCAGCCATGCAGAACTGTGAGTCAATTAAACCTCTTTCCTTTATAAATTACCCAGTCTTGGGTATATCTTTATTAGCAGTGAGAACGGACTAATACAAAGGGTAACTAAAACAGGGCATAAAGTAGAAAGTAGAGGTTTGAGAATGGAAAAGTGAGGATAAAATACTATTAGTTTTGAAAATGTTGAGCTTGAGGTGAAAAAATTATGTATAAGTAGAAATATCCAATAGATAATTACATAAACAGCAGTAAATTGAGAAAAAACTCAAAATATAAGACTTTAAAGTTTATGAGCACGGAGTTGGAACAGTCTATGTACACACACTCAAAATTATTCTGTTAACATTTTACTTACCTGATCTAGGTTTGAAAGACTGTTTGGATCTTGACTGAGAGCTTGATACTGGCTCCTGAGCCTGTCACCTGCTCCAATTCTCCTGAACTTCTTGAGATCCACTACATATAAAGCACTGCAAAAATGAATTACTTCTTGATAGCCTATGTTGTTTATGTAGTTTTAGTTTTACTTTCCTCCAGTGAGTGTCTACAGTGACGGTATTAACTACAGATATCCTAGGATCTAATAACAATTAATCCTTTCATAAATTTGCTCCTAATATCTAATACTGTTTCCCAAGAGTTTTAAGTTTGTTTTAATTTTGGTAGAACCCATAATCTTTTAGGGTCACCCCAAGATTTTCCAAGTTGTCATGAAACTCATGGCCTTACAAAAGGCCATGAGGCTTTGAAGACATAATCTTAATTTTATTTCACAAACCAAGTTTAAATCTTCTGGAGTAGTTAGGAGCCATATTACTTGGGTTTAACTCTTAGCTCTGTTATATACTAGCAGGGTAAGCCTGGGCAAATTACATGAATGCTGTATGCCTCAGTTTCCACATCTACAAAATGGAGGTAATAACAGTATCTCAAAAGATTGTCATAAAGATTTTATGACTTAATATACGTAAAGGCTTACAAGAGTGACTGGCATGAAATGAACACTATGTAATTGGTTGCTTTTATTGTGTAATTTTTAAGAAAACTGTGTAATTTTTAAGAAAACTGAAAGTTGCAATTCAATACATTACTTATTTACTAAATGGTAAGGGTCTGACTTTTCTTACCTGATATGGTATTTCCGTCTTAAAAGATGTGATGCCCAGTATCCTGTTTTCCAGAAACGATATCCATCCATTTCCCTGCGGCTATCACAAAATGGAGTATACCCATAAGGAGCTCCATCCAGATCGAAATCTCGAAGTTCTTTTAGATCATGTCTCACAATCTAAATAATTAAAATAGACTGTCTGATAAAGACTGTAAAATAACATAAGCCCTTTTTTATGGGAATCTCAAATCATTATTACTCTACTACAGAAATCCAAAGAGCTGTATTGTCCTCACAGTGCTTTCATGTAATATGAATTTACTGAATTTAACATTTATTCCTCTTGTCCTTACAGGTTAAAGGTAAACTAAAATTTATATTCCTAGTCTTTAAGACAGTGGTCTTACTCACCAACAAGAATATTTTGTTATGTCATTTATAAACAAGTCATTTTACGAATCAGACATTTGGGGAAGGGGTTAAATATTACGTAAGTGCAGAGCTCTTAGTTTCTCAATGTATGAATAACAAAATCATTCCATGCCAAATCTCCATTATTGTATATTGGCAAATGTTAAGTTTGAATCATAAAGAAAAATCTCCCAATTATTCTAAATAGCTTGAATAAAATAATATAAATGTTATTTTTTAATATGCTCAAGCCTTCTAGAAAAATATTAGTGCACACATTGAAAGAAAGGTAGGAGAAAGAATCATATTAGATATTATGTGTGGGGCTCAGATGGGAGGATTGCTTGAGGCCAGAAGTTTGAGACCAGCCTGGGCAACACAGTGAGACCCTGTCTGTAAAAAAAAAAAAAAAAAAAAAAAAAAAAAAATTAGCCAGGCGTGGTGGTGTGCACCTGGAGTTCCAGCTCCTAGGATGCTGAGGTGGGAGGATGGCTCGAATGCAGGAGTCTGAGGCTACAGTAAGCTATGACTGTGCCACTGCACTCCAGCCTGGATGACAGAGTGAGACCCTGTCTCTTAAAAGAAATTGAAATATACTTTTTGTTCCACATAAATTCTAACTTATCCATTTACTTTATATTTTCATTTACATATTACTTTTTTCTTAGAAATTCTGTGTATTTTCAATTTTTTTTTCCCACTAATGATGCAAAAGCAATGCAAGGAGGGAAAAAGGAAAAGTCATAATTTTTGGACATATAAATTTTGAAAGCAGAGGGCCTTGGGTGTTTTTTTTTTTTTTTTGGCCAAATTTATTTGCTTTTATTTTTAGAGATAGGGTCTCACTCTTTCACTCAGGCTGGAGTGCAGTGGCATGATTATATCTCACTGTGACTTCTAACTCCTGGGCTCAAACTTTCCTCCCCACCTCAGCCTCCAAAAGTGCTGAGACTACAGGCATAAGCTGGCCAAATTTAAAATGCTCTTTTCCTTAAGAGATAGAGTGATGAGAATTTGGTTATTGGTTGAATGCGAAAGAATGCTGTTGAAGGTGGAAGAATGAGAGTTGTATGTAACTGCTAGCTTTTCTAGCAAGAAGAAATTCCTAGTTTTAAACAAATATCAGCACATAATTTACAGGAATTCATTAACTACTCTTATTATGACTAATATAAGTATTTGTTTTAGTTCTCAAATGTAAAAAACTACTACTTTAGAGAGAAAACTTCCATGTCCTAAATAATAAATGGTACTTCTTACAATACCTTCAATTTTCCCCTGGAATTCTGACTTTTTGTTTTTAAAGATACTTTGCTTATATATCACAATCGTATCTTAAGCACCGTAATGAAGATAATAAACATGAGCAACATGAATTAATCTCTATATTAAGATAGAAGTGTAAAAAATGTTTGCGTATTACTAAAAATAGTAGTTAACCTTATTACCTGGTCAGCATCAACAAAAATGATTTTGTCCACTGCTAGTGGGAAAAGAACATCAAGGAAAAGAATTTTGTAACCCCAAATAATCCTCTGTCTTTCAGTCTGTTGACGAAGCCAACGGGGCCACCTATATTGAACTAGTTCATATCGGAATCCATACTCTTTAGCCATGTGAGGAATTACTTCCTAAAAACACACACACAAAATCAAACAATATGTTCAAGAGAAAGTAGTTTTGTTTTAGAGAAAAAAATAACATTAAAAAGGTAAAGCTTCCTATAAATTGTTATAAACTAATAGGCAAGATGTCTAAATACTACTTCTATAACATACTTATTAATGAGAAATATTAAAATGCTAACAAATATGAAATCACAAGTATAAATAAAACTATATAATTTAACGTCATTAAAAATAAGTGCACTATATTATTTAACAAACTTATTAATGGAAGATAAATGTTCCCATACTTTTATTGTTAACATCTGACTTGAGAAAACTGACTTAAAAAAAAGCCTCTGGATCTTGGAACACCTACATATCAAATAGTTCATGTATATGTCAACAGGTTGGTTGGTCAGAGATGTAAAGATGAAGAGAGGATACAAAAAACACAAAATAAGTTCTAAGCTGATAAATTAGATTCTATACAGGAGCTTCATGTTTGAGATATATCATTATTTAATTCAAGGATTAAAAATACAAAGTAGTGATTATGGTCTGAATATTTCATATTTGAGTATCTTATAGGCTTAGAAGTAGCTTATTCCCTGTTTAAAGCAGAAGCAGTTAATGAAATATACTGTGGGCTAAATTTAGTTCAAGAGCTCAAATACTGAGAGAGAAAATGAAAAAGGAATTGGAAAAGATGAATTAATAAATATAGAATTTGCGTTTTACCACTTGATTCTTACTTGAAACTAGTTTCTGGTTATATGTTTAATTTTTTTCTCTGACTTTGTAAGAACAATGTAGATTTAAAATACTTTTTTTTAAATGCAAGAAGCACCAATTTTATCTGTGAAATCTTGAAATTAGGGGTACAACAGCTGCCAGGAGTCATTGTTTTGGTTTCAAAATAAAATAAAATAAAACATTCAGATAAAATAAAAAGAATATTTTTTCTTCATTAAATATGTGTCCAAATATTCACTGAAACGGGCACTGTTCTAGGATCTAAGGGTACATTAGTGAACAAAAGAAATACAAATTATGACCTTCATGAGGCTTGTATTTTAGAGGAAGTAGGTAGAAATAAACTATTATCTACAGAAAAAAGTGCTATGAAGAAAAATTAAAAGGGAGAGGGAATTATAGTTTGTATAGTGCTGTCAGAAAATAATTATGTGTAAGTATGTATAATTTTAGCAAATATTTGAATGAAGAGAGGAGGTTTGACTTTTCTAAACTGGTAGGAACAAATCTAAAGTAGCTAGCGGCTTCTGTATCTGGCTGCTGATTTACACAGATGTTTGAGTTTGTAAAAATCCAAAGCTAAATTTCATGATTTGTGCACTTTTCTGAGTATATGTTATATTTCACTAAGAAGTTTTCAAAAGAAAAATTTTGAATGAAAGAAACACATCACAAAAAGAAGGAAAATACTACTTCAGATACAGTATTTCTTTTGGCCATGCAGTGGAACAAGACTTTCTAATCCAGACATAGCACTATTGTTCTGGTGAATAATATCTTTTCCTGCTAAGAGAATCTTTAGATTTTTCTATCTCAGTTTATTTGGGTTAAATACTCCCTTATTCAGTGTCTGACTACTAGGAAAGCATGTTAAAAAATTAGTAGAAAAATAGTATAACTTCTTATCTATATTTATAGGTTCTTTTTCTGTTTTTTTTTTTTTTTCCTACTGTCAAATGAGCATAGGAGGAGACACTGTTGGTGGTGGAGGGCAAATGGGCTGTTACATAAGGTTAAGCACCTGAGGTCTGAATGCCTGGGTTCAAATCTCAGCTGTGTTTCTAATTAGCTGTTTCATATCAGGCCTATGCTATAAAGGATGATTCTTGCTCAAAGAAAAGTATGGCCCTTCACCCTATCTCCCAGGAAATATCCCCTACCCTGGCCCTTCACCCTATCTCCCAGGAAATATCCTCTACCCTTGGAATTTCCTGACTAATAAGAATGTCTACGTTTACCTGCAGATCTCGGACCACACTAGATATTGTATGCTAATGATGTTATTTGTAGTGAGGACCTTGGGCCACAAAGCATCAGTTCAACATCTGAAGGGGTTAGAGGTTAAGGTTAGTCATGCAGGCCGTTAGCCAAGTCCACACAGCTGACCCTCAATAAAAACTCTGTACCACAAAGTTTGAATGAGCTTCCCTGGTTGGCAATACTCCACGAGTACCCTCACACACTGTTGCTGGAAGAAATAAGTGCTATCCACTGTAACGGGATTCTACTGGGAGAGGACAACTGTTAACTTTGTGTCTGGTCTCCCCGGACCCTACCCTAAGCATCTCTTCCTTTTGCTGATTTTATTTGTGTCCTTTTGCTATAAAAACTGTAACTGTGAGCACAGCTGTTTTTTGGAGTTATATAAATCCTTATAGTAAGTTATTGAATCTAAAAGTGGTCTCAGGTACCTCTCAACTGTGCAAGCTAGTTACGTAACTTTTGAATCTTGGTTTTCTTATCATGTGGGATTGTTATGAAAAACAATTGAATAACGTCAGTTAAACACTTGGCATCATGCCTAGAAATATTAAGGAATAAAAGCATGCTTGGCTAGTTTTACTTCTGTTTTCCCACTGCTTTTGGTCTAGAAAAAACAAACTCATTTGAAATGCTGTTGAATGAGACACCAAATTGCTGCGGAGACACTAAATTTCACGGAATTTGATTATGCTGTAGGGAGAATAGGAAGAAACAGAGTATACTTTGTAGCAGGAGTATAGGGCTGAGTAAAGGGTAATAGCTGTTGATCACCTGAAATCTTCTAAATATAAAATGCCTCAGATCATGGTGCCCAGCAATCAATACACTACACAGACGAAAGAGCTTTTTTGTTTCAGTACTGTAAAACTATTTTCTACGGTATAGGTATAGTCTTTGTATTTTCTTGATACTACTACTGTTTCTGCCTATCTTTGCAAAAATGACAGAATCCATTTCTTTTAATTGAAAATCTGTATATATTTTCCATTGCCAAATTGTATTTAATTACTCATTATCATGAAAAACTACTAGCCATTCTGATTTTGATTTTACTTAAAAATATACAGTCTTCTGTCCTCTCCTTTGAACATCTCTAAATAAAAATTGTACAGAATTTTTCTTAAGCTACATAAAAATACTAAATACCATTTTTTCAAAAAGCTTATTCTGAAAAGAGAAATATCATATAAACTTACAATGATACAAATAATTTACTATTCAAACATTAACCATTCTACAAAAAAAGCTATGTACTTACTTTAAATGTCGGTGAGAGATAATTTTTTAGCAACCAGAATTTCACTGGTGTTTTGGTGTTACGCAAAACAGAAAGCATCATAATTCTGTATAAAAGAATATTAAACCCAATATACATTAACAGTAACAGGAGCTCATATATATTTTTTAACCTTGAAGTGTTTTTTAAAATTTAATTTTAATTTCTTAAATTTTACTTTAAGTTCTGGGATACATGTGCAGAACATACAGGTTTGTTACATAGGTCTTTTAAAGGCTTTTAAATAATTGAAGGTATGAATTAGAAGGTTTTCACAATGAAATGTGAAGAAATAAACTAAAATATGGTTTATCAAGTATGTAATGTGTAAGGATGAATACATATACATCATGGTAGCTTCACCTGGGCCCAGCTGTCCATGACTGTGTGATTAATATTAAGTCTACAAACCCTGAAGAGCTGAATGATCTATCTATATTGACAAATTCACTGGATGGGTCATTTGGTTTGCTAACCTAAACCTCCAAATGGAAAGGATACAAATGAATCTGAAGTTCCATTTTAACGTATCAGTGCTACAATTCAAATATTTTTGAGTTATTCTCTGTGACCTTTCTATATAAACTGTTTAAAAATAGCCTTTTGTACTTTGCAATATGCATTTCTCCCCTCATTCCCTTCCTTTTTATAAAACAAGGTTTTCTTCACTGGAAAAGGATAATTTACTATAGTAAATTATATATATATAAATATTGTATATATAAAGTACTGTAAATATATATATTGTGAGTATATCTATATATATATATTCTTACCTATCCAAAATGTCTATTTGCTAGCCTTGAAGAAAACCAATATTCCAAATCAAGCCAAACTCATGAAATTTCATATTTATATATACTTACCTCATAATTTTAAGTAAAAAAAAAAAGCAAGGTGTAAAGTAGTATGTTCTTTACTATTTGGGTAAAAGGACTTAAACAACTGAAATAAATAAATAAATATACACATATATATTTACGTGTGTGTGTGTGTATGTATCTCCTTAGCAGGATATAAAAATAATATTATGGGTTTCCTGTGAGAAAAGGAACTGAGTATCAAGGAAACAGAGGTGGGAGTTTTTTTTTTCCCAGTGTATATTCCTTTATTTTTTTTTGAAATTTGAACCATGTAAATATTTCTTTTTCAAAATATAAGGTTAAAAAATATACCTACCTTAAAAAACGTTCATATAAATGACCAGAAGCAACTGAAAAAATGTTTAGGACATCTTTTTCCTTTTTGTTTTCTTTATGCAAGCTTACTGTGAAACTTGGAATAAAAAAGTAATTGACATTTCTTAAACATACATATGGAAACATTGTATGCCTAAATAGTAAATATAAGCAATCAATATAGAAATGTATTTCAAAATAGTTAAGCTATAAACACTCTATAATATTTACAAACTAATATTAAAATATTTGACAATATCATTTGAAGCTTTATGAGTTTTTTTTTAAATTTGTAATGTGGAATATAACTATATTGTCTTTAGGTGAATGGGCTGGTATTTTTGAATTTTTGTGAGTTGCCAAAGGTTGTTTTCAGAACAAAGAATGAATTACAGCTTGACATGGCCATATCTAGTGTACTGAAAGTTTAAACAGGTCAATGAGGGAAGGAACAGAATGCTTAAGTGTGGAACTACGGCACAGCAAGAATTTATGTGGTAACAGGGTAGGTGTGTGAGTGCTGCTGATGGGGCTCATCCAGGCTAAAATATTTTTAAACCATCTACAATTTGGAGCTCCTCTGACCAAGCAGATTTTCTCCACCACGCAGGGTATGGAGTATGCTCTTGGTACTCTGGATGACTTCCATGACAAAGAAAGCACTAGGGAACCATGTCTACTTACTGGTTTACATCATGGTAGCGTCATCTGGGCCCAGCTGTCATTTTCATTACATTTTTGGAGCTAGACCAACTCCATTTCATTTTTGTATAGGCCCATTTCATATATAAAAATGACTGAATCTTCTATTTACAGTATTCATAATGTATAAATTCATCTTTTTCTTCCTAAACATTTATTTCAAAATACTTTTATATAAACAGATATTTAGAATGAATAAAATTGGGTAAACAACTTAAATCACCATCAAAGTTATTTTGCAAAATATAAATTGTTATGACAGAAGTATTTTTCAAATCTTGTAATCTCCCAAATAAGAAAAGAAGTTGATTCAGTGGCAAGAAAAAATAATCATTCTAAGTTAGGACTAAAACTAAGATGAAAAAAGTCAAAGCATCATAAGACACACAACACTACGTATCTGGAGCAGTTAACGTCCCAAAAACTTACCATCTCCGTTTCTAACAAAGCATTTTGTTTTTGGTATCCTTTTAATATAGCAAGTGGCTATACCATAATTGAACAGTTATCCTTAATCATTCTTATCTATACCTTCTAACTTTAATGGAAGCTTTTAGTAAGACACTCTTAAAATTGCTCAGATTCTATTTCATTATCCCCTGTCAAACATACCTACCCTCCAAATCATCTCAATGAGTGGACTTGATCCTTTCTCTATCAGTAACTTGTTCAAAGCACACACTGTACAGTAACATGATTTTTCTTACCAAACAAGGAGTCAACTATAGAAAAAGAGGCTTAAACTGGGCAAAATCCAAAATGATAGAAGTGCTTTTGACTACTATAACCAAATATATTTAAGTTGTTGAATCTATTTGGGCTAACATTTCTATTTCTTATCTTTGATCAAAATGATTAATGGTTTTCCATCATAGCTCACATTGGGTTCAAATCTCTAAAATGGACATTCAAAGTTCTTTACAATGTGCATCTACAGGAGACAGCTTTTGTTTTTGCTCACCTAACATCTGTTCCCCTTCTAGTAACAACCTGGTATTTTGGGGGGAATCATTCCTCCTCCCATCTCATTCTATGAGGTTTAGGTGGGACAGGGCTTCCCACCAGTTCTAGAAGTAGGTATATGACTCATGCTGGGTTATCAGAGTCACAGAAATCAGTTCAGTTTGGGACACACAGCTATAGTTGGACCCATGAGTCAGCCTTGGAACTTTTATTGGTACTGTTTGGAAAGAGGCAACTTCCTTCCACTGGAAACAGTAAACTTTTACTTACAAAAGTCTATCTTAAAATGGAGGAGACACAGAAAACAGTAGACCTAAGAGATGGAGAAAGATTGTTTCCACACCACATCACCCAGTGGCCAACACCAGGTGTACTCCTGGATTCTTTAGATATCTGAGACAATATATTCCTTATGTATGTTTCTTTTTCGAGACAGGGTCTCACTCTGTCACCCAGGCTGGAGTGCAGCGTTGCAATCTTGACTTACTGCAGCTTTGACCTCCCAGACTCAAGCAATCCTCCCACCTCAGTCTTCTGAGTAACTGGAACTACAGATACATGCCATCACAACAGGCTAATTTTTAAATTTTTTGTAGATACAGGGTCTCACTATGTTGCCCAGGCTAGTTTTGAACTCCTGGGCTCAAGCAATCCTCCTGCCATCACCTCTCAAAGTGCTAGGATTACAGGTGTGAGCCACCATGCCTGGCCTGTGTTCCTTTTTAAACTAACAATAAAACAGTATAGGTATCAATCTAACATAAACAGTCCCTTTTATTTTCAAGTTGCAGCTAGCTAGGCTACTTTCTTTTCTTTGAGGAACATACCCAATCATTTTGTCTTCATGTAATTGCCTTCACTCAATCTTTAACTTTTGAAATCCTGTCTGTCCTTTAAAACAGATCTTTGCCACACACTTCTTCAAGGAGTATTTCCCAAGGTTCCTTGTAAGTGGATATATAATTTTTCTCCATTGGTTTGTATAGTATTTTATTTTCATCTGTCTTATAGCTCTAGTTTCCTATCTTGTACACAGTAGTAACATTTATGTATTTATCTTATCCCTCCTAGATTAGAGGACCTTTGCCTTACTTAAATTTTCACTACCTGTGGAACTTCCACATACTAGACTTCTGGATCAATCTAGTGATGTATTAAAATATTCATTAGTAATTACCTTTTAATGGAATCCCACAGTCCTTTTGTTTTTTCATCTTCATCGGTAAGGATATCTTCCTTAATTTTGTCTGTTTCTTTTTTCACCTAGATAGCATGGCAAAAAAGATTAGAATTTGGCTGCTTTAAATATTGTGCTGTATGGTTAGAAAGTGAAACATATTGGGCGAGATTACCCATAGAAATCTAAGATTGACAGTTGCAGTAACCAAAGACAGGCAATATCTTAGCACAATGTTGTAAACAATCTGGTCTTTAACTATCAATTCAACCTCTTTGTTCAGTTTCTTCAGTGGTTACCTCCATATTGCTAAATAATGTGCTTACCCTTGTGTTTACTAATTTATCAGCTTTAGGCATTATCTACTAGTATTTCTGAATTCAGAGTTTAGACATTATACACTCTTTGTGATGACAGATGAATAGCTCACTTATCGTTATCCCTTCCCTTTCCCTATTTGTCTGGAAATTTTGGTAGTAATGTGTTTATCTTCGGTTCTTCTATTGAGTATTTTTTGTCACTTTAAATAATATTTAAATCTCTTATTTTTTTATTCCCACAATCCCAACAGTTTCTCTTGTATAATCTGTTTATAAGGACACTACTATTTCTATGATTTCCTTCTACCTCCCAACTTATATTAAACCTTGACTTTAGCATTTGTAAATATTGATAACATTTACATTTAGTTCAGTAGACATAATTGTTGCATTTTGCTATGGTGATTCTAAAACTTGAAAATCAGTAAAAAGTTTTCATTATGACAATGTAAAGATTAACCACTGAAGAGTCGGAAAAGCTACTAAAACTCTATTTCCTCTGTACAGTTATAGTTTTAGCATAGTACAGCATAGTTATAGTTTCCTCCTATGGCCACTGTGCCACTCCTAGGAGACTCTTGCTGGGTTAGATGAATTCTCCTTTCTTACATTCCACCAGCAGAGAACTATTTTTTCCTGGAATTCCATTGTCCTTCTTTTTTCTTGTGGGGAGATATACAAATATGTCTTCTTTATCACAGACATAATCTTTTCCAGTTTATTACTCATGTTATCTAATTGTCTAGGATTCTTGTCTACCTGAAGACATTTTTCTTAAAGTTCAACAATTAACTGTTTCTTTCTAGATTTTCTTTACATTGGTTTACAGATTAGTTTCACCATTTCTTGAACTACCTATCTTCTTTCTTGATCTTGATCTTCATTGTACTGGCAAACATCTCCAAGAAAGGGTATGAAAAATAATTTTTCTAAATCTTCACACTTCAGAAACTAACATTTTACCTTCACATTTGATTAAGAATTTGGCTAGATACAGAATCTTGGGTTCAAAATAATTTTCCTCAAAATACTGAAAGCTTTGTTTTGCTGTCTTTTAACATCTAAGTATTTTGAAAATGAAATTCTGATGTTAGTGTTGTCATTCTATTGCAGTGACCCACTTTTCCTTCTTAGTAGCTATTATAATCTTATATGGGCCATTTTCATTCATTCTACTTCGTAATTTGTGGACTCTTTTGACATGAACATTTTTCTCTCTCAGCTTTACAACACTTTCCCTCCTCCATCTTCTCTGTTGTTTCTGGAATTCCTCTTAATAGGCTATTGGATTTCATGGGCTGATCCTCTATGTTGCTTATCTTTTCTCCTCCCTGTTTTTCTATCTTTTTACTGTAATTCTGAGAAAGAGGTGGTTAGGAGATAAAACTGTGTTATTAGAAAACAAACTGAAGGCGGCCGAGCATGGTGGCTCATGCCTGTAATCCCAGCACTCTGGGAGGCCAAGGCGGGTGGATCACTTGAGGTCAAGAATTTAAGACCAGCCTGACCAACACAGTGAAACCCCACCTCTACTAAAAATACAAAAAATACACACAAACATAAAAATTAGCCAGGCATGGTAGCACATGCCTGTGGTCCCAGTTACTCAGGGGGCTGAGGCAGAAAGATCACTTGACCTTAGGAGACGGAGGCTGCAGTGAGCCAAGATCGGGCCACTGAACTCCAGAGTGAGCAACAGAGCGAGACTACATCTCAAAACAAAAACAAAAACAAACTACTGAAATACCTAGGGTATGGGTAGGCTGTAGAATATTTCTAATTGGTTTCTTTCATAATTCATAAAAATTCTTAGCCATTATTGCTTCAAATGTTACTTGTACCCCATTCTTTAATTATCTTTGAAATTCCATTTAGTTTACTTTTATTTATCCAACAAATACTCATAAAGTGCTTTATCTTATCTTCATAACAGTCCTGTAAGGTATATTCTATTGTTAACCCCATTTTACAGATGAGGAAATGAGACAGAAAGAGATTAAGTAATCCGTCCAAGGTCACACAGCTAGTGAGTGGCAAAGCCAGTTTTAAATCCACTGCTGGTAATCTTAGACTTTCACACTAGCGTGTGTGTGTGTGTGTGTGTTAATGCTCTCTTCTATATTTTCTTTTTTTCCTGTCTCTATTGCATTTGGTATACTTTTTCTGGCCTATCTCCCCCAACTTGCTAATTTTCTCTGAAGGCATGTTAAAGCTATCTACTATTAATTTTGGTATTGTATTACTCAGTTTCCAAAGTTCTACTTTAAAAAAATCTGATATGCATGTTTTACAGTTTCATGTTCCCAGCAATTATTTTTAAACTCATCTTTAATTTCTTTAAAAAAAGTACAGCTATTTCAGAGGCTATTCTAATAATTTTAATATCTTGGGTCTTTGTGTATCAGTTTTCTGTTTCTGCTGGTTTTGTGTATTTGGTTAACTTTGACTATGAGTTGGCCTTCATACTAGAAAAATTTGATTTGCAGCTTAGGCTATTGTAATCTTATTCCAGAGATTTATGGATGTCTCTTCCAGATACCGCTATATCCTATCCATCTGGAAGAATATTAGTACCAATTCAAGGTTCAGGATTCCCTGGCCTACTTGGCTGACACAAATTTGGGCTAAAAGACTATGAGGAATAATTTTTTATGTTTCATCCTTAGCCTGAAAATAGAGCTAGTTTATTGTAGAGGGTCTTCTAATAGATTATTTTATGTGGGTCCTGGGTTCTAATTTTTGTCCCCTAACCCATCAAATTAAATAAAAATGGCAGTTAAAAGTGTGACAGGACAGAAAAATGTTCCCAGGACAATAGTAGCTTCCTTGGGTCAAGAGAAGTTTCTGTGCTTGCTTATTTCACTAGGCTCGCATTTTCCCTTTAATTTTGGTTTTGGGTTTCCTTATTATCCTTATTATCTTATTATTCTCCGTTCCTCATTGCTTTTAAAATTTTTTTAAATTTTTATCTAATATTTTCACTAGTTTTAAGCAGGAGGGTTGGTCCAAAAAGAATCTGCTATCATTAAAAACTCCCTTTCTCTCCCAATTTAAAAAACAGCACCTTCTCTTTTTAGAGCTAATTTTTCAGTGCATGTTCTTGATCTCATCTCTAGAGTCCAATTTGTAATGTTATTTGGCTACAGATAGATTTAGTAGATATATTTACAGTTATCATAATGTAAAAAAAAATCCTTCTCTTCTATCTTCAAGTTCTGTTTTCCTTTGTGAACTTAATCCTCTTCTTTTTTTACTGCTGGAGTTCAAATATAACATTTTAGGTTGTAAAATTGTAAAGTTAATTGTAAAATAAATCAATTAATTAAAAAACAAAGAAGATAATTCTTAATATTAAGAACAAAGCCTATAAAAAGTTCTGCCCCCACATACTTTTACTTTGAGTATCTTGCTTTTGAAGCTGTTTAATACAACAATGATATCTTCTAGGTCTGCTTGAGAGTCAGTTCCTTCATGCCTAAAAGTAGAAAAATGTGTCCATAATTAATTTAAGAATAGACATACAATTATGATGGCATAACAGAATAAACTCATTTTGCAATAAACGTAAGTCCAATAACACTAGTGCATATATCATGTTTTTCTGTTTCTATAGTCAATTAAGATATACTATAATATGCTGTAATTTTCAAAATTATCCAATAAATTTTAACTCAGTACACATTAAAATTGTACAAAAGTAACTCATTAAATTCAATACTACCCAATCACTCTGAAAGTTCAAATTATGGCTTATCTTTGCTGTTATATACCAAGGCTATCACACAACTAAAATCTTTCACATCCCTGATATATTGTAGTGATAATTACAATTTTTTACACTTCAAAGTTGTTTATATTTCAAAGGAGTTCTACACTATCCAACTTTTTAATATCCACCAGCCATTTTCAAATGCCAAAATTTGAAGTACATTGTTAAAATAATGAGACTGAAAATGTGTCTATGATGTCCATCTGCATCACCTGAATGTTTCCATTTTGTATTATGTATAATGCAGTTTTTTTCTCCCATTTTCAAAATTGCTTAAACAAATATGGCAACTGTGCTCCGTAATTATTTTTTCAAACTATTCTCACTATGGACTAAAAAGTTCTATCATATTTACAATAAAGTTGAATTTTGTTGAAGGGGAAGCAATCAGATGTCAAATTAGTATAGTTACTTTTGAGTTGTTATATATAATACATACTTTTAACATTTTTCCAAAATGAACACCTGGGGAGTCTAGCACTATCATGACTGACACGTCTTTGACTTTCTCTTACTCCCAATTCCTGAGCTGAGGTGGTTAAACCAATGTAGCAGGCAGAACTCTGTCCAACAATCACCACTAGAAAACAGAAAGAAGCCAGGTGTGATGGCTTACACCTGTGACCCCAGCACTTTGGGAGGCTGGGGTGGGAGAATCGCTTGAGTCTAGGAGTTTGAGACCAGCCTGGGCAACAGTGAGACCTCGTCTCTGCAAAAAATTTTTTTTTAAATTAGCTGGATGTGGTGGCCAGCGCTGTGGTCCCAGCTAGTCAGGAGGCTGAAGTAGGACGATTGCTTGAAACTGGCAGATTGAGGCTCCAGTGACCTGTGAGCCGTGATTGTGCTATTGCACTTCCGTCTGGGCAAGAGAGACCCTGTCACAAAACAAAACAAAACAAAACAAAACAAAAAGGATCTAACCTGTATGGTAGAAACATTGTCAAATTTCTTAAAAACTTTCAGCTGCTTATAGTCACAAAACACTACTTAAGGGCATTGACAACTTTAGCCATTTAATTCCCTGTCCACTGAGACCCAGAGTATAAAAGCCAGCTAGCAGAGCACTACAGCTAGACCTAGACAAATTCGAAAGCAAATCTCTTTCCACTTCCATCAGGTAGCAGAGGTAGTAATGGTGACGAGCTCTCATTTTACTTCAGGCACTGTTTTTTTTTTATTTATTATACTTTAAGTTTTAGGGTACATGTGCACAATGTGCAGGTTTGTTACATATGTATACATGTGCCATGTTGGTGTGCTGCACCCATTAACTCTTCATTTAACATTAGGTATATCTCCTAATGCTATCCCTCCCCCCTCCCCTCACCCCACAACAGGCCCCAGTGTGTGATGTTCCCCTTCCTGTGTCCATGTGTTCTCATTGTTCAATTTCCACCTATGAGTGAGAACATGGCGGTGTTTGGTTTTTTTGTCCTTGCGATAGTTTGCTGAGAATGATGGTTTCCAGCTTCATCCATGTCCCTACAAAGGACATGAACTCATCATTTTTTATGGCTGCATAGTATTCCATGGTGTATATGTGCCACATTTTCTTAATCCAGTCTATCATTGTTGGACATTTGGGTTGGTTCCAAGTCTTCGCTATTGTGAATAGTGCCGCAATAAACATACGTGTGCATGTGTCTTTATAGCAGCATGTCTTATAATCCTTTGGGTATATACCCAGTAATGGGATGACTGGGTCAAACGGTATTTCTAGTTCTAGATCCCTCAGGAATCACCACACTGACTTCCACAATGGTTGAACTAGTTTACAGTCCCACCAACAGTGTAAAAGTGTTCCTATTTCTCCACATCCTCAGGCACTGTTTTAAGCACTTCATAGATGCTCACTCACTTAATCCATACAACCATCCTTTGAGGAAAGTACAATTATTATCCTAGATCCAAATTGAGTCTAGATAGTCTGGCTCTTCACCACTGTACTATCAGACCTTTACCAACAATGCTAAGCACCTGAAACCTCTGGATACATGAGGAAAATGTGCAGCTTAAATGAAGGGAACAAGCTAAGCAGTCAGAGGAAATGGACTTCATTGATAAGGCATTAATGCAGAAAAAAGGGAAGCATTCAAATAATTCATATTCTCAATGAGATTCAAGAGAATACTGAATCTCAGTAAATGCCATTTACTTCAAAATGAAAGAATTCACTGTGTGTCAGAAAGCATGATTAATTAAAAAAAGCACTTATACATGTGTCTCCTGAAATTCTAAAAAACAATTTATATTTTCAGAGAAGAAATGTAAATCAGATTGGCTTCATATTTTTCATCCAAAACACTAACTGGTAAGAAACAATGATGAAGCCTTGTTTCAAGCATTCTGAATAAAATTATAATGCTGTTATTCAATACTTAGGAAAGTTATAATTCATACGGAACTGCAAAAGAAATTTTTAAACCTTTGAGGACCACCTCAAAGTTTTAAACATTTGAGGGTACACCACTAATGTCTCTGAAAAAACTTATTTGTGGTAAGGTGGTGTATATTATGATATGGCAGGCAACATCCCACCTTTAGCATACACTGCAGTAGTTAGAAAGATACACCCATTTTTGTTGTTGTTGTTACTCAACTCTTTTGCAGCTAAGGTTTTGGTTGATAATTAGATTCTGCTAAACAGATAGATACATTTGCATGTTATTTGGAACTTAGAAGTGAGCGGGGCAATGTGCTGATGCCTGCCTAGCTTCTTTTGTCAAGCACCGTCATGGAGACATTGAGGTTTTCTACTTCAGTGTTCCAGTGTGTAACTGCTTAGCTTTCTGGGTACCAAAGGCCAGTTGATGTGTTGCTGGCAGCAGCTTCTAGCTTTCTCTCACTTCTGATGATGGGAAAGTAGCAGCTCTTTCTGGTTGGTCAGTTCCTTGGCTTTGTTCTCAAGCATTCCTAGGATCCAGCCCTCCTGGAGAGCTTGCTCCGCCAGTCCTTCCCAATACGATGTAAAAGCATCCAATTGCTTGTGTTAAATACTTCTATGATAATATGGGAAGTCAGCCATCTGCTACGATTTGAATGTCCCTCCCCTCCAAAACTCATGTTGAAATTGTATTGCCATTGTGGCAGTATTAAGAGGTGGGACCCTTAATAGGTGATTATAGGTGATGAGGCTCCACCCTCATTGAGTGGAAGTGGTGCTACCACAAAAGGGCAAGTTTGGCCCTCTCTTGCTCTCTCTTGTCCTTCTGCCTTCTGCCATAGGGCAATGCAGCAAGAAGGCTTCTGCCAGATGCTGTCCCTCAATCTTTCCAACCTTCCAGAACTATGAACCAATAAATTTGCTCAGTCACAGGTATTCTGTTACAGCAGCAAAAAATGGCCTAAGACACCATCTAAACAAAAAATGAATGTGAAAATTAAAAGACATATAAAAACTGTGATCAATAGTGAATTCATTAAAATTTATATTTAACTAATGGTAATATGAAAGTAAAGAACTAAACAGAATATTGGGGGTAGGGGTAAAAGGATGCTAGAATGCTTCCACTGAAACACCAATGAGATAGCTACCAGACACCGAAGTGAGTATGCATAGTCATCCATTCTCAATACCCTCACAATATGCAGATTGCCCCTCAGAGAGATAAAGCATATAAAAATGTTCAGAAAAGGGATTGTGTGAGATGAAGGCAGAAGAGTTTCCTTACAGAGAGCTGTTGTCAGATTGTGAGTCTCCACCACTACACCCTGTGAGGACGGAAGGGGAAGAGTATTGCCTTCTCATTCTAAACTCAGTAAGGTAGACACTTTAAGGAGAAGACACTTTGCAACACATATTCTGAAGTTGGGATGCACAGAGGACTCATGTCTGGGAAAGTTAGAAGTGTACATGGAGCAGGATTGGGTATTTGAGGACTGTTTTGTTGCTCTAATCGAGGAGTCAGGAGAGTGCTTACTGCCTCTGCAACTGCTCTGAACTAGAGTTTGTTGGGCAACTGATGTCTAGGTATTTCCACAGATCAGATGCAGCCAAGAAGGAGAGCGATTTGGTTTTGTTGTTACCACTGGGTAGTCATGTGTCCTGCCAATATGGCAACCAGGAGGTATGAGGAGACCACACCAACATAACCAGGGAACTAAAGGAGAGTGAAGTACAGCAATAGAGAACTTTTAAGAGTCCGCAGAGAGTGAGTTTTAACTACTGCAGAGCCAGCAAAGTTACGGTGGACCAACTCGAGTACCTGCGGAGAAAGAATGGAAAGCCTTGTTTGACATCTCTGTCCTTCCTCCTACAAAAACATGGGAGAAACAGTTCAGTCTCAAAGGTACCAAACT
Organism: Homo sapiens; assembly: GCF_000001405.40. NCBI lineage: Eukaryota > Metazoa > Chordata > Mammalia > Primates > Hominidae > Homo > Homo sapiens. The sequence goes on from NC_000013.11 coordinate 95,872,017, forward strand.
AAAATTGATTACAAGTGTTACTTTGGCAGAAAAGATTTTTCTAAAGATTTCAAATGAGAAGTCTAGCACAATAATTTGGCATTAAAGGTGCATAAATAAAGTATCTAATATTCTCTACAATTAATTAGGAAAATCTGAGCAGCATTTGTCTAATTTTGGTAGAACTACAAAGAAATAAAGGAGAATAATTTTGAGACTTTTTGTATTCAAGGTAAGTAACAGCCAATACTGAGTACACACAAATAATCTGCAGTTAATGACTACAAAAAGATTGACAGACACAGAAAGTACACATTGTGGGCATTATGCCTCAGAAGTGGAAAGCCAAATTTTAAAAAATCAAATAATTTAGCCATGGCTTTAAAATCTGAACTTAGAAACTCATATCAATATTATTTTAGCTTAGATTTTTAGCAGGTTTCAGGAATATTTTTCCTAATTATAAAGGTAATATCAATTACAATTAAAACATAAATTAGGATAAACAATATCAGTTTTTGTTATATTTTATATTGACCTCGTTAGACTTTTTATTACACAGTAACATGTATTTTTTTTGCATTTTGGATAGCTAGTGACATTAATCATATGTAGAATTAAATTATGACTAAGTATATGGTTTTATTGTTTATAAGTAATACAAACAAGTTTGTAAGTTATTTCTACTGCCAAAAGTTGTCTGTGAATGAGAAAAAACAATTTTCACTAATATGTTAGTGGTACTTCAAATATAACATCAAGAACATCTTTATGAACTGTGTATGATAGAAAATAATAGTAAAGAAGATAAAATAGAATCTAAATCATGTATAGTTTTAGTTTTACATAATACATGTGCTATTGTATAACTGTATTTGTAAAAGAAGGGATAAGTGGAGAGGAAATGGGCATTTACTCAATATTCTACAATGATTTTCCCATTTAGTCCTTAGCAAAACCCCACAAGGGAGGTAGGATTATTCCCTTTTGTAATGAGGAAATAAAGACTACAAATAGCAAAGAAACTTATACAAGATCATACGGATAGTTGGTGGTACAGAAGGGATTTGCCTCACAATTCATATACAGGGCTTTCCCTTTGCAAAACATAATGATGAAACGGTAGTGGCAGATATAGAAATGCTGAATTCCTGGCAAAGCAGTTTGCACAAAATTTAAAAAGCTGAAACAAAGCATGAATGCTTCTTAAAATTATATCTTGAAACCATGGCTTTTATAAGGGTCAATATAAATGTTACAGCCTATTTTGCTCATTTTCTACACTACCATAGCACTCTTTTATAGCACTTAGAACATATAATAGTCACTCATTTTCTTGACTATCTTTTCTACTGGAATGAGTTTTGGGAGGGTAGGAACTGTCTATTTGTAATGGGAATGACACAGCAAGGTAGCATAGGTTGCTGCATAGGCATTAGAACATACCCAAATGGGTCCAGCTGGTAGCCAAAGATAAGAACTTAGAGGTACCCTTCCTGCCTAGCAAACTGGGCTTCTGTTGTCCTGCCTTCCCTTCAAACAGACCAAAAGTGACCCATGCTCTATTCCCTTATATATACTGCTAGTTGCATGCATGCTCTCTCTTTCTCTCTGCCTGACTCCTCTTCATTCTTGCCTGATGTGACCTAGAGATGGAGCCCTTCCTGTCCAGGATCTGTAAGTGATAAATCTTTGAACTTATTTCTTTTTGTGGTGGTGTATTAAATTTGCACCCCCCATTGGAAGAGCCAGGGACTATCCCAGACCAGGTTTTCTCGAGGATGCTGGGGAGAACACAATGTTGGGTTCCCAGTGTCACCGCGATGATCAGGCAAACATAAACTGGACATGGGTCAGACAAGAGCCACACGGACATCTGTCAGCATAAACAAGTTTCCTGTGTGAGGGAAACTGGGTCTGGGGTCAGACAACTATGAATTAGACCATCCACCAGGTAAACGAAGTATCCCATGAAAGGCACACAGTAAACATTCACATCCAGCTGCCTTTCATTCTTCATTAGGGCAAGGTCACTAGCCACTCCAGTACTGGAACTCAATTTGGCTGGGGGTTCTCAAAACAGCATTGTTCAACCGCTTATCTCCAATACTTGTCCTTATTTTTGTCTGCTTATTCCACCTCACCAAGTGATTTCTGTCACTATAGCTTGTATTATCTAGTGTTTTGTAACTTATAAAAGGAGACATGCAGTAGTACAGCAACCCCCACTTATCCACAGGGTATAGGTTCGAAGACATCCAGTGGATGTATGAAACCATGGATAGTACCGAACCCTAAATGTATGTTTTTCCTATACATACATGTCTATGATAAGGTTTAATTTAAAGTTAGGCACAATACTCTTGCCTTTTGTGGTCATTATTAAGTAAAACGAGGGTTACCTGAATATAAGCACTGTGATCCCATGACAGTTGATCTCATAACTGAGAATGCTACTAAGTGACTCATGGGCAGACACCTGACAAAGGAATGATTTTCCAGGTGGAACAGAGCAGGATGGTGTGAGAGGTCATCACACTACTCAGCAGTGCATAATTTAAAATGTAGGATTTGTTTATTTCTGGAATTTCCCACTTAATATTTTTGGACTGTGGTTAACCATGGGCGACTGAAACCACAGAAAGCAAATTCTTCTTCTCCCCTTTTCTCCCCTTCCTCCCCATCCCCTTCCTTCTCCTCCTCCTTCTTATTTTGAGACAGGGTCTCACTCTGTTGCCCAGCCTGGAGTGCAGTGGCATGACCATGGCTCACTGCAGTTGCCACCTCGTGGGGTCAACTGATCCTCCCACCTCAGCCTCCCAAGTAACTAGGACTACAGGTGTGAGCTACTGTGCCTGCCTACTTTTTTGATTTTACATAGAGGTAGGTCTTGCTATATTGCCCAGGCTGGTCTCAAACTCCTGGGCTCAAGCAGTCCTCCCACCTTGGCCTCCCAAAGTGCTAGGATTACATGTGTGAACTACCATGCCTAGCCTAAGTGTAAATTTAACGTTTCTAGGAACTGTCCAATTGTTCAAAAGTGGTTGTACCATTCTAGATACCCAATGGAAGTGAAAAACAGCTCCTGTTACTCCATATCCTCACCAACACTTGATATCGTCATTCTTTTTATAAAGTTAGTCATTTTAATAGATATGTGGCATATCTCGTGGTTTTAATGTAGATTTTCTTAATGACTAACAATGTTAAATACATTCTGTACTTATCCATATATCTTCTTTGGTAGAGTGTCTGTTCAAGTCTTTTGCACATTTTCTTAATCTGGTTATTTGTTCTAATATTGAGTTCTGATAGTCTTTATATATTCTGTATATAAATTCTTTGTCAGATATATGCTTTGCAAAGATTTTCTCCCAGTCTGTGGATTGTCTTTTCATTCTCTTTTTCAGTCATTTACATAAACCCTTTTAGTGTGAATATTAACGCATTCTGCAATACAAATGATGTTTAATAAAGGGCTTTCTCAGATCCTGCTGGGATATACGTCATAATATATGATATGTGTACTGTATTAACTTTCCAAACGAAAAACTTCTAAATTCTAAAACACATATGGCCCTAAGAGTTTTAGATGGGAGATGTGCATGTCTACCCTCTTCCTGGAATGTTCCGTCTGTGGTATGACTAATAACTTCCTATTAATTCTTCAATTTTCTTGAGGTACTATATCATCTCTAATGTCAATGCTGACTTCCTCCTACCCACCTCTACCACAGAACTAAGCATCCCTGGCTCTGTGTGCATAAGCCATCAAGCACATCTATTAACTGACACTATGAGCTAGGCACAGTATAAAGGGGAAAGAGTGGTGAAAAAAAGATACAGTAACCCCTACTCCTATATTATCTTTGTTGAGCACAACGTGTGGTATAATAAAAGGTGCTCAGTAAGTATTTATTGAAAGCAATGAAATCTAGAGATATTTATTAAGGGTATAAAAAAGACTTTATCAAGAGTTGGCAAACTATGGCCAGTAAACCAAATCAGGTTTATGGTCTATTTTTTTAATAGCCCTAAGCTAAAAATGATTTTTACACTTTAAAATAATTGTTAAAAAAATAATTTTGACAAAGACCACATGTGCTCTCAAATGAACATTAAATACTTACTTTTGGCTCCTTACCAAAAAAGTGTGATAACTCCTGCTTTCTACTATGGCTCACTGAAGAACAGGAAAATTTTTGTGCAAAAAAACAATTCCAAATTGAATATAACCCAGGGATAACGGTGTTGTTATATAAGATATAATGTATACCATATTGTCATTAAATGATCAAAATATCAATTATGCTGGTACAGGGAAAAGTCTAAGAGCCTGAATTTGTGGGGGCTGGCCTGGCATTGAGGCTGGGCAATAGCCTGGGGCTTCTGGGGTAGGCCTGGTGGTGGGGTAGGCCTGGTGGTTGGACAGGCTTGGAAACTGAATCTACCAGGCAGATTTGGAGCTTGGGGCTACAGGATCTGGCAGCTCAGTCTTCTGGTACCAGCATTAAGTTGGGGCTGTGAGGCCTACCTGGCTTTGGGTTTTACTGGGGTGAGCATGGTTTTGGGGTCCAAGGCAAAGTCTGCTGCTCACTTCCCTCTACTTCCCCCAAGGGGGTATCTCTCCAGCTGTGCTGTATCAGGTTGAGGAAGGAGTAATGCATGTAATGTAAATTATCCTACACTCTTCAATGTGTCTTTCTTATTTCTGTGCTACACTGCAGTGCTGTAACAGCTTACCTCGTTCCTTAGTTTTTATTAAGGTAGTTTCATGTGTGGAGTGGATAGTTGTTCAAATTGATGTTTCTGCATGGGTATGAGCACCGGAATGTCCTGTTTTGCCCTCTTGCTGATGTTCAGACCTAACTCAGTCATCTTTTTTTTTTTTTTTTTTTTTTTTTTTGAGACAGAGTCTTGCTCTCTGTCCTGGGCTGGAGTGCAGTGGTGCAGTCTGCTCACTGCAACCTCCGCCTCCCGAAGATTCAAGCAATTCTTGGGCCTCAGTCTCCTGAATAGCTGAAGTTACAGGTGTGCGCCACCATGTCTGGCAAATTTTTGTATTTTTAGTACAGATGGGGTTTTGCCATGTTGGCCAGGCAGGTCTTGAACTCCTGGCCTTGTGATCTGCCTGCCTCGGCCTACCAAAGTGTTGGGATTACAGGCTTGAGCCACTGCGCCAGGCCAATCTTAACATTTTAATTGTTGTTTTGATTCTCTTGGTTGTATTACACTAAAAACGTATTTATGTGTAAAAATTTAAAAGCAGCCTGCATAACTCACCCAACTATTTGATAAATATCTTCAGATTTTCCTTGGTGTAACCTCAGTATCCAAGCACCTGGGTTTGCTTTTAATTGAAAATACCCCTTTTAAGATGAGAAAAAAATAATCATTGAGTAATATGACTAAAAACCATCGAATTGCTCATGAATACACGAATGATCTAAGAAAGTATTTATTAACTGTAGAATGAATAAATTCTATAAATCAATTCCAAGTAAAGAGATTTTACAATAACCTGTCAAAAATTATTAAAGTATGATTTTCCCCATTTTTTATTTATCTTATTCAAAGATTCAATTTTGTTTTCTGCAAACTGTTCAGCAACAGCAGAATAAAGATTATTTCATTTTACTCTTAGGAAAACAGAGAATTCACCAAAACATCAAATTAAACACCATCAATTAAATAATACTTACATGATGTGCCATCACTATTGTATCAACCACAGCAGGTTTATTTTTTGTGCCTAGTGTGAACTGCAGACCCCGAGGAGGCTGTTCTGTCACTTTATCAAAGCATTGTCCTTCCAGTAGTAAGTATTCTAGTTCATATTCTGCTGTAACAGTTTTCTCAGTCTGTGGAGGAAGTATGTCATTGTTTTTGGTGTTATGTAAAACTCATAATACAAAATTTTGAAATAAATAAATGTGATTATTTTAATATTGGCCAATGTATTTTGGTGGCTAACTTTAAGTCTTTATTTTACACATGAGTGAATTCATGAGTTGAACTGATTTCTTCAAGACAAAAAGCTTATGATAAACTTTTTCTTTTTCATGACATCAGCTTTACCTGAACCTCATGGTATATGCACCAATATAACCAAGCAGGAAAGACGTGAACATGAGATTTAGATGGGAAATTCCTTAAAGAATCTGCTTCAGTTTGCTGTTGTCCTGAAGCTCCCACTTCAGACTTGGCAAGAAAGCTAACTTACTATCTATTGGCTTTCTTGTAATTAAAAAAATTAATGTCTATAATCAACTAATTATAAATTGATCGATATATTTTTAAAGTTAATTTTAAAAAATAAAAATTCGTTTTCCACTTCCAAAGTGGAAAGAAGAAAAAACAGAACGCACCTCAACAGAATAAACACTGATATAAACATCAACACACTGATTTCTATTTCTTGTCTTCATAAATTTTTTTTGTAAGAAAGTAACCTGCCTTTTCATTAAACATGGTTTTCTAAGAACATGTCTCTGTCTCTATAAATATCATTTTAAATGGCTGGACATTCCAGTTGTTTCTGGATTTTTCTCTATTGCAAATGTTATAATAAATATTTTCAAGATAAAGCTTTTTCTCTACTTCATATGAACAGCATAACTAAACATGAAAATAAATCAAACAGTGATTTTCACAGACAGAATTCTGTTGAGATTAAAGACAGCAATGTTACCTATATCTAATCTTATTTCACCATATTAGGTTTTCAACACTATTGTTTAGTGTGTTTAGGATATAGACTATTTGGATACATTCTGTATTGTATAGTTGTTTTCCTTGACTGCAATTATCTCAGAAATAATTACAACATTTGTTTACAGCATTTCTTTCTTGATTCTTGTTATTTTACTGGTTTTAAGAACAAAAAATAAGTAACTTCTTTGAAGACAGTATTTATTTAAAAAACTTTAGTTGAATTCTGAATTAGTTGTTGAATTACTATTCTAGCGATAAACTTTATATAATTTATTAACCTATATCCAGAGTCTTTATAGCAATTTACTTGACTGGAAAGATTTTCATGGGATAGTCTCAGAATAATATGAGAATGTTAAAAATTAGAAAAAGATTGTAGAGATCATGTAGTTCAACACCCTCACTTTACAGACAAGGAAGCAATACACCAAAGTGACTGTAAAGTAAAGCTTAATTATTTTATTATGAATTAGATACTAGGGAAGAGTCTAAATACACTTACCCAGTTTGTGAATAACAGTATCTTCTTAATTTATATTAATGTGAAAATTTCTCTTGTTCCTATATATTTATATAACAGACTTCAATTCTGTTGACTTATTCAAACCACAACATACAAACATAGCCAATTCCTTTTCCAAAGAGTTCTTTCTAGTGAATATTTTAAGTTTTCATAGAGGTGATTTAAGTTAAATTAGTTCCTATTTTCAAAGCTCATTTATTTATTTATTTGTTTGTTTGTTTGAGACAGGGTCTCACTCTGTTGCCCAGGCTGGAGTACAGTGGCACGATCTCGGCTCACTGCAACATCCGCCTCCCGGGCTTAAGCGATTCTCCCACCTCAGTCTCCCGAGTAGCTAGGATTACAGGCATAGGCCACCACTCTGAGCTAATTTTTTGTACTTTTAGTAGAGACGGGGTTTCACCATGTGGGCCAGGCTGGCCTCAAACTCCTGACTTCAAGTGATCCGCCCATCTTGGCCTCCCAAAGTGCTTAGATTATAGGTGTGAGCCACTGTGCCTGGCCACAAAGCTCATTTTTAGCAAAAATATGAAAGTTAGTGATCTTTTTTGATGCTTATGTTTCCATCTTCCCTTTATATTTTTATTTTCTGTTTTAAATATTAATTGTTGATACCAGACATAAATTTAATACCTTTCAAATATAACCTTGAGAATGTATTAATTTTTTTTTATTATACTTTAAATTCTGGGGTACATGTGCAGAATGAGCAGGTTTGTTACATAGGTACACACATGCCGTGGTGGTTTGCTGTACCCATCAACCTGCCATCTACATTAGGTATTTCTCCTAATGCTATCCCTTCCCCTAGCCCTCTGGCCCCGTGACAGGCCCCGGGTGTGTGATGTTCCTTTCCCTGTGTCCATGGAACATATTAATTTTTCTAATAGGATATTAATTGTACTGTTCTTCTGTGGCTGAATAGCTAAGTGTCTTCCTTTAAGAAAAGGCTAAGTTTAATTATAAAGATCAACATTTGGGTTTGTTAACAATTGTCTGTAAATATGTTAATCTAGTATTTTTGTTGCTATTGAATGTGATTTTGTGTAACTGCAGACACATTTTCCCAAGTTATTAATAGCAAAGCTATAACACATATCTTGATCTGTAATCTAAACTCTGACAAGCTATCTGATAGTGGAGATGGATAAATGATAGTACATCTTTTTCTTGCATCTTATCTCAAGGCAGGTGAAGGCTGAACTTAAAGACTTTAGTGCAATCTGAACTTTAAGAAACTATTCAGGACTCTGGGCAAAAATCCAAGAAAAAGTTAAAGGAATTAGTTTTAGATAATTTGGTGGTTTGAGGCACATAAGGTAGTGTAGTCTTCCTTTATCTGTGGTTTCTCTTTGTACAGTTTGTTATCCTCAGTCAACCATGGTCCAAAAATAAGTGGAAAATTCCAGAAATAAACAATTCATAAGTTTTAAACTGTGCACTGTTCTGAGTATTGTAATAAAATCTCGCATGACAGTGCTTGTGTTCAAGGAACCCTTATGTCACTTAGTGACCCCAAAGCACAAGAGTAGAAGATGATGACCTACTTTTATAATTGTTCTATTTATTATTAGTTACTAAGGTTAATCTCTACTGTGCTTAATTAATTTATGAATTAACTCTTATCATAGGTAGGTATGTATATAAAAAAACAAAACATGGCCGAGTGCAGTGGCTCACGCCTGTAATCCCAGCACTTTGGGAGGCCGAGGTGGGTGGATCACAAGGTCAGGAGATCAAGACCATCCTGGCTAAGACGGTGAAACCCCGTCTCTACTAAAAATACAAAGAATCAGCCGGGCGTGGCAGCGGGCGCCTGCAGTCCTAGCTACTCGGGGGGCTGGGACAGGAGAATGGCATGAACCCGGGAGGCTGAGCTTGCAGTGAGCCAGAGCTGGCAATGAGCCGAGATCACGCCACTGCACTCCAGTCTGGGCAACAGAGCAAGACTCCATGTCAAAACAAAACAAAACAATGTATAAAAGGTTAGGTACTATGTATGGTTTCAGGTATCCACTGAGTGGGTGGGGGTATCTTAGAACAAATCCCTTGTGGATTAAGGGAGACTTCTAAAGTACAAGTCTTCTGATATATAAATTTTCAAGTTTGTTAAGGTTTTGTTTAAATTTCTAAGTTTTGCAGAAGAGACAGAACTCTTCGCTGCAAATGTGACCTTTTCCCAAATTTTGTAAGTGTTTGATGGTTTGAGACATAAATTTCATATATTATGCACTGAGAGAATAAACTGAGCCTAAGATGAACAGTGTTCATCTAATTCATAATACAGTATTATTTAGGATCTATAGCATACCTCTGGCAATCAAACAAATTCTTTCACAATTATATTTGTAATGAATATATCAATAAATAAAACTGATATCAAAATTATTTATGTTTCAGAGGGATTAATGCATTTTTCTGTGAATTCACTTTAACAGAGCCACATCCTATTCCTGTTAGCAATCTTTTATTTATTGCATCTTCTCTTGCCTTTTATGGCAATACCTGGAACAGTGTGAAAATGGTGTAACCACCATTGTTATTCCAGGTATTTTGACATCTTTCATATATATGCTGTGATGAAATATAATTAGAGAGTCTTTTGATGCAGTTCTAACAATAAGCACTGAGAAGAGCAACACATCTGAACTCCAGGTAAAAGTAACTGTCTCACTTTTAGCTTTTTTTTTTTTTTAGACAGAATCTCGCTCCGTCACCCAGGATGGAGTGCCATGGCACAGTCTTGGCTCACTGCAACCTCTACCTCCCGGATTCAAGCAATTCTCCTGCCTCAGCCTCCTGAGTAGCTGGTATTACAGGCACGTGTCACCATGCCCGGCTAATTTTTCTATTTTTAGTAGAGATGGAGGTTTCACCATGTTGGTCAGGCTGGCCTCAAACTCCTGACCTCATGATCCACCCACGTTGGCCTGCCAAAGTGCTGGGATTACAGGCGTGAGCCACCATGCCCGGCCTAGCTTTCTTAATCATTTTTGTCACCTTTAATTATGAAATTAATGCTGGTTGTGCAATAATGTCAATGTAGTGACAATCATGTGAACAAAGTCCTGCCAAGGGAGAATTTTCCCAGATCAAGTTTCTTCCAGGTGTTTGTACAGTGTTTGGGAATTAGGTGTAACCAGGAATATTTGTACAAGTTAGTATATGGTGGTAAATCTCTCATTGTTATCTCATTTTTGCCAGAGTGTATGTACTTTTCCCCTTTATCTAAAAATCCTTTCTACTATACCAAATGCCTTTGTTATTTTTCCAGGATGGTTGCAGAATATTTTAAGTTTGTATAGCACACAATGAAAAAGATGAGCCTGAGGGGTAGTTAACTTTTACAGATGCTAGAATTTATAATCTCCTTTTGTTTATTCACCTAAACTATGAAGACACAGGAAATTTTCCTTCATCCTAGTCTTCTAACTTCAGAGTTAGAGCTAGTGTTCATCCGAACAACTTCTAAAAAGACGCTATTAGATTTGACACTCACTACAAAAAAAAGTTTTAGTTAATCTCCATCAGCTGTTGAATAGCTGCTGAAATTTTCACCAGCAGATTCAATTTAAAATCTTTCTTAAGCTGTACTAATTTCTCCCACTACAAACACTTCACAGTTTTGGATAGCATGTTTAAAAGTTACCTTATTGAGTATATTGCCGCACTCTCTTCATGAAGAATTCCAGACTCTATTAAGAGATCTGACTGATCATGGAAAAAACAGCGATTTTTTTTTTCACTTCTTATAAGATTCATTTGTTAAGTTTTTCTCATTAATGCTATTAGTTTGCTGCCTTTTCTCTAAATTTGAAGGACTGATATTAGAAGATGGTTATGACTGAGTTTTAGGTTCTTTTTTGAGGTGGGTCCAGTTGGGAGTGATGGGGAGTATGTTACAGAAAAGTGATTTAGGATCCCACAGAATCCACATACGAGCCGATCAAAATAAACTTTCCTAGAAGGAAAATCTTTAGGCAAAAGATAATGCATAAGAAGCATGAGAAATAAACATTATAAACAATCTTAACCAAATTATTACAGGTAAATGTTTATGCTTCAGTCAAGGCAATGGCTATATTCTACAGGAGGTATCAGACACAAAGAGCTGGAAATAGGTCAGAGGGAGGACAATAAGGAGAAGGAAGTAAGGACAATAAGGAGAAGGAAGTATTTTTTCCTCATTTTCTGGATACCAAGTGATATGGTTTGGCTCTGTGTACCCACCCAAATCTCATGTCTAATTGTAATCCCCACGTCAGGGGAGGGGCCTGGTGGGAGGTGATTGGATCATGGGGGCAGATTTCCCCCTTGCTGTTCTCATGGTAGTGAATACTCATGAGGTCTGATGGTGTTAAAGTGTGTGGCACTCCCCTCACACTCCTGCTGTCATGTGAGATGTGCCTGGCTTCCCCTTCCACCGTGATGCCATGATTGCTTCTGGAGGCCTCCCTAGCCATGCGAAACTGTGAGTTAATTAAGCCTCTTTTCCATTTAAATTAGCCAGTCTCAGACAGTTCTTTATAGCAGTGTGAAAACAGACTACCACACGTATCTTAAATTCTTCCAAAACGCTTCCCTTTTTTGTGGTTTCTGAATTCCTTTTCTCATTCTAGATTCAACGTTTAAAAGACTCAGTTTAATACTTTCTTTCTGTGCTGTGAATTACAACAGCTGAGGAAGAGAAGTCTGACTACTCACTAGACAAGGGTCATACCGGGGGTGATGAGAAGCAGGTATACCTGGCCTGTAGTATACCGCAAATTTTGTTTCCTACTTTCTACCCTAATTTAGTTAGGACTACTTTCTCTGGCTATGAGCTGTGAGGCCAAAAAAAAAAAAAAAAAAAAACCAACAACAACAAAACAATTTTGGGTGAAATTTGCTGAGTTAAAAACTAAACTTGAAGAGCAAAATAAGTACTTAATGGTGTTGTACTAAGTTGCCAGGTGTTCCTCTCTATATTTTTGACACTGCTCATCTTAGAGAAATGTCTTTGCAAGCTAGTAGTCTCAGGCAAAAAGAAAGAAAGAAAAAATGTAAAGACACCTAGGAACTTGGAAGACTAGAGAAGCTGAGTTTGGAAATTAGAAAAACTTAAAAATCAAAGGAAAGATTGGATCAGGACCTAGAATCATAAAAAAGAATATTCTGGTAAACATTCATAGTATGATTGCTCACTTGCTACAATTGTAATAGCTGATAAGAATTTATCCTGTTTCTCTCTCTTTATATGACTATACACAATAACTTACATCCTTTAAGTGAATATTATCAAGGTCACAGTTGCTGTGCACTGTTTCAACCAACCAGCCTTCTGGAGTAATCATGTTGAGGATTAGGAGGGGTGATTCAGGAATATCCAAAAATTTTGCCACTGGTCCAAGAGAAGAAACGTCATTAGCCCCTGACATCAGTTCTGGTTCCAGAACAAAACGGTAAAAGCTGTTAATAAAACATAAAAATACATAATGTGACCAAAACTGAGATTTTTCTTTTAAAATATTTTCAAAATTGAAAATTGCTTAATGATCTGACCAGAAGTCTACAATCAAAAAGACTAAGATGCATTATACTGCAGAAAAGTTAATGCTTATGAGAAATAGACAATCATTATTTGTTGACACTACTATCTAAGTCTATGTATATTATCTACCATTGTTAACTATTCCTTAATGAACATGATTAGAATCCCTTTAAGATATACCTGACTTATGCAGGTTCTAGGAGTTTATGATCTGTTATTGTATTATGATTTGTATGCATCCTCCTTCAAATCTGACCATGGTCTATTTTTCAGCTATTTTATTAACTTTTACCACCACTAATAATATGAAGAGAAATGGTAGGAAACAAATGAAATTCAAGCTGAAATTCTAGTACCACTTTTAAAAGCTCAACTAAAAACAAATAGGATTAAGTTGAAAGCAACTGCTTAATAGCACTTTTAGACTTAACTTCAGTTTTGCTGTATTTTAACCTCATCCTTCAATATTGTGCACAGAATTATTATGTTATGCTATCAAGGCTAGTGGCTTTTACTATTTTGAGACTGCAGTCAAGGTGTCAGCTGTGCTGTAGTTCTCTCAAGGCTCAACAAGGGTAGGATCTACTTCCAGGTTCTTCTAGTTCCCCAAGGGCTGTCTGAATGAGGACCGCAGTTCCTTGCTGGTAGTTGTCTGCAGACTGCTTGCAGTTACTTCCCAAAAAGGCATCTCCAATATGCTTCAAAAGAGAAGCACACAGAAGAGCCACAGAGAGAGAATGTCAGCAAGACAAAAGTCACAGTCTTTCATAACCTAATTGCAGAAGGGAAATTCCATCACTTTAGCCATATTTTGTTTTATGAGAGCCAAATCACTAGGTCTAGCTCTCACTCCAGGAGAACTTTCAGAGTGTGAGTCCCAGGCAGTGGTGATCACTGGGAGCCATGTTATGCAGATAGACAAAGAAAATAAAAAGAGGAGAAACAGGAGAGAATACAGTCATGAAGTAAATGTTCAAAACAAATTCTTGCTGCAGTGGAAATATCAAAGAAAAAGTATTCTCTGAATGTAGTGAGTAGCAATTTCTTTGTGATTTGGTAAATACAATTTCAGTGGCAAAGAGAAAGTTAAAGAGAAACTGCAGTGGAAGGTACAGTGAATGAGATATGAAGACAGAGTCTGACCATTCTTTGAAGAAATTTAGTTAAGAAGGAATGAAGAAGAGGGAAAAAAAAGACTCTAGAGGAGAGAAAGTTAAGGGAGCAACTTTTAAAAAAATTGAATAACTTTAAGGACTGAATGAAAAAAGCTAGTATAGAGATTAAAGATCCACAAGAGAGAATATGTGATATAGCAAGGATCCAGAACAAACAGGAAAGCATGAGATCAAAACAGAGTGGGAATGTTTAACTAAAAAAGAAGAAAGATGCCTCATTCCTTCCCTACAATACAGGAAGGCTGAGGAAGTATAGCAGTTAAGAGTAAGAAGCTGAGGGGATTCCTGCCCTTAACCTGTCTCATCTCTGAGAAGAATAAATTTACTAAAAGGAAAGGGCTGGGAATAAATGTGTATGCTAGGTTGCTTGATATATGCTACTGAGTTAATAAGATTCTGTTGAACTACTAGTTAAAAAAATAACTGTATACTCTAGTACATTATTTCATTTAGAAAAGTCAATTCTTTCCCTCCCAGTAGATTATGCTTGCTTATATGTTCAGTAATCCTATTCTTTATTACATAATGTGATGTTTTACAGAGAGGACCCCTACTCCTGTGAATAAAAATTCTGTACTTATGGAACTAACAAACCTTTCAATTAGTAGCTAAAAAATTTAAAGTTTTTGTTCAGATGTAAAAAGGCATGTGATAAAATTTAAAATACAAAAGATAAATGAGAAGCATAAAAACTCAATGAGATATATGGACAAGAGTCTTGAGGGACAATGAATAAGTCCTAAACTTTCACTTAAATTTCCCACATTTTCCATTTTATTGCTTTCCAACTATTAAAAATACTTAGGTTTAAAATGCCTGCTCTGGCTGGGCACAGTGGCTCATGCCTATAATCCCAGCACTTTGAGAGAGCAAGGCAGGTGTATCTCTTGAGGCCAGGAGTTCAAAACCAGCCTGGAGAACATGGCAAGACCCCGTCTCTACAAAAATACAAAACAAAACAAAACAAAAAAACTGTGCGTGGTGGCACGTACCTGTAGTCCCAGTTACTCAGGAGGCTGAGGTGGGAAAATCACCTGAGCCTGAGAAGTCGAGGCTACAGTGAACTGTGATGGTGCCCCAGCCTGGACAATGGGAGTGAGAACCTGTCTCCAAAAAAAATAAAAATAAAAATAAAAAAAAGTTCTGCTCAAGGCAACATCTATAGTATGTCAGTTGTAACAAATACAATTTGAAAAGTAAACAAGGAATGAACAGAATGCTACCTGTCTTGTGTGTGTATGCATACATTTTTTGTTTAGAATTACATCATTAAATAATACAGAGATGAGCACATTAAAAAGTCTTAAAAAGCTATACTAGTGCAATGGTACATACCCTGTTTTCTGCCCAATGACACATGAAGGAGAACTGAATATTCCCATCAATAAGAATGGCTCATAATGAATGACAGTGATTCTGATCCACAAAGAAGAGAAAGGGTATATTTTTGTCCCCTCTTGAGAGAGAATGTTATTTCAACAGAAGAGTGTTAATGAGGAATATTTGTATATAATTATAAACAACACTTTTTTATATCTCTGGCAGGTTATTCTAAGCTAATTTTATCCTAATGCCCCCAAATAGTAAATGTGATGATATAATAAAGATCATTTTGGTAATTCTGCTAAACCAAAAATGGTTTAATTCCACCTTATTTCCCATTGATGTATATCTAAATAGGTATTCCTAAATCACATTTCCAAAAATACCTATGAATAAATATAAATCCATGTAAATTCTGTAATTAGGTCAGATCACTTTGCTGAGTTAGGTTATTTTAATTTTTATATCAATTTTAAGTCAGTTAAGGTTAGTAAATAGTCTGACCTTCTGACTTATTTCTTTGAAGCATCTTGTGAAGAAAAGAAAAAACCAGGTCCAGTAACAATGATTGTTTTTTTCTTCTCAGCATTTACAAATTTTTCAAAATGAAATTTTGTTCACTCAGATTTACCTTTCTAAAGGGGCTTCTGAAAGCCTGCCCCTACAGTTCATGAACAACTTTATCTTCATGTTGATAATCTTGCCAAGTACCTATTGGAAAGAAATTCCCATGTTTGATATTAAATAATATTAATAGCTAATATTTATTATGTATTTACTATGTACCAGGTACTATATTAAAACTTTATGTTCATTATCTCACTTGATCCTTACAACGCCCTGCTGAAATAGTACTTTTGCAGTTTAGGTACAGAGAGATTAAGGTCACACAGAAACTCACAGCACAGGCAAGATTTTAATCCAAACAGTTGATTTCAATGTCCCAGGGTTATGCTGCTTGCCCTTTGCCTAAAGTGACTTTTTTTCATAGTATCTAAATTTCCTTAGTATTGAAGAACAAGGAAAATAATTACTAGAACCTTGATCTGCAAATACAAAGTGGTGACCTTACAACAACGTTGGTGGTGTCCTGATTCTTTTGGGATTTGGAAGTTCTTGGCTACCTACGAATAAATACTTTCTTTTCATTTCCCTGGATAGTAAGAAGTAGAGGAAGAATTACTAATTTTGATAGTCCCCATCTCCACATAGGCAACATGTCAGTGAAGATTCTAAAGCTGTTAGATAACAAATGATATAGGTAAAGGGAGAAGTAACGAAACAGATATATGTAATAGAAAGGATACAGGCTTGATGAGAAATTAGAACATAAAGACTAAGGATTTAAGAGATTTGACTTTCAATTCTTATTCTATCACTCATCATATCTGCTACTCTGGAGGTCACTGAACCACTGTTTTTCTCAAGTGTTAGATGAGAAACTATCCATTTCTTCCAATAAATTATCCTTTTATAAAGTAAGAAATAAAGTATGCTATTATTACCAATGATGGAAACTGGAATGCAATTCCATATTTTATATCTCTGTATAATTCCTTTTTTTTTTTTAAGAGACATAGTCCTGCTCTGTTGCCAAGGCTAGACTGCAGTGGTGTGATCATAGGTCACTGTTAACTTCAAATTCCTGGGCTCAACCAATTCTCCCACCTCAGCCTCCTGAGTAGTAACTATGACTAGAAGTATGCAGCATCATGTTTGACTAATTTATTTTTTATTTTTTTAGAGACAGGGTCTTGCTATGTTGCCCAGGCTGGTCTTGAATTTCTCAAGTGATCTTCCTGCTTTGGCTAATTCCGTATTTCTTACTCCTAAATTCTACTTTTATATAAAAAACTTACAAATTTAAGTAGTGTTTTTTGAATAATGACTCTTCATAGGAATAGGGATTTTGCATACTAAAAAGCATCATACTAGCTCCACTCCTTTCAGATATGATTGCTTTCTAAAGAATAATCTGAATAGTGTATCTCAAGACATATAAATTTGAAGGTATAACCAATGCTAAAAGAACAAGTAGGTAAATCAGCTATGGTTTGTCCTACTCGTTTCATAAACTGAACAGCTAGAATGACAAAGTCTTTCCAAAATTATTTGTCTCCACTAATAAAATCTCATTTTCCAATGAGATTTGGCAGTGCGCACTAAATTCTAAAAAAAATTGCATTTTGAAATTTTGATATACAGCGAATCATATGGCTTGATCACTTACATTTTCACCAGACTCAATATCTAATTACTTTTGCCTGTTTCAAAAGTGAAGTTGACTACCAAAGGACAAATAGTTTGTAAAATTTTCGATATCAGTAGCAAAACATACAGCCTTCTAATGGGACTAGCTTATTCAAATTTAACTACTGAAGGCTGCATTCTAATTTGAATGTTTGACATTCTAAGTAAAATGGTAAGCCACATAAGTCCTTTTGGAGACTGATATCTGTCTCTTCGCATTCATTTTCCTCTTTCACAGGGAAAGAATTTCCAGGTTAATGCAGGACTTGTGGGCATAGTTTCCAGCCTCCCTTGTCATTCAGTGTAGCCAGCCTGCGGACATTCTGGTCAGTGAGAAGTGATAGGACAGCATACATCTAACTTTGGGGCTGTGCTCTTATTCTCCCCTTCCTCCTGGCAGAAGTGCAGAGATGATGTTAGGGCCTGACTGGTGATCTTAGGTGCTTCGTGACAGCTCAACAATGACACAGGCAGTGCCTGAGTCCCTCACACTGTGTAGCTGCCTTAGCAACCCCAAGGCAGCCTACACTTAGACCAGGAGATGAAAGAAAGAAACTTCAGTCTTGAAAGTAGTGTTATTTTGGCCTTTGTTATAGCGGCCAAACCTATAGAATACAAACTCCATGTTTCCCCTTTCCTCGGCTTCACTTGTTTGGCTAACATTATTTATTATTTATTACACTTTAAGTTTTATCCAATTAAGCTTAAGCTTCAGCTTCTCCAAAAGCCACACTTCACAACATATGAAAGACACCTGTATTAGTCTTCTCAGGCTAATATAACAAAACACCACAGATGGAGTGGTTTAAACAATAGAAATTTATTTTCTCATAGTTCTGGAGGCTGGGAATTCCAAGATCAAGATGCCAGCTGATTTGGTTTCTGGAGAGAGCTCTCTTTCTAGTTTGCACGGGGCTAACATGTCACTGTGTGCTCAAATAACCTCTTCTTTGTGAAGTCTCCCTCTGTTCATCTTTTAAGGCCACCAATCCTATTGGATCAGGGTCTCACCCATATAACCTCATTTAACCTTAATGATCCCCTTAAAGCCCTATCTCCAGAGAGAGTCACATTGGGAGTTAGGGCTTAAAGTTCACTGAGACCTATTTCATGTGTTGAAATATGAATTTTGTGGGGAATACAATGCAGTTCACAGCAACACCTAACCTCAGCACAGTCATAACAACACCCTGTGCACAGCTCCATCATTTCATTTTCTACATTGAAATATGACACTCTATTAAAATGGTGAAGGATCAAGAGCATAAACAGCTGATTATATTTGAAAACAGACTTGAAAAAATTATGAATTTAAAAACAAAAACATTTAGTCTAATTTATATTATCTTACAACCAACAACTGTGCCATTTTCTGTGCTTCTCTTGTTAATGGATCAACAATAGCAATGACATTGAAGAACATATCATTCTCTTGAGGATTCGTCTTTATAACACTAAGAAAATAGAAAATAAGATGAAAGATGACGTGTTAAGTTTATACAAACAACTAATCATGATCTTAGCTATATAATTCTTATAAATTGTTTTCTTTCTCACTAAAATTGTAAAATACTGGTTATTTCACACAATGCTTGCAAATCTGAAAATCTGTTTTCAACAAATTACAAAACTGAAAAGAATGAGAGAAAATGAAGTAAGGTTTTATGAATGAAATGATTTTTTAAAAGCCTTTCAAAGAATGATCCCATTAGTGTAAAAACTCTGATAATTTTAGGCCCTCAACATTCTCATGGATTGTACAATTTAAAAAATAAAGCTAAGATGCTTTTGTGTTAGTGGAATATATTTCTTTAGATTTGAGAATAAAATTAACTATTCATACTTTATTAAATTTAGTATTTCAAAAAATCAATATACTATAACAGGTAAGTTCAGGAACAAAAATATCCAAATTAATCATACTTTATTTTGATCCCAGTCTTCCTCTCCTCACCTCATTCCCTCTGTCCTATCCGTTTTTATCTTTCACCGATAAAAGTTCTAAATTAGAAGATGGACTAGTTTTTTAAAGGGAAATGAGAAAATGATTAAAAGTACAGAACAGGCCAGAGGGAGACAGTCAATTCTACATTTAATATAATTAAAAGTTAATCATGTATATTTGATTAAAAGCAGAGAATATGTTACTGAATTACTGTTTTAACACTATAATCATGTAGGAAATATTTTTCTCAGATGTAGGATGAATTAATTATACATTTTACATATTACAAAGGAAAAAGGTTACCAAATCAAGAGGTACATGTGTAGTTACAGGAATATTAGTTTCTTTGGTAGGAAAAGGCTTCTGCAGTGAGGGGATTAATTGCTCAGCAATTTTTAAAAAGCTAATATAAACACTTACTTCAAATATGGGTCATCTAAATAGAAAACTGCAAGACATTTTATTTTCTAGGCAGTTGACGATTTAATTATCTTAAAATAAGAGGGGCATAGTCAGACAACAGACCTTAATGGATAATTATTGCTAGACCTAAGAGCCACAAATCAGACGTTCTGCTATTAAAGTGACTCTTGACAATTGTTGCTTCCTGTAGTTACCTTGGTGAACACTTTACAAATTACTACCCTACTTTGTAACACCACTCAAAACTGGTCATTTTATGTATGCTGTATGAGATGTAATTATGGTTTCAGCATGCACCTGTTTACTGCTGCTTTTTTCTCCCAGACTGCTAATTCTATGAAGTTGTATGAAGCAGAATTCCATAGTCCCCACCATCTGATTATACATGTACAAGACAGTTCTGAGTAGAATCCTGAGCCCACTAGTAGATAGTACACTGACTAACCCAAGAATAGAACAGAACATCCTATTTCTCATGCAATATTAACAACAAGATGCTAACTACCACCTATTTAAGGTAACAGATTTGTACTCAATTGCCAAAAAACTATTGATACACTTCATGTCATTAGCCAGAAGAATACTGTCAAGCACAGTGACAGTTAATTAATTATTAAAGTCCATGTCAGAAAAAAAAGGGTGAAGAACTGCTTAGGTATACACAGTTAATCAACTCTTACAGATATATTGAACACATTTCAAACAGGCCGTTGCAATAGAAAACTCTGAGTTGAATTTTGTTATGATACTGTTAACCTATCTATAAAATAGGTCAAGTAATCTATTTTAAGAATATTGAAAACACTGTTCATTATATAGCATCCTCTTTATAAAGGCTCCCGGGAGAAATTCCTCTGTCTTCCCTCTTCTAAGAATAATTACACTTCATCTGAACATCTAGTTTGTTTTCCTCTCATGAACTTGGGAACTGTATAAACTGGAAAACTTAGAGCCAAATTCATGGTATGCTCATGACAGGAGGGTCATTATTGCCGCAGCCTGCAAGGCTTCCTTCAAGACCTCATAGTTTCTCACACAACTTACATTCAATGTTGTAAGTTCCTGGGATGATGGGGTGAGTAGTTAGGATTGCTATTTTTGCCTTTGTCTAAGATGTTAGAAGAATGTCAAATCCACAGAGTCTAAATGGAAGGGAATAGGCTAATATAGAGATCTTTCAGGGCTGGGGAAAAAATATAATTGTTTTTTCTCATTTTTCACTTTATTCCAGATTTCAATATACTCCTACTCTTTCTCCTTTTGCAAACCTTCTAATTTAAGTTACCCTGTCAAATTTAAATTTTCTTATAAGCCAATTTAAATTTTAAAAGTTGGAATTAAGATCAAACATATCAATACAGAAATAACGGATTTATAACAAGTGTTTTAACATATTTAATTATAAAATGACTCCCTATAGACATAGAAGCAGAATGGCAAAGATATAATACTGTGTTTAAATATATATATACATGTATACACACACATCTCTCTAAAAAGCTGTGAATAAATATTTTTATGTGATTTTAGAAGTAAATGCATATGCTCATGAAATATACAGATATAACTATGGAAGTAATACTGATAATTCATAAATTCAAATGTAAAGTGACCTGAAGTATTTGCCCATCACTGTGGCATACTGTATTATCCTAATTATCAATTTCCAAAGGTTCACTGACATTTTCTAAAATTCAATAACAGAGTGTGACTTTAATGTAGAAATTTACATATAAATTTAACCGTATTTATATTATTATCTCCCTTGATAGGAAAGAATGCTCTTTGACAGACAAAAAATGGTATTTCTAGAGAAAATTACTAAAGGTGATAACTGTAAGACACTTGAGTGAGCTCAGGGAATCTTCAGTAGTATTTTTTTAAAAAGCAGTTTAGCTACTTTTACAATTAACGAGGCACTCTCATAGAGAATATGGGCATAGAAATCACATATGATAGTGATTAAACAGCCTTTTATTTCCATCCTACCACAGGAGCCTGACAGAGTAAATCCTTGGACCCTTGGTCCACGCAGCAGCTTTATAATGTGTCAACTTGACCAGGCTAAATCATATTTTCCAGAATGTTTCTTGCTTGGGCGGGCAACAACAGAGATTCTCAGGAGATCTAGAGAACAGAGAGGCAGCAGCAGCAATTTTGCAGCTCACACACTTGCTGCTGATCTGCTGATTCACCTTGCTGGCCTGAGGCAGCAGCCGGGCCTACAACAGTTCAGCTTTGCCTTGACCCTCTCTTCACTCCTTTGAACTCTCGCGCATGCATGTGTGTTTAGCTTTGTGACAGAGGCCACCCTACATTTGATTAATCAGAACTCTTCAGTCACTTTACACATTGAAAATATAAAGATAATATTATTTATGACTATCTTGAGATACTGCAAAAATTACAAATGATCTTAAGTATGAAAGATATTAAAAATATGACAAATTATAACATGTTTAACTTACTTGAAATTTCGTACACTCTCTCTCCATATATATTACCCTTTATTTACTAGAATATATAACTAACTGGAATTTATCTTCCTAATACTGTCAAATACATTTATTCCCTAATAAATAACTTTTAATTCTACCTTAAATTTTACCATGTTATGAAAACAAATGGAAATAATTGCATGCATTAACAGAAAAATCACAAACAAATACGAATACATTCTTACCTGTGATTCTCCCTAAGAAATGTGACATCATATCGAGATGCACGCTTAGGCACAGAGGACATAAGGGCATCAACTTTCATAATAAAGTCACTCATGCTAGATAAACAAGACAAACAGTGTATGAGTTTTTTGGAAAGAGTTCCATATTTCATGTTACAATTAATGCTTCAAGAAAGGTTTTATATATCTGAACATGGTTAAATCTACCAAAGTAGACTGCAAAGGGAGACCTACGTATAATAGCATTTCTCTAAAACAGTCACAGCCTTCAACACAATAAACACCAATAATGGATATTTACACATGAAGCAAAAAGACAAATATGGGAACCATGCATACAATCTATAGGAAAATGGTTACCTCTTGGGGAGGGAGGAGACTGGGGTGGATGGGTAAGAAACAAGGAGAAAGACAGAGCCAAGGCAAAGAAAACATTAACATCTACAGTTTTGTGATGGTGAGTAAATGGATGCCTTTTATTATTTGCTTATATTCTTTATATATGTCTTTTATTATACCTTTACTTGTCTATATATTTGAAACATTTTCTAATCTTAAAAACATTAGACTCAAAATACCAAACCCAAAATGAATTGCTCTTAGAACTTATATACTCACTTATTTGCGTTGATTCCCATATTTTCAACAATGCCTTTAATTTTCTCTCCTAAATTACTAAATGTTATCTTTTCCAACAAGTAAAAATCTTCTGCATAAAAATCTTCATCTAAAGGTCCTAAGAACTTAAAATAAAAACAGTTATATTATCATATATCTTCTAGAAGATATCAGTTTAGGAAAAACATTTCCTCATCAAATAGATATTTCTTTATTAAGCAAAAATGAATTAGAGATTAAAGATATGGTAGCTATTAATCCTGCCATTTACTAAATACGCTAGGAAACAAGATATACTTTCTCACTTTGATATTACAAATAACATTTGTATAAACACCAAAATCAAAGTGACAATATAAAAAATTAGCAAATTATTTCCATTAGAAAGTTTTACTTTGAAACATAAATCATAAATCATGATTTGAAACATAAATCATAAATCGTGATTTGAAACATAAATCATGATGCTTCCAAATACCATTTCAATCTGAATTCAATTTTGAAAGCAATGGTCTATATTTTTAAAAATCTTTTAATTTCAATTTTCTTTCACCTTCATCTATAAATTGTACTCTACACTATATAGACATGAATTACTTTATAAGAAAGCCATAAAATAGCAAAACCCAAGAGAAAAATCACATAAAAATCACATACTTACTATAATAATACCAACCAGTCTTCTTTTAACTGATACTGTATAAATGGTTAGGAGCCTAGCAAGGTCACCTATATTAACTTTAAACCAGTAACTACAAAGTTAGAAGCTGCCAAATTGCCACATACCTAATTTCTCAGAATGGCTCTCCCATCACAACCACTACTGACTCTACTACCATGAGCACTTTCTGAGGAAATTAGTACATAACAATCATTCTAACACCACGTACACAAAACCCTACTGTAGACTGACATAATCCTATGTACAAAACAATTATATTTAATGATAATCAGAAAACACGTCAACCAGATTATTTTTTTCTTGGTAAAAAGACCAGAATGTAATGGCTGTAGCCAGATTTTCTCACTTCCCCTTCACCTGCTCCTACAGTTCATCTTTTCTAAAAATTACTGAAGCATAGTTCTTGAATCTTTCTATCCCATTTTCTCATATCAAAGGTGACTAACTGGGATTTTGGCATCTCAACTAAATAAATATCATGTTTCACCTTAAATATAAAACACGGGCTCTTAAAAACACAAAAATGGGCACTATAATACTAAAAGTACTCATATAAACATTTCATTGTCTTAAGACGTGATATAATTTTTAAAGCAACTTTGAAAGCACATTCAATGTTACATTTCTGAACAATGAATCAGCAGTCTTGGAAAACAGTTGAATCTTATCTATACTACCTCTAGCGACAGGGGCAGTTTTGTTAGTAACATTAGAATAAGGAAATAAAATCTTAAAAGTATTGTTTTAAGGGGTTAACTACATTGGCTATCTTTACTGATTAAATTTACCAGAAAACTGGCTGTATTTTGCTTACATTAAGCACAGCATCAAACAGGAGAAACCTAATGTTTCTGTGTCTTGGTTCTATTTAAAGCTGAAAATTTGTGGAATAAAGTAACTTAAATAGCATAAAATCACATAATGTCCAAGTTGGGTAAAAGAACAATAAACTTGAAAATTATGTTGCTTAAATCTTCTTCATAACATTTGAGAAATGTGATTTTTCAGTTACATAGAATAATTGCTGTAACAGAAATGCATTACTTCATTTGACAGGTCATGAAAATTGCAGAAAACTCTGTCAGATTTTCATCCACATACTGAGCTAAAAATGTCTCTCTACTCACAGAAGTTTGATCAACTAGTTTTGATTTTATGCTAACTTTTAGCTAGTGTAACACAAATTAAGTCTACAAATGCCCATTATTTTTCATGATGCCCTTCAAATATTGAGAGAAAATAGCAGTTAATATTTACTGAAAATTTACTCTGTGTTTGGGTTCCTTCTATGTGCTTTAAATATAGGAGCATATTTAATCACCCCAACAATCCTGTAAGACAGATTATTATCATTCTCATTGTCCAAATGAAGAAATCAGGTCTCACAGTGTAATGTAATTAATGGTGCAACTGGAATTTGAATCCAGATCTGACTATAAAACAAAAAAAAGACCCTGCTTTTGTTCCCTACTCCCTGCTACCCCATGTCTTTCAGCAAACTGTGAATATGTAGTGTAATACAAATAAATATTATTATAACAATGGCATTATTTGTGGCATTAATATTAAATATGTCAATTTTAAATTATTCAGTGTTTTTAAGAAACTGTGTGATCATCATTGTACCCTAGTTGTTGATCATTTATAAACAATTTTAACTTTTCATATGTTCCAATTCTAATGGAAACATTTGAACAGGCTCAGAATGAAGATTTATACTAAAATATCATACTTATTTCAAGCATTAAACTATCTGATTCCAAATTTTTATAACATCTGCCACATTGCTGTGATTATTATGCTTAACAGCATTACTTTCAGAGTGATAAGCTAAGTATTACATTATCGCTCATAAACCACAGACTTATTTTCCAATATACTTTTCTATTAAAACCACAGTTATACAAATAAAAGGATAATTGAAATTACATTTTTCCATTAGTCAACAGAAAAAATCAACATAATTTGACTTAATATCTATCTCCAGCCCCAATCCTTCCTCTGTACTACACTCATATTCAATCACCTTCTTAACAAGTCTTTTTGGAGGTCCAAACTGAATTCTCTTTCCTTCTTCTTATACTGCTCCTGACAACCTCACTCATCCTGCAGCCTTCCTCACCTTGATCCACAGTAACTCCACTCTGCCAGTAACTTAGTTCTCTCACATCTCACACCAAAGTCCCTGGACAATTCCTGTCCATTCTTCACATAAAATACATCCCATATCCACTTCTTACTACCACCACTAGAACCATTCTGGTCCAAGCCACCATCATCTCTCATCTGGACTACTGCATTATCTCCCAACTGGCTCCCTGACCCCCTATTGTATATTCCCAATGTAACAGCCTCTAGTGATCCAAATAAAACATAAGCTAGATGATGCCAATCTCCTGCCCAGAACTATGCACTTCCCAACTCATTCAGAGTAAAGTGGGAGTCCTTAAACTTCCTATAAAACCCAATATGATCTGGCCCCCAGCTACTTCTCTGGCTTCTCTCCTGCCTGCTCTCTTCCTACCTGCTATTCTTAGAATAGCAGACATGATTCACAGGATTCACAGACATGAACTCACCTCACGTCCTTTGCATTCACTGTACTCTGTCTAGAACAATCCTCTTCCAGATATTTGACATGGCTTCCTCCTTCACCTTCTTTGGTTCTTTGCCCATATGACACTGCTATGAATGTGCTATGGTTTGAATGTCTTTGTCCTCTCCAAAATTTATGTTAAAACTGAATCCCCAATGCAACAGTGTTGGGAGCTGGGGCCTAATGGGAGGTGTTTAGGTCATGAGGGCTGTGCCTCAAAATGGACTAATGCCACTATAAAAAGGCTTTCAGGAGTGGGTTTGCTCTCTCCTGCCATGTAGGAACATAGCACTCATCCCCTTTTTGCCCCACTGCCTTCTGCCGTATGAGGATGCAGCAAGAAAGCTCCCATCAGATGCCAGTGCCTTGATCTTGGACTTCCCAGCCTCCAGAAGTATGAGAGAATAAATTTCTGTTCTTTAATAGATTTCTGAGATTATATAGTCTCAGGTATTTTGTTACAGCAGCACAAAACAGATTAAGACAAAACGTGTCCCTCAAAACCCATGTGTTGAAACTTAGTGGCCAGTGCGATAGCACTGAGAGGTGTGGCCTTTGGGAGATGATTAAGCCACGAGGGCTCTGCCCTCATGAATGGAATTTGTATCCTTATAATAAAAGAGTTCAAGACTGAAGGGAGCACTCTGTTGCCCTTCTACTTTCCACCATGTAAAAACAGAGCAACAAGGAGCCATCCTGGAAGCAGAGAGCAGCCCTCACCAGACATCCATGGCAGCACGTCAGCCTTACATTTCCAAGCATCCAGAAGTATAAGAAATAAATTTATGTTCTTTATAAATTAGCCAGTCTGTGGCATATTTTTATAGCAGCATAAACATACTTAAGATAGATGCCTTATCAGTAAGGGTGCTGTTTGTTGTCTCTCTCTATCCATCAAAATATTAGCCCCATGAAAACGTAGTTGTTTACTGCTGTGCCTTCAGAATCTAGAAGAATGTTTGGTTCACAGTAGGTGTAAGATTAATATCTTAATATTTTTATCAATTTTAAGGAAAGTCAGGACAAAACATAGTTTTATGTTTATGAGAAATAAGTTGAACATAACTGTATCTAGTATTTGTTATCATTAATGTCAATAACACTATATGAATTATATCAAAATGACAAGACATAGGATAGCTTTTCCCTAGTATATAACTAAAAGGTAAGGCACTAGATAAAACAGGTGCCATTGTTTCCCTCTTTATCCCTTAAAATGCTTGACATGGTCAAAGACAGCCAAAAGCTTTAGAACTGTTTTTAAAAGCTGTATTTCCTCCCAAAGTAACTTTTAAAGTGAAAAAGCAATGCCATTTACAGAGCTCTACATATCTCACTACCAAAATTCACCAATACTTTTTACAATAAATGGCAGCTTTTGACATGTGTAAAATAGCACTGTACATAGATGAACCTGAATCTAATATGCAGGTGAACAGAATTCAAAAGTAAGTGAAAAACAAAACATTAAGAGTGCATTAGAACTTTGAAGATGATTGAGGGATATATAATTTGAAAATTCAAGCCACAGATACGTGAAAAACACTGCATTTGTTGATTTCTTAATAAACCTAAGCACCAGATTCAGTTTTTTACTTAAACAATTTGTATGAAATAAGACTATCATATTAAAAATATTAGTATATAGATATCATCCACTTATTTTGTATGTGTCTACAAAGACTGCAATCAGAAAAACATTTATATTAACAGAAAAATCATGATGTAAAATTATATATAGTAGGATTATAAGGATGTATTCTAAAAAACCAAAAATGGCTATCTATGTATGGTAGAAAAAAGGGCTGAAAGGAAAAACAATAAGCTATTAAGTTTTATTAGGGTGGTTGGAGAGTAAGAGATTTTCTTCCTACAGCCTTGTAAATATTTTATTAATAAATACTACATGGCAATTTATACTACTTGATACTTCAAAACTGAAAATAGTATCTAATGCCATTTAACATACACAACTGTAGGAACAAGAAGAAAGATGTCATAACCTACTTGCTACACCTACTACAACAGTGGTTCTAATGACAATGTTTTGAAGATGTGCATTAAGTTGTTCCTTCTAATACTTACATTAGAACAAAATAAAAGCAAGACACATAAAGAACATTCTTCCTTACCCACATCATCATTCTCATTAAATGGGGGAAAGAATGAAGGAATGGGAAGTGTGTCATGACCCCATTTTATTTATGCTGAGTTGTGTCTGGTGTCTTCAGCTCATGAACACCGTCCTCTGTGTGTGTCAGTCACATCAGGGGAATTGTGACAGAAAAAAGGCAGACCAGTGCACTGCAGTGTCACTGAGAAAAGAGAGCAATAGCTTTTTCTACTTACTCTCCCATTGCTGACAATACCCATTTCTCCAGGACGTAATTTAAGTACATCTTGACAGAACAACTGGTGAGTTCGAAAAATATTCACTCCAACAGTATTATATTTTTTCTCAAAAGCATTCTTATCCATCCCCTAAAGCAAAAGTTAAGACTGATGAAACTAATATGAGAACAGTAAATATATTAAATCATTTTGTTTAAAAAACTAATATTAGTATAAAATTTTAAATAATACTTTCAAAATCATTATTTGGTATAATTTTCTTTGAAAGAACATTTTTAAAAAAAGAATTCTGTTTTGACAAGTCATTTATAACATGCTTAAATCTTGTTACAAGTTGATACAGTTTGCTATTCATTCTTTGAGAATTTCAGGGAAACTACC
Organism: Homo sapiens; assembly: GCF_000001405.40. Taxonomy (NCBI): domain Eukaryota; kingdom Metazoa; phylum Chordata; class Mammalia; order Primates; family Hominidae; genus Homo; species Homo sapiens. The sequence goes on from NC_000013.11 coordinate 95,901,191, forward strand.
AGACTAGTAAATTACTAGGGAACATCAATTTAAATAAAATTTGATATGAAGAAAATGAAATTAAATATTTATTAAATTCTGAACTCAGTACCTCTTATTTGGTACTATCAATTTAAAAAGTGTTTAAAATGGAAATACTCCTTTCTCCCCATTATACTAATCCCAGAAGACCAGTTTAGTAATAATATATTTAAATATGGAAATAATAAAAGTAATGCTTGGTCAAAGTAAAAAAATATATGGACATTCACAGAAAATAAACCACATACATGCTCATTGCACCTTCATACTAAGGTACATTTCTCTCTCTCAGTACTTCTCAAACTTTAATGTACATACCAATCACCTGGTATCTTATTAAAATGCAGAATATACTTCAGTAGAATCCAGGCCTTAAATTCTGAATTTCTAACAAGTTCCCAGATGCTTTCATGATGATGAAAATGTTTTCCTGCATTGTCCAATATGGCAGCCATGGCTTCATATGGTTATGCGGCTTTCAAAATGTGGCTACTATGACTGAGGAACTGAATTTAAAATCTTATTTAAGTATAAAATGGCCATATGTAGCCAGTGGCTGTGGTGTTGGACCATGTAGGCCCTGATCTTTACCTCCAAAATCCCCATTTCAATCATCCCCTTTCTGACCACAACCACATGACCATCACCATCCCTAGATCAACCATTACTCAAACTTTCAGTCCACAGACTCTACCATTTATTCACTGTCTATCATCCTTCCCATGGCGTAATTTCCTTTTAACCAAGTTCTATCTCAGGGTACTTTACTATAACCAAAACTTCTCCATGTTTAGCTCCCTTGAATGCTCCCTCTCAGTCATATTCACTGGTCCAAACCCCAGCCTTGGTTAAACACAACTCTGCTGAGTCTGCAACTGGATGAAAACAGTAAAATACAGTTGGAGAAAAATATACGACCAAGGCTGATCTCACTTTGAATTTATTGTCATTAATCTCAAGTGGACCCTCAGCAATGACCAGAAATCTTCCTTCACTAATGTATTTAATTTATTTTCTCACTCTCAGAATAATAGTAAAATATTCAACATTTCCTCTTTTTGTCCTCGACCCTTTAAAAGTACATACTGCCACTCTAATCCTTAGCTAATGACCTGACTTTTGGAAGCAAATCAATCAAAACCACTTATAAATATTTTGTCTGTCTTTCCTCCTACAATGTAAGCTCCACAAAGAACAGGGACAGGGACTCTATCTGCTTGTTCACAAGTTTATCTCCATTGTCTCATAAACGATCAATATGTATTTTTTGAATGAATAATGATTGTTTCTTCAAGAGGATCATCGTTGAAACCCCCCCCATAATGGACCCCTTCAGTGAAATACCTGAGATTTACGTAACGCTTTAACCCCCAATTCTTCACTTAAGTACATATCCTAACTAGAATGCCATCAACTTTAAGAATCATGAAGTAGTTAATGAAACATATGAAATCTGATTTACTAAATGCCTCTGTGCAGAGTCATATCATTTAATGTTTATCTTTTCCCATTTGAAAAGGAATGTTTATTATCTTCATTTGTTTAAATCTACCATTGTTTTTCAGTAACAATATCTCCAAATACACTCACACTTTTAAAATATGCAATACATACATATTTAATATTTCAAATAGCTACTGACCTCAATAAGGAATGTTTTAATTTTATCTCCAGAGTAAATAGCTGTAGCAATTTCTTCCTTTGCCAGTTGCCCAAGAAAGCTTCTCAAAAACATGTTCTTCTGTGTAAGAAAAGCTGCCAAAATTCCTCTAGAAATAGCTGTGTTCTCTTCATTTATTTTTGATGTAGGATTATAAATAATCCCCAACCGACTATGAACACTTGTTTTCTGCAAACATATTTATAGATTAAAAAGACCAGTATCATACATATCATTTTACAGGTGAATATATTTTCTTTCCCATCCAGTTTGTTCACTGTATCATGCACCATCTTTCACTATCAAAGCCCTCCCATGTTTACTGTACTAAATGTGATATACCACTGAAAAAGCCTAACAATCATTTTACTAACTCTAATTCCTTCAGATATTTGCATAATGATTCATTTGTAATGTAACATTATATTTAAGCTTTTTGTATGTGAAATAACACAAATAAAAAATACACAAAACAAAATGTAGAGCTCAGTGAATTAACCCATAAACCTACTATCCTGGTCACTGGCACTGCCAGCAACTCCAAAAAGATTCCGCAGATCTCTGTCAATTACCACACCCTCCCACTTTTCTAAAGACAACCACTCTCTTGTCATTTATGGTAATAACAACTTTGCTCTTCTTTATAGTTTATCCCCTAAACTTGCACTGCTAAACATTTAATCAATTTTAAATTTCATATAAATGGAGTCATGCAGTATTATTTTGTGTTCTTTCCCCACTCAATAATGTGAGATTTATCAATACTGTTTTCTGTAGCTGTAGTCAATTTTTAGTACTGTACAGAATTCCATCATATGAATATACAGTCTTTTATCTATTCTACTGTTGCTGGACATCTGAGTTTCTTCCAGTTTAGAGCTCTAAAAATAGGATATACATATCTTCCACTTCAGAAGATGCTAAATAGTTTTTCAAAGTAATATACATACTAGCAACAGATAACAAACAGTTCCATTACCTCACAGCCTAAGAAACACTTTGTATTGTCAGATTTTAATTTAAATCATTCTCGTACATATGTAAAGATATCTCATCAGGGTTTTAATTTTCTTTTCTCTTATCATTAACAATACTAAACATCCTTTGATATGTTCTTTGGCTTCTTTTATGACTTGCCTGTTCAATCTGCTTCCAGTATTTTTTGGATTATCTTTTTTGGCCCCTGACTTGGAGGAGTTGGATTTCTAAGACTTAAGGGCTTTTTTTGGTTATATGTGTAGAGATATGCTTCTCCCATTCTATGGCTTGTTTTGTAGTGTACTGATGATGTGTTATAATGGGAAGCAGTCCTTAATTTTAAAGTAGTTCCATTTATTGGTATTATACCTGATGGCTACTGTGTTTTGGGTCTCATTTTAGAAACCTTTCTCTACTCTAAAGTAAAAAAGATAATCTATATTATCTTTTTTTTATTATTAAACTTTAAGTTTTAGGGTACATGTGCACATTGTGCAGGTTAGTTACATATGTATACATGTGCCATGCTGGTGCACTGCACCCATTAACTCGTCATCTAGCATTAGGTATATCTCCTAATGCTATCCCTCCCCCCTCCCCCCCACCCCACAACAGTCCCCAGAGTGTGATGTTCCCCTTCCTGTGTCCATGTGATCTCATTGTTCAATTCCCACCTATGAGTGAGAATATGCGGTGTTTGGTTTTTTGTTCTTGCGATAGTTTACTGAGAATGATGTTTCCCAATTTCATCCATGTCCCTACAAAGGACATGAACTCATCATTTTTTATGGCTGCATAGAATTCCATGGTGTATATGTGCCACATTTTCTTAATCCAGTCTATCATTGTTGGACATTTCGGTTGGTTCCAAGTCTTTGCTACTGTGAACAATGCCGCAATAAACATATGTGTGCATGTGTCTTTATAGCACCATGATTTATAGTCCTTTGGGTATATACCCAGTAATGGGATGGCTGGGTCAAATGGTATTTCTAGTTCTAGATCCCTGAGGAATCGCCACACTGACTTCCACAATGGTTGAACTAGTTTACAGTCCCACCAACAGTGTAAAAGTGTTCCTATTTCTCCACATCCTCTCCAGCACCTGTTGTTTCCTGACTTTTTAATGATCGCCATTCTAACTGGTGTGAGATGGTATCTCAATGTGGTTTTGATTTGCATTTCTCTGATGGCCAGTGATGATGAGCATTTTTTCATGTGTTTTTTGGCTGCATAAATGTCTTCTTTTGAGAAGTGTCTGTTCATGTCCTTCGCCCACTTTGTGATGGGGTTGTTTGTTTTTTTCGTGTAAATTTGTTTGCATTCATTGTAGATTCTGGATATTAGCCCTTTGTCAGATGAGTAGGTTGTGGAAATTTTCTCCCATTTTGTAGGTTGCCTGTTCACTCTGATGGTAGTTTCTTTTGCTGTGCAGAAGCTCTTTAGTTTAATTAGATCCCATTTGTCAATTTTGGCTTTTGTTGCCATTGCTTTTGGTGTTTTAGACATGAAGTCCTTGCCCATGCCTATGTCCTGAATGGTAATGCCTAGGTTTTCTTGTAGGGTTTTTATGGTTTTAGGTCTAACGTTTAAGTCTTTAATCCATCTTCAATTGATTTTTGTATAAGGTGTAAGGAAGGGATCCAGTTTCAGCTTTCTACATATGGCTAGCCAGTTTTCCCAGCACCATTTATTAAATAGGGAATCCTTTCCCCATTGCTTGTTTTTCTCAGGTTTGTCAAAGATCAGATAGTTGTAGATATGCGGCGTTATTTCTGAGGGTTCTGTTCTGTTCCATTGATCTATATCTCTGTTTTGGTACCAGTACCATGCTGTTTTGGTTACTGTAGCCTTGTAGTATAGTTTGAAGTCAGATAGTGTGATGCCTCCAGCTTTGTTCTTTTGGCTTAGGATTGACTTGGTGATGCGGGCTCTTTTTTGGTTCCATATGAACTTTAAAGTATACATTATCTTTAAGAAGATTTATTGTTTTGCCTTTTATGTTTAGCTCTATAATCCATCTGGAATCAATTTTTGTGTATGACGTGAAAAGGGGGAAGTGTCAAAGATTACCCTTACTGTTCCATAAAGCCAACTTTGTTATAAATCAAGTGTTAATATATGCATGGCTCTACTTCTGGGTTCTCTATTCTTCTTCCATTGCTCTATTTTTCTATCCTTGTGCTGATACCAAACTGTTTTCAATTACGTAGTTTTATCAAAGATCTTGATATCCAGTAAAGCAATTATCACTTTTTATGCTTTAAGATTATTTTAGCTACTCTTGGTACTTTGAATTTCTGGATGAGTTTTTGAATCTGCTTGACAATTTCCACAAAAATTTCCAGTGTTCGATATTTTTCATACTATTGTAAACGGTATATTTATTTAAACTGCATTTCTCGTTTGTTGCAGCTCTTAGAAATATAATTAATTATTGGACATTGACTGGTATTAAACAACCTTAAACTATATAATTAATTCTAATAATTTATATGTGGCTATGTATGTATTTTCTGTGTAAACAACTTGGAATGGCAACTGGAAGATAAATCAATAAAGATTATACAATCTGGAGAACAGAATGTAAAAAGACTGAAAAAAATGAACAGTTTCTCAGAGAAACGTGGGACACCATTAAGCATGCCAACATATGCATTATAGAAGACCCAGGAAGACAAGGAAAAAGAAACATAGAAGATACTTTTAAAAACTACTGAAAAATTCCCAATTTTGATTAATAACATAGTTTACAAATTTAAGAAGCTCAATGTACTCCAATAAGGATAAATGTAAAGATATCCACAGCCAGACACACCAGTCAAAATGTTAAAAGCAAAAGCTAAAATCTTGAAAAGAAGAGAAATGCTTTTTTCACTGTATACAAAAGAATCTCAGTAACAATAAAGGCTAACTTCTTATCAGAAACAACAGAAGCCAGAAGGCAATCAGATGGGGGCGTTCCAAGATGGCCGAATAGGAACAGCTCCAGTCTGCAGCTCCCAGTGTGACCGATGCAGCAGATGGGTGATTCCTGCATTTCCAGCTCAGGTACCTGGTTCATCTCAATGGGACTGGTTGGAAAGTGGGTGCAGCCCAGGCAGGGCATCGCCTCACCTGGAAAGCACAAGGGGTGGGGGAATTTCCCTTTCCTAGCCAAGGGAAGGTGTGACAGACTACCTGGAAAAATGGGACACTTCTGCCCAAATACTGTGATTTTCCCAAGGTCTTAGCAACCAGCAGACAAGGTGATTCTCTCCCGTGCCCGACACGGCAGGTCCCACACCCACGGAGCCTTGCTCACTGCTAGCGCAGCTGTCTGAGATTGAACTGCAAGCTGGCAGCCTGGCTGGGGGAGGGGCGTCCACCATTGCTGAGGCTTGAGTACGTAAACAAAGCGGCTGGGAAGCTCGAACTAGGGGCAGCCCACCGCAGCTCAGCGAGGCCTACTGCCTCTAAACTCCACCTGTGTGGGCAGGGCTTAGCAGAACAAAAGGCAGCAGACAACTTCTGCAGACTTAAACGTCCTTGTCTGACAGCTCTGAAGAGAGCAATGCTTCTCCAAGCATGGTGTTTGAGCTCTGAGAATGGACAGACTGCCTCCTCAAGTGGGTCCCCATGTAGCCTAACTGGGAGACACCTCCCAACAGGGGCCGACAGACACCTCATATAGGCAGCTGCCCCTCTGGGACAAAGAGAAGGATCAGGCAGCAATATTTGCTGTTCTGCAGCCTCCGCTGGTGATACCCAGGCAAAAAGGATTTGCAGCATAACTCCAGGAAACTCCAACAGACTTGCAGCTGAGGGACCTGTTAGAAGGAAAACTAACAAACAGAAAGGAATAGCATCAACATCAACAAAAAGGTCATCTACACCAAAACCACATCTGTAGGTCACCAACATCAAAGACCAAAGGTAGATAACACCACAAAGATGGGGAGAAAGTACAACAGAAAAGCTGAAAATTCTAAAAATCAAAGGGCCTCTTCTCCTCCAAAGGATCGCAGCTCCTCGCCAGCAACAGAACAAAGCTGGACAGAGAATGACTTTGATGAGTTGACAGAAGTAGGCTTCAGAAGGTTGGTAATAACAAACTTCTCTGAGCTAAAGAAGGATATTCGAACCCATCTCAAGGAAGCTAAAAACCTAGAAAAAAGATAAGACAAATGGCTAACCATAATAAACAGTGTAGAGAAGACCTTAAATGACGTGATGGAGCTGAAAACCATGGCATGAGAACTTCGTGACACATGCACAAGCTTCAATAGCAGATTCAATCAAGTGGAAGAAAGGGTATCAGTGATTGAAGATCAAATTAATGAAATAAAGTGAGAAGACAAGCTTAGAGAAAAAAGACTAAAAAGAAACAAACAAAGCCTCCAAGAAATATGGAACTATGTGAAAAGACCAAATCTACGTATGACTGGTGTACCTGAAAGTGATGGGGAGAATGGAACCATGTTGGAAAACACTATTCAGGATATCATCCAGGAGAACTTCCCCAACCTAGCAAGGCAGGCCAATGTTCAAATTCAGGAAATACAGAGAACATCACAAAAATACTCCTCAAGAAGAACAACCCCAAGACACATAATCGTGAGATTCACCAAAGTTGAAATGAAGGAAAAACTGTTAAGGGCATTTCCAGTTCTAGATCCCTGAGGAATCGCCACACTGACTTCCACAATGGTTGAACTAGTTACAGTCCCACCAACAGTGTAAAAGTGTTCCTATTTCTCCACATCCTCTCCAGCACCTGTTGTTTCCTGACTTTTTAATGATCGCCATTCTAACTGGTGTGAGATGGTATCTCATTGTGGTTTTGATTTGCATTTCTCTGATGGCCAGTGATGATGAGCATTTTTTCATGTGTTTTTTGGCTGCATAAATGTCTTCTTTTGAGAAGTGTCTGTTCATGTCCTTTGCCCACTTTTTGATGGGGTTGTTTGTTTTTTTCTTGTAAATTTGTTTGAGTTCATTGTAGATTCTGGATATTAGCCCTTTGTCAGATGAGTAGGTTGCGAAAATTTTCTCCCATTTTGTAGGTTGCCTGTTCACTCTGATGGTAGTTTCTTTTGCTGTGCAGAAGCTCTTTAGTTTAATTAGATCCCATTTGTCAATTTTGGCTTTTGTTGCCATTGCTTTTGGTGTTTTAGACATGAAGTCCTTGCCCATGCCTATGTCCTGAATGGTAATGCCTAGGTTTTCTTGTAGGGTTTTTATGGTTTTAGGTCTAACGTTTAAGTCTTTAATCCACCTTGAATTGATTTTTGTATAAGGTGTAAGGAAGGGATCCAGTTTCAGCTTTCTACATATGGCTAGCCAGTTTTCCCAGCACCATTTATTAAATAGGGAATCCTTTCCCCATTGCTTGTCATTTGACCCAGCCATCCCATTACTGGGTATATACCCAAAGGACTATGAATCATGCTGCTATAAAGACACACGCACACGTATGTTTATTGCGGCATTATTCACAATAGCAAAGACTTGGAACCAACCCAAATGTCCAACAATGATAGACTGGATTAAGAAAATGTGGCACGTATACACCATGGAATACTATGCAGCCATAAAAAATGATGAGTTCATGTCCTTTGTAGGGACATGGATGAAACTGGAAATCATCATTCTCAGTAAACTATCGCAAGAACAAAAAAACAAACACCGCATATTCTCACTCATAGGTGGGAATTGAACAATGAGATCACGTGGACACAGGAAGGGGAATATCACATACTGGGGACTGTTGTGGGGTGGGGGGAGGGGGGAGGGATAGCATCGGGAGATATACCTAATGCTAGATGACGAGTTAGTGGGTGCAGCGCACCAGCATGGCACATGTATACATATGTAACTAACCGGCACAATGTGCACATGTACCCTAAAACTTGAAGTATAATAATAATAATAATAATAATAATAATAATAAAAAAGATTCCTGCCCACTAAAAAAAAAAAAAAAAAAAAACTGTTAAGGGCAACCAGAGAGAAAGGTCGAGTTATCGACAAAGGGAAGCCCATCAGACTAACAACGGACCTCTCAGCAGAAACCCTACAAGCCAGAAGAGAGTGGGGGACAATATTCAACATTCTTAAAGGAAAGAATTTTCAGCCCAGAATTTAATATCCAGCCAAACTAATCTTCATAAGTGAAGGAGAAATAAAATCCTTTACAGACAAGCAAATGCTGAGAGATTCTGTCACCACGAGGCCTGCCTTACAAGAGCTCCTGAAGGAAGCACTAAACATGGAAAGGAACAACCAGTACCAGCCACTGCAAAAACATGCCAAACTGTAAAGACCATTGGTGCTATGAAGAAACTGCATCAATTAACAGGCAAAATAACCAGCAAACATCATAATAACGGGATCAAATTTACACATAACAATATTAACCTGAAATTTAAATGGGCTAAAAGCCCCAATTAAAAGACAGAGACTGGAAATTGGATAAAGAGTCAAGACCCATCAGTGTGCTGTCTTCAGGAGACCCATCTCATGTGCAGAGACACACATAGGCTCAAATAAAGGGATGGAGGAAGATCTACCAAGCAAATGGAAAGAAAAAAGAGCAGGGGTTGCAATCCTAGTCTCTGATAAAACAGACTTTAAACCAACAAAGATTAAAAGAGACAAAAAAGGCCAGTACATAATGGTAAACGGATGAATTGAACAAGAATAGCTAACTATCCCAAATATATATGCACCCAATACAGGAGCACCCAGATTCATAAAGCAAGTCCTCAGAGACCTACAAAGAGACTTAGACTCCCACACAATAATAATGGGAGACTTTAACACCCCACTGTCAATATTAGACAGATCAACAAGACAAATGTTAACAAGGATATCCAGGACCTGAACTCAGCTCTGCACCAAGCAGACCTAACAGACATCTACAGAACTCTCCACCCCAAATCAACAGAATATACATTCTTTGGAGCACCGCATTGCACCTATTCTAAAATCGACTACATAACTGGAAGTAAACCACTCTTCAGCAAATATAAAAGAACACAAATCACAACAAACTGTCTCTCAGATCACAGTGCAATCAAATTAGAACTCAGGATTAAGAAACTCACTCAAAACCACTCAACTACATGAAAACTGAACAACTTGATCCTGAATGACTACTGGATAAATAACGAATGAAGGCAGAAATAAAGATGTTCTTTGAAACCAACGAAAACAAAGACACAACGTACCAGAATCTTTGGGACACATTTAAAGCAGTGTGTAGAGGGAAATTTATACTACTAAATGCCTATAAGAGAAAGCAGGAAAGATCTAAAATCAACACCCTAACATCACAACTGAAAGAACTAGAGAAGCAAGAGCAAACACATTCAAAAGCTAGCAGAACGCAAGAAATAACTAAGATCAGAGCAGAACTGAAGGAGATAGAGACATAAAAAACCCTTCAAAAAATCAATGAATCCAGGAGCTGGTTTTTTGAAAAGAACAAAATTGATAGACTGCTAGCAAGACTAATAAAGAAGAAAAGAAAGAAGAATCAAATAGACACAATAAAAAATGATAAATGGGATATCACCACTGATCCCACAGAAATACAAACTACCATCAGAGAATACTATAAACACCTCTACGCAAATAAACTAGAAAATCTAGAAGAAATGGATAAATTCCTGGACACATACACCCTCCCAAGACTAAACCAGGAAGAAGCTGAATCTCTGAATAGACAAATAACAGGCTCTGAAATTGAGGCAATAATTAATAGCCTACCAACTAAAAAAAGTCCAGGACCAGATGGATTCACAGCCGAATTCTACAAGAGGTACAAAGAGGAGCTGGTACCATTCCCTCTGAAACTATTCCAATCAATAGAAAAAGAGAGAATCCTCCCTAACTCAACTTATGAGGCCAATATCATCCTGACACCAAAGCCTGGCAGAAACACAACAAAAAAAAGAGAATTTTAGACCAATATCCCTGATGAACATCAATGCAAAAATCCTCAATAAAATACTGGCAAACCAAATCCAGCAGCACATCAAAAAGCTTATCCACCATGATCAAGTGGGCTTCATCCCTGGGATGCAAGACTGGTTCAACATATGCAAATCAATAAATGTAATCCATCATATAAACAGAATCAACAACAAAAACCACATGATTATCTCAATAGATGCAGAAAAGGCCTTTAACAAAATTCAACAGCCCTTCATGCTAAAAACTCTCAATAAACTAGGTATTGATGGAACATATCTCAAAATAATAAGAGCTATTTATGACAAACCCACAGCCAATATCATACTGAATGGGCAAAAACTGGAAGCATTCCCTTTGAAAACGGGCACAAGACAGGGATGCTCTCTCTCACCACTCCTATTCAACATAGTGTTGGAAGTTCTGGCCAGGGCAGTCAGGCAAGAGAAAGAAATAAAGGGTGTTCAATTAGAAAATGAGAAAGTCAAATTGTCCCTGTTTGCAGATGACATGATTGTATATTTAGAAAACCCCATCGTCTGAACCCAAAATATCCTTTAGCTGATAAGCAACTTCAGCAAAGTCTCTGGATACAAAATCAATGTGCAAAAATCACAAGCATTCCTATACACCATTAACAGACAAAGAGAGAGCCAAATCATGAGTGAACTCCCATTCAGAATTGCTACAAAGAGAATAAAATACCTAGTAATCCAACTTACAAGGGATGTGAAGGACCTCTTCAAAGAGAACTACAAACCACTGCTCAAAGAAATAAAAGAGGACACAAACAAATGGAAGAATATTCCATGCTCATGGATAGGAAGACTCAATATCATGAAAATGGCAGCACTGCCCAAGGTAATTCATAGATTCAGTGCCATCCCCATCAAGCTACCAATGACTTTCTTCACAGAATTGGAAAAAACTACTTTAAAGTTCATATGGAACCAAAAAACAGCCTGCATTGCCAAGACAATCCTAAGCCAAAAGAACAAAGCTGGAGGCATCACGCTACCTGACTTCAAACTATACTACAAGGCTACAGTAACCAAAACAGCATGGTACTGGTACCAAAACAGAGGTATAGACCAATGGAACAGAACAGAGCCCTCAGAAATAATACCACACATCTACAACCATCTGATCTTTGACAAATCTGACAAAAACAAGAAATGGGGAAAGGATTCCCTATTTAATAAATGGTGCTGGGAAAACTGGCTAGCCATATGTAGAAAGCTGAAATTGGATCCTTTCCTTACACCTTATACAAAAATTAATTCAAGATGGATTAGAGACCTAAATGTTAGACCTAAAACCACAAAACCCCTAGAAGAAAACCTAGGCAATACCATTTAGGACATAGGCATGGTCAAGGACTTCATGACTAAAACACCAAAAGCAATGGCAACAAAAGCCAAAATTGACAAATGGGATCTAATTAAACTAAAGAGCTTCTCCACAGCAAAAGAAACTATCATCAGAGTGAACAGGCAACTTACAGAATGGGAGAAAATTTTTGCAATCTACCCATCTGACAAAGGGCTAATATCCAGAATCTACAAAGAACTCAAACAAACTTATAAGAAAAAAACAAACAACCCCATCAAAAAGTGGGCAAAGGATATGAATAGACACTTCTCAAAAGAAGACATCTACACAACCAACAGACACATGGAAAAATGCTCATCACTGGTCATCAGAGAAGTGCAAATCAAAACCACAATGAGATACCATCTCACACCAGTTAGAATAGCAATCATTTAAAAAGTCAGGAAACAACAGATGCTGGAGAGGATGTGGAGAAATAGGAACGCTTTTACACTGTTGGTGTGAGTGTAAATTAGTTCAACCTTTGTGGAAGACAGTGTGGTGATTCCTCAAGGATCTAAACTAGAATTAATATTTGACCCAGCAATCCCATTACTGCTTATATACCCAAAGGATTATAAATCATGCTACTATAAAGACACATGCACATGTATGTTTATTGTGGCACTATTGACAATAGCAAAGACTTGGAACCAACCCAAATGTCCATCAATGATAGACTGGATTAAGAAAATGTGGCACGTATACACCATGGAATACTATGCAGCCATAAAAAAGGATGAGTTCATGTCCTTTGCCGGGACATGGATGAAGCTGGAAACCATCATTTTCAGGAAACTATAAGGACGGAAAACCAAATACCACATGTTCTCACTCATAGGTGGGAATTGAACAATGAGATCAATTGGACACAGGGCCTTGGACACAGGGAAGGGAACATCACCCACCAGGGCCTGTTGAGGGATGGGGGCCTGAGGGAGGGATAGCATTAGGAGACATACCTAATGTAAATGATGAGTTGATAGGTACAGCAAACCATCATGGCACATATATACCTATGTATCAAACCTGCATGTTGTGCACATGTACCCTAGAACTTAAAGTATAATAAAAAAAAAAAAGAAGGCAATGAGATGATATATTCAAAGTGTTAAAATATTCCTTACAACTACTGTAAAGTTTCTTAAAACTACTGGCATCCACTTAAATTTACAAAGGCAGAAGAAAGCAAGCTACAAAAGGAGAGAATTAAAGATTTGTCAATTTCCTTGGACAAGTGAAAAGTTACTATTTTGTTTTGACTTCAGTATGTTTGATATATAGAAAGGATAATTAATAGAATTAAAACTCTAAGTGGGTGGGCTCAGTGGCTCCTGCCTATAATCCCAGCACTTTGGGAGGCTGAGGCAGGTGGATCACCTGAGGTGAGGAGTTCGAGACCACTCTGGCCATTATGGTGAAACTCCATCTCTACTAAAAAAAAAAAAAAAAAAAAAAAAAAAAAAAAAAAAAATTAGCTGGGCGTGGTGATGCACGCCTGTAATCCCAACCACATGCGAGGCTGAGGCAGGAGAATCACTTGAACCTACTAGGAGGTGGAGGATGCAGTGAGCCGAGACTGCATCACCGCACTCCAGCCTGGGCGACTGAGTGAGACTCTTTCAAAAAAACAAAAACAAAAGAACAAAAAACCCCCTGCAAAACTCTTAAGTATAAAAATTATGAAGAAATTTTAAAAGACTGATAGTTCTGATATAGACATTTTTTAACTGTCAAGAACATCACACACTAATTTAAATGATGTCAAAATGTAAAGTGACATGCAAAATATTGATCTACAAAATGCTTCTATGGGTCAATGATTAAAATCCTAACACTTAGAAGCCTGATATTATCTGGCACCTCATTCTTCTGTTATCTCATCTCTTCTCCTTGCTGTGTTCTAGCCATACACTTTGCTGTCTTCTTACATAAAGTATGTTCTTGCATTAGAACCTCTGCATCAGCTAGACACTCTGGTGGGAATATATTTTCCCTCAGTATTTGAATTGTTAATTCCCTCAATTCCTTCAGGTCATTGCTGAAATGTCATCTTCTCAATGAGGCGTATCCTGCCAACTTTATTTAAAATTGTAATCTGTCTGCAACCTGACTCTCTGCTCCTGATTTTCCCTTACCCAGTTCTTTTTCTTTTTCCATAGCATTTCTCAGCTTCTTGACATGTAACTCAATTTACATATGTCTATCACTTATTGTCTGTCTCCCTATGCACGCTACCCCTGCTAAAATTTAACCTGCACAAGAGAAAAGATCTTAATATTGTAAACTAATATATCCCCAGAAGGGAAAACATAGTCACTCAAATACTTAGACAGTAAATGAATAATAAATAGATTATATATGAAAAGGACATACTTATTTAGATGCAAAAAATACACTTATCCCTGTGGAAGCTTTAGCCACTCCAGTCAGGGTTATAAGGACAGAGCTCCGATCTCTCCCTGGGACAGGGCTTCCGGGGGAGGGTGGCCACCATCTCTGCAGATTGGTCGACTCAGCTGTTCCAGCCTGCCAGCTTTGGAGAGTCCAAACAGTCCAGACAAGGAAGGTTCCCCCACCAACAGAGCATAGCTGCTCTATCCGATCATGGCCAGACTGCTTCTTTAAGCAGGACCCCAATCCATTCCTCCTCACTGGGGAGGACCTCCCTGCAGAGGCTTCAGCCACACCAGCCAGGATTATAAAGACAGAGCTTTGATCTCTTCCTGAGACAGAGTTCCCAGTGGGAGAAGCGGCTACCATCTCTGCAGTTCGGTTGACTCAGCTGTTCCACTCAGCCGGCTCTGGAGAGTCCAAACAGTCTGGGTGAGAAATGATCCACCCCAACACAGCACACCTGCTCCACCAACAAGCAGCCAGACTGCCTCTTTAAGCAGGTCCCTGATCCCATTCTTCCTATCTGCATAAGATCTCACAACAAGGGTCTCCAGCCACCTGCTATAGGTGTGTTTGGGCTGGCAATAGGTCTGTACCCCCCTAGGACAGAGCTTCCAGAAGGATCTGGCTGCCATCTTTGTTGTTTCACAGCCTTCACTGGTGATACCTCTGGGTACAGGAAAAACAGAAGCAACTAGGGTCTGGAGTGAACCCTCAGCAAACTGCAGCAGCCCTACAGAAGAGCAGCTTGACCGTTAAAAACAAACAGAAAGCAACAAAATCATCGTCAACAAAAAGGACTCCAGAAAAACCCCATTCAAAGGTCAGCAATCTCAAAAATCACAGGTAGATAAGCCCACAAAGATGAGAAAAAATCAAAGCAAAAATGCTGAAAATTCAAAAGGCCAGAGTGTCTCTTCTCCTCCAAATGACTGCAACACCTCTCCCCTAAGCAGACAGAACTGGGCCGAGGCCAAGATGGCTGAAGTGATGGAAGTAGGCTTCAAAAGGTGGGTAATAAGGAACTTCGCTAAGCTAAAGGAGCATGTTCTAACCCAATGCAAAGAAACGAAGCACTATGATAAAACATTACAGGAGCTGTAAACGAGAACAATCAGTTTAGAGAGGAATATAAATGACCTGATGGAGCTGAAAAACACAACATAAGAACTTCACAATGCAACCACAAGTATCAATAACCGAACAGACCAAGCAGAGGAAAAAATTTCAGAACTTGAAAACTATCTTGCTGAAATAAGGCAGGTAGACACATTAAACAAAAAAGAATGAAAAGGAACAAACAAAACCTCCGAGAACTATAGGATTATGTAAAAGGAGCTGTGACTGATGGGGTACCTGAAAGAAACAGGGAGAACAGAACCAAGTTGAAAAACATACTTGAGGATATTCATCCAGGAGAACTTCCCCAATCTAGCAGGAAAAGACAACATTTAAATTCAGGAAATGTGGAGAACCCCAGTAAGATACTCCATGAAAAGATCAACCACAAGACATATAATCATCAGATTCTCCAAGGTTGAAATGAAAGAAGAAATGTTAGGGGGCAGCCAGACAGAAAGGCTAGGTCATCCACAAAGGGAAGCCCATCAGACTAACAGCAGACCTCTCAGCTGAAACCCTCCAAGCCAGAAGAGATTGGAGCCAATATTCAACATTCTTAAAGAAAATAATTTCCAATTCATTTCTTAAAGAATTCCCAAAAAAAAGAATTTCCAGAATTTCATATCTGGCCAAACTAAGCTTCATAAGTGAAGGAGAAACAAATGCTGAGGGAATTCATCACCACCAGGCCTGCCTTGCAAGAGCTTCTGAAGGAAGCATTAAGTATGGAAAAGAAAAACCGTCGGCAGCCATGACAAATACACACTGAAGTACACAGACCAGTGACACTATGAATCAACCACATAAACATGTCTGCAAAATAACCAGCTAGCATCATGATGACAGTATCAAATTCACACATAACAATACTAACCTTAAATGCAAATGGGTTAAATGCCCCAATTAAAAGACAAAGAATGGCAAGCTGGATAAAGAGTGGAGACCCATCAACACGCTGTCTTCAAGAGATCCATCTCACATGGAAAGACACACATAGGCTCAAAATAAAGAGATGGAGGAAAATTTACAAGCAAATGGATAACAGAAAAAAAGCTGGGGTTGCAATCCTAGTTTCTGACTTTAAACCAACAAAGGTCAAAAAAGAATGTTACATAATTGTAAAGGGTTCAAGAAGAAATAACTATCCTAAATATATAGGCACCCAATACAGAAGCACCCAGATTCATAAAGCAAATTCTTAAGAGACCTACAAAGAGACTTAGACTCCCACACAATAATAGTGAGAGACCTTAACACCCCATTAACAGTATTAGACAGATCATCGAGACAGAAAATTAACAAAAATATTCACGACCTGAACTCAGCTCTGGATCAAGTGGACTTGATAGATATTTACAGAAATCTCCACCAAAACCCAACAGAATATACATTCTTCTCATTGCCACATGGCACTTACTCTAAAATCGATCACATAATTGGAAGTAAAACGTTCCTCAGCAAATGCAAAATAAGTGAAATCGTAACAGTCTTTCAGACCACAACACAAATTAGAACTGAAGATTAAGAAATTCACTCAAAACCACACAACTACATGAAAATTGAACAACCTGCTCCTGAATGACTCTTGAGTAAATAATGAAATTAAGGCAGAAATCAAGAATTACTTTGAAACTAATGAGAACAAAGAGACAATGTACCAGAATCTCTGGATGCAACTAAAGCAGTGTTAATAAAAAAATTTATAGCACTAAATGCCCACATCAAAACGCTAGAAAGATCTCAAGTTAACAACCTAACATCTCAATTAAAAGAACATGAGAGCCAAGAGCAAACAAACCCCAAAGCTAGCAGAAGACAAGAAACCACGATCAGAGCTGAACTGAAGGAGTTAGACAAACGAAAAACTCTTCAAAAAAAATCAACCAATCCAGGACCTGTTTTTAGAAAAAAAGTAGTAAAATAGACCACTAGCTACACTGATAAAGAAGAAAAGAGAGAAGAATCCAATAAACACAATCAGCAATGATATGGGGCATCAGAACCAACAACAAGTTCTGAAACTGAGGCAGCAATAAGTAGCCTACCAACCAAAAAAAGCCTAGGACCAGATGGATTCACAGCTGAATTCTACCAGAGGTACAATGAAGAGCTGGTATCATTTCTACTGAAACTATTCCACAAAACTGAAGAGGGATTCCTCCCTTACTCATTCTATGAGGCCAGCATCATCCTGATGCCAAAACCTGGCAGAAATACAACAAAAAAGGAAAACTTCATGTCAATACCATTGATGAACATCAATGCAAAAATCCTCAATAAACTACTAGCAAACCAAATTCAGCAGCACATAAAAAAGCTTATCCATCAGATCAAGTTGGCTTCATCCCCAGGATGCGACGTTGGTTCAACAGACACAAATCAATAAATGTGATTCATCACATAAACAGAACTAAGGACAAAACCACATGATTATCTCAATCAATCAAGAAAAGCCTTTGATAAAATGAGACATCCCTTCATGTTAAAATCTCAATAAACCAGGTATTAAAGGAACATACCTCAAAATAATAAAAGCCATATATGACAAACTCACAGCCAATATCATACTGAATGGGCAAAAGCTGGAAGCATTTCCCCTTGAAAACTGGCGCAAGACAAGGATGCCCTCTCTCACCACTCCTATTCAACACAGTATTGAAAGTTCTGGCCAGGGTAATCAGGCGCAAGAAAGAAATAAAGGGTATTCAAATAGGAAGAGAGAAGTCAAATTACATTTGTTTGCAGATAACATGATCTTATATCTAGAAAACCCCATCATCTCAGCCCAAAAGCTTCTTAAGCTGATAAGCAACTTTAGCAAAGTCTCAGGATACAAAATCAATGTGCAAAAATCTCTAGCATTCCTATACACCAACAACAAGTAGGCAGAGAGCCATCCCATTCACAATTGCTACAAAATGAATAAAATACCTAGGAATATAGCTAACAAGGGAAGTATAGAATCTCTTCAAGGAGAATTACAAACCACTGCTCAAAGGAAATCGGAGAGGACACAAACAAATGGAAAAACATTCCATGCTCATGGACAGGAAGAACGAACATCATGAAAATGGCCATACTGCCCTAAGTAATTTATAGATTCAAAGCTATTCCCATTAAACTAACATTGACATTCTTCACATATTTAGAAAAAGTGATTTTAAAATTCATATGGAACCAAAAAAGAGCCCGAATAGTCAAGCCAATCCTAAGAAAAAAGAACAAAGCTGGAGGTATCATGCTACCCAACTTCAAAATATACAAGGCTACAGTAACCAAGATGGCATTGTACTGGTACAAGAAGAGACACATAGACCAATGGAACAGAACAGAGAACTCAGAAATAAGATCACACACCTACAACCATCTGATCTTCGACAAACCTGACAAAAGCCAGCAATGGGGAAAGGGTTCCCTATTTAATAAATAGTGCTGGAAGTGCTGGCTAGCCATATGCAGAAAACTGAAACTGGACCCCTTCCTTATACAAATATTAACTTAAGATAAACTAAAAACTTAAATGTAAAACCCGAAACTATTAAAACTCTAGAAGAAAATCTAGGCAATACTATTCAGGATGTAGACATGGGCAAGGATTTCATGACAAAAATGCCAAAAGCAATTGCAATAAAAGCAAAAATTGGCAAATGGGATATATTAATAATTAAACTAAAGAGCTTCTGCACAGCAAAAGAAACTATCATCAGAGAGAACACATAATCTATGAAATGGGAAAAAATTTCTCCAATCTATCCATCTGACCAAGGTCTAATATCCAGAGTCTACAAGGAACTTAAATTTACAAGAAAAAAACAAACGACAAAGTGGACAAAGTACATAAACAGACTCTTCTCAAAAGAAGATATACATGTGGCCAAAAAATATGGGGAAAAAAGCTCCACATCACTGATCATTAAAGAAATGCAAATCAAAACCACAATGAGATAACATCTCACGCCAGTCAGAATGGCCATTACTAAAAAGTCGTAAAAGAACAGATGCTGGCAAGGTTGCAGAAAAAAGAGAATGCTTAAACACAGTGGGAATAAAAATTAGGTCAGCCACTGTGAAAAGCAGTTCGGAGATTTCTCAAAGAACTGAAAACAAAATTACCATTTGACCCAGCAATCCCATTACTTGGCATATACACAAAGGAATATAAATCATTCTGTTAAATATTATAAGGATACAGGAACGTGTATGTTCATTGCAGCACCATTGACAATAGTAAAGACACGGAATCAACCTAAATGCCCATCAATGATAGACTGGATAAAGAAAATGTGATACATATACACCATGGAATACTATGCAGCCATAAAATGGAATGAAATCACATCCTTTGCAGGGACACAGAAGGAGTTGGAAGCCATTATCCTCAGCAAACTAACACAGGAACAGAAAACCAAACACCACATATTCTCACTTTTAAGTGGGAGCTGAATGATGAGACCACATGGACAAAATGGCATAAACAACACACACTGTGGTCTGTTGGGGGTAGGGGGTGTGGGGAGGGAGAGCATCAGGAAGAATAGCTAAGGGATGCAGGGCTTAGTATCTAGGCAATGGGATGAACTGTGTAGCAAACCACCATAGCATACGTTTATCTGTGTAACAAACCTGCATATCCTACACATAACTCTTAAAGTTGAAAAAAAAAAAAAAAGGTGGTGACAGTATTTTTGTTGTTGTTGTTGCTGTTTTCCAGATAGTGGATAGGAAGCAGTGTTAGCATGCCTCTCCCACTTGGAAGGACAGAATAGTGGGTAGAGATTCACACTGTGAATTTTTTTTCCCCCAAGAACACTACACGAAGTTACAGAAAAATATTTATTCAAAAAAGAAACATTAACTGGCTAGTAAACACAGAAAAATCTTCCATAAACAAATCAAGAGGACAAAAACAACCCCATTACAGAGTGAGCAAAGGAATGGGCACTTCTAAGAAGACATACAAGCAGCCAACAAACATGAAAAAATGCTCAGTATCACTACTCATCAGAGAGATGCAAATCAAAACCACAATGAGATACCATCTCATACCAGTCAGAATTGGTATTATTAAAAAGTCAAAAAAATAACAGATGCTCGCAAGGTTGCAGAGAAAAAGGGAATGCCTAAACACAGTGGGAATGAAAATTACTTCAGCCACTGTAAAAAGCAGTTTGGACATTTCTCAGAGAACTAAAAACAGAACTACCATTTGACCCAACAACTCCATTGCTGGGTATATATCCAAAGAAAAATAAATCATTCTACCAAAAAAGACACCTGCACTCATGTTTATCACAGTACTATTCACAATGGCAAAGACATGGAATCAACCTAGGTGCCCACCAATGGTGGACTGAATAAAGAAAATGTGACTCATATACACCATGGAATACTACACAATATGTGCAAATTGAAATCAATCTACACATTGATTGATAGAATGAGATCATGTCCTTCGCAGCAACATTGGCTCGGCTGGAGGCCATTATTTTAAGTGAATTAACACAAAACCAGAAAATCAAATGCTGCGTGTTCTCACTTATGTGGGAGCTAAACAATGGATACTCAGGGACACAAATATGGGAGTAGACACTGGGGACTACAAAAGGGGATGGGAAGGGAGAAAGGGGGGCCACGAGAGTTGAAAAACTACCTATCAGGTACTATGTTTGCTACTTGGAGAACAGAATCATTAGAAGCTCCAGCCTCAGCATCACACAATATGCCCATGTAACAAATCTCCACATGTACCCCTGGAATCAAAGCTAAAAATAAATAAAGTCATATTGAAAGAAAAATTTTCCCTATAACTACTTATCAAATAAATACAAATAAGAAGCCATCTTTGGCCAGGCACAGTGGCTCACGCCTGTAATCTCAGCACTTTGGGAAGCTGAGGCGAGTGGATCACTTGAACTCAGGAGTGTGACACCAGCCTGGATGACATGGCAAAACCCGTCTCTACAAAAAAATACAAAAATTTGCTGGGTGTGATGGCATGCACCTGCAGTCCCAAGCTGCCCAGGAGGCTGAGGTGGGAGGATTGCTTGAGCCCAGGAGTTGGGTGCTGTGGTGAGCCGAGATCACACCATTGTACTCCAGCCTCAATGACAGAGCGAGACCCCGTCTCAAAAAACAAAACAAAATAAAACAAAACAAAACAAAAAAATTTAAAAAAAGAAACTCTCTTTGTTTTTAAATTGGCAGAAAGAATTAGGTATAACAAAAATCAAGACTTTCAACACTGTGATGTGACAGATCCTCTCAAAAACTATGAAAATTAACAGCCATTTGGAAAGTCATTTGTTAAAAATTATCGGGAGTCTAAAAATGTTAACAACCCTTATATTCAGTACGTTCTTTTCTTCACTGACTAATTAATGGGGTCTCACTCTATTACCCAGGCTAGAGTGCAATGGTGTGATCATAGCTCACTGTAGTCTCAAACTCCTGGGCTCAAGTGATCCTCCCACCTCAGCCTCTCAAATAACTGGGACTACAGGCGTGCATCACCACACCTGGCTAATTGTTTTTAAAAAAATTTTTTTTAGAGACAGAGTCTTGTTATGTTGCCCAGACTGGGCTTGAACTCCTGGCCTCATGCAAACTTCCCATCTCAGCCACGTGATTAGCTGGGATTACAGGCACGAGCCACCATGCCTGGCTCAGCATATTCTTTTTTTTTTTTTTTTTTGAGATGGAGTCTCACTCTGTCAACCAGGCTGAAGTGCAATGGTGTGATCTTGGCTCACTGCAACCTCCGCCTCCCGGGTTCAAGGGATTCTCCTGCCTCAGCCTCGCCAGTAGCTGGGATTACAGGCATGTGCCATCACGTCCAGCAAATTTTGTATTTTTAGTGGAGACAAAGTCATTTTTAATAAACTATTCTCAGAGGTAATAAAAAAATAAGATAAGCTACACATTCAAAATTATTTATGACTGCATTAATACCAACAGTAGCAAAAAAACAAAACCACCTGAATTTTCAATGTTACTAAATATTTCCATGTAGACAGTTTATTATGTATCCATTTGAATTCTTGTTGACACAACATTGTTTAACATTATAAGAAAATAATTTTGATAAAACTGTAAGTGATAATTTCAACCATGTAAAAATAAATATAAAAAACCCAGAAAGGAAATACACCTAAACATTAAAATAGGTTTTATGGGTGATTACTTTTTCTTCCTTGTTAGTCTTTGATTTTATGTACTTCCGATTTTCTATAAGGAACATGTGATAAATAACCAGAAAAAATGTAAAATACTTGGGTGAAAGAAAAACTACAATGAAATGATGATTTGATTAGACAATGATTATCTTTTTTCAATTTTTATATTTCCAACAGATAGCATTTTGGGATCCAAAATTATTTCTTGTCATCATGATTATTGCACTTCATATATTACAGTGTTTTTAGTTTGTGGTTCTAATGATACTTGGGTTTTGAAAATCTTTGGGACAATGAAAATAATCATCCATCCTATAAGGAATAAACAATTATTAAAAGATAGCACTTCTGAAAGTTATAGAAGAAGCAACTAAATCAAGAGAAAGTTATCTGCTAGACACATTGAAACAACTGGGGAAAGGGAGTTTGTGAGCCTCTGAAAGAATATACACACCCAGAACCGCTTGAGAAGAAACAGCAGGCAAAAGTTAATTTCTCCCAATAGATGTAATAGATCCCAAACAGCTTTTTTTTTTTTTTTTTTTTTTTTTTTTTTTGAAATTTTCCGGTCTGCAGGCTACTGAGTAAAGCCTAAATGCATTCTGACATGGTGTAATATGAAATAAAAATGCTTAATTTAAGAAGTATTATTTATTCTTAACGTGGTAGCTAGTCTCCAAGATGGCCCCAACGATCCCCATCTCTGGTATTCATGCCCTGTAAAGCACCTTTCATACTGAATAGAAGTTATTTGCTCAACAAACAGAAAACACTGTGTGTAACTTTTGAGGCTAGATTATAAATGACATTGTGGCTCAGTCTTTATCTCTTTACCCTTGTTCTGGAAAAAGGAAGCTGCCACGTTGTGAGGGCACTTAAGTAACACCAAAAACAGGTCTATGTGGCAATGGAATGAAGCACTCTGCTAAAAGCCAGTGAAACACTGAGGACTCCTGCAGTGGCATGTAAGTGAGTCATCTTAGAAGCTTGTCCTCCTGCTCCAGTGAAGCCTTCGGATCACTGCAACTATAACCAAAATCTTAAATATAGCCTTATAAGAGAATCTAAGATAGAATCACTCAGGTAAATTGCTCCTAAATTCTTGAACCTCAGAAACTGTTAAGATAAATGTTCACTGTTTACCACCAAGTGGTAATTTGTTATACAGCAATAAATTTATACTTAGCTAATATAAAAACAATTTCATAAAATATTTTGGTTTATGTTTCTTAAGTATTTTTTATCTAGATAAACTTATATATTAACTTAGAAATACAGACAGTTATGAAAGACTACTTTTATATACAGAAATATATCCTCTTGAAGTATACTGGTTTATAATCAATAACAAGAAATTTAATGTTGACTTAAGGCTTAAAATATTCTTCAGTGAGATAAATTTACTTAGTTTTTCTTAAATAATCAGGGAAAGAAAATGCTGCTTAATTATGTGACCAAAAATTGCTATTACTAGCTATTGTTGGTAAATAGTGGATTTCGGGTCACTGAAGTGGTGGTAGGGTCTAGAGTTACTTACTTTGTTTAATACCCTATTTGTAATCAATATGTGGTATGTGTATGTCTGATCACAAGGACTACCAGAGAATATATGTCACGAGTCATAGAAAACAGGTAGGTTTTTCTTTTCCTGAGCAAAGTTACCTGTTTTACATGAAGACTAAATCTGAATTCCTTCGTCTACTTAACTGAAACATTAACATGGAGGGGAAAATATTTAATGTATGTTCTTCATATTGCTTTCCTTAAATTGAAATAAATTAAAATTGTTAGTAAGAATATCTAGGTACTCACCATGTGCTTTAATGCATTAAAAAGAAGTTTTCTCCCAGAAGGCTTATCAAAATCTGCAATAATCCAGAGAGTGACTGCAGAAATTATACTCTCATCTGAAAGTTTCAAACAGTTTACTCAAATTAACTTTTTTTTTAAAAAATAAAACAAAAGCAGGGGAACATGTGCAGTTAACACATTAAAAAAAATTAAAATAATATTTCTGAAAAGCAAAGATTTTTAAAATGTTATGTGTGAATGTATACATGCAAGTACGTATATATACATACAAAAATAAATACATATAAAATTACATATAAAAATGCTACAAGGGTAATTCATTATACAAGCTTATATAAAGCTTCCGGTTAGAAGAGTAACTCATTATATAAGCTTATATAAAACTCCCAGTGTTGGTAAGCAAATCTGCCTTCTAGCTACATTTGTTTAAAAAAAAAAAATTTATGTCCCAAATATATGTAAAACCGTAACAATCAAGCTTATTAGTAGATATAGAAAACAGCAATATGTAGCCAGACTCCTTTATGAACATAAAATCATGGAATCTGTTAGACAGTAATCCAGGAGCCATCTGGTAGAAACTCGGATTTAATCTACAGCATTTACAAGAACTGGTTGTGTGGCCTTTGCTTTAAATCTCTCTCCTATATAAAAGTTTGCCCCTTACAACATAGTTCATTCCATCTGTTTAATGAACTCTCACTGTTAGAAAATTACCACTTCCCTACTGAGACCAAAATCAGCCTTCTTTAATCTTTTACTCATTGGCTCTTGTTTTTATTTCTAGAGCAAAGCAGGCCAAACAAAACAAAGCAAAGCAAAACAAAAACCACCAAATTCGAATTATATTCATCTATCTGAATAGTTAATTGTACCCTAACAAATCTACGGTCCCACTGCAGACTTCTCAGTTTGGCTAAATCCTTTTTCCCAAGTGTGTTACTATCTTGGTCTCCTCTCTTCTGGTTGTAACCCCTACCTTAAGCAAAATATCTGCATGTTATTTAATCAGAATGCAGAAGAATTATTATCTTCTCTGATCTGGTAATTGTACTTTTCTGTATACATTATAAGATAGTTTACATAGTACTGAAAAGATTTTATTCTTTTCTTAAAAAGGTGAAAATAGTTTGTTTAAAAAAGGCAAAAATAAGATAAACAAAGTTAGAATAGAAGGCATTGTTTTCTCAGCACACGTTAAATACTAAAAAATTTACAAACTCTAAAATTGAAATCTAGGCCTCTACTCAAAAATAGCAACATATTAAAATTTATTATACAACTGCCTTATGAACATTACAAGTTTCTATCACTTTAAGAATTCAGGTAAATAAAATATGCTTATTACCGTCTTGGGTTAAATAATACATGTTCTTTGCAATTACAGCACTCTTATCTTGTGAATCCAAGAAAAAGAAAGTAGAGAAATCTTCAACATCAGCAGTTACTGAAAAATTTCAAATTAAACGTTAAATATAAATAAAGAATTCACAACTCAATAAACATTTGTAGAACAGTATAGGATTATTTTACCTGATGTAGATATTAAATTGAGGTACTGCTGGTTAGTACGCAAAATCAAAGTATTTATACGGGGTACAACATTATTCCTATCCATTAGAAAATCAATTGCATTCGTGCGATCATTTAATGTGCCCTAAAAAAACAAAAATGTTATTTAGATAATACAGGCAATTTATATCCATGTTTCAAAAAGTATGCAGATAACACAAAGATTACTTAATCAAAAATAAATAAGCAATTTAGAATTATTACAATACATTTTCTTTCTTTTTTTTTTTTTTTTTTATTCTTCAGTTTGGTAAACATTTAATGAGCTCTGTCTCAGGTGTTGGCAATTTCACTTCACAACCAGAATCATGGTAGTAACCATTTCTTGAGCACCTATTGTGAGCAGGACAATTCTCATTAATTAACTCACTGAATTTTTTTGTTTGTTTGTTTGTTTGCTTTTTTGTTGTTTTTTTAAATTTTTTTAGTATTTATTGATCATTCTTGGGTGTTTCTCGGAGAGGGGGATTTGGCGGGGTCACAGGACAATAGTGGAGGGAAGGTCAGCAGATAAACTTGTGAACAAAGGTCTCTGGTTTTCCTAGGCAGAGGGCCCTGCCGCCTTCCGCAGTGTTTGTGTCCCTGGGTACTTGAGATTCGGGAGTGGTGATGACTCTTAACGAACATGCTGCCTTGCAGGGTCTGTTTAACAAAGCACATCTTGCACCGCCCTTAATCCATTTAACCCTTAGTGGACACAGCACATGTTTCAGAGAGCACGGGGTTGGGGGTAAGGTTATAGATTAACAGCATCCCAAGGCAGAAGAATTTTTCTTAGTACAGAACAAAATGGAGTCTCCTATGCCCACTTCTTTCTACACAGACACAGTAACAATCTGATCTCTCTTTCTTTTCCCCACATTTCCCCCTTTTCTATTCGACAAAACCGCCATCGTCATCATGGCCCGTTCTCAATGAGCTGTTGGGTACACCTCCCAGACGGGGTGGCGGCCGGGCAGAGGCGCCCCCCACCTCCCGGACGGGGCAGCTGGCCGGGCAGGGGCTGCCCCCTACCTCCTGGACGGGGCGGCTGGCCGGGCAGGGGCTGCCCCCCACCTCCCCGACGGGACGGCTGGCCTGGCGAGGGCTGCCCCCCACCTCCCGGACAGGACGGCTGCCGGGCGGAGACGCTCCTCACTTCCCGGACGGGGCGGCTGCCGGGCGGAGGGGCTCCTCACTTCCCAGATGGGGCGGCTGCTGGGCGGAGGGGCTCCTCACTTCTCAGACGGGGCAGCCGGTCAGAGACGCTCCTCACCTCTCAGACGGGGTGGTGGCGGGGCAGAGACACTCCTCAGTTCCCAGACGGGGTCGCGGCGGGGCAGAGGTGCTCTTCACAGCCCAGACGGGGCGGCGGGGCAAAGGCGCTCCCCACATCCCAGAAGGTGGGTAGCCGGGCAGAGACGCTCCTCACTTCCTAGACGGGATGACGGCCGGGAAGAGGTGTTCCTCACTTCCCAGACTGGGCGGCTGGGCAGAGGGGCTCCTCACATCCCAGATGATGTGCGGCCAGGCAGAGATGCTCCTCACTTCCTAGACGGGGTGGCGGCCGGGCAGAGGCTGCAATCTCGGCACTTTGGGAGGGCAAGGCAGGCGGCTGGGAGGTGGAGGTTGTAGTGAGCCGAGATCATGCCACTGCACTCCAGCCTGGGCAACATTGAGCACTAAGTGAGCGAGACTCCATCTGCAATCCCGGCACCTCGGGAGGCCGGGGCTGGCAGATCACTCGAGGTCAGGAGCTGGAGACCAGCCCGGCCAACACAGCGAAACCCCGTCTCCACCAAAAAATACGAAAACCAGTCAGGCGTGGCGGCGCGCGCCTGCAATCCCAGGCACTAGGCAGGCTGAGGCAGGAGAATCAGGCAGGGAGGTTGCAGTGAGCCAAGATGGAGGCAGTACAGTCCAGCCTCGGCTTGGCATCAGAGGGAGATGAGGGAGAGGGGGAGGGAGAATACATTTCCTTGTAAAAATTACAACTTTTTCCAATTAAGCAATTTTAGATGCAATTATGCCTAAGATAAATTTAATTAAATATATTTTTAAAGAATTTCAGCTTTTATTTTAGATTCGAGGGTACACATGCAGATTGGTTACAACACAGGTGTATCATGTAATGCTGAAGTTGGGGTTATGACTGATCCCATTACCCAGGTAGTTAGCATAGTACCAGATAGTTTTCCAACCCTTCCCTGACTTTTTCCTTCCCTCTCCCCTCTAGAAATCCCCAGTGTCTCTTGCTGCCATCTTTATGTCTATGAGTACCAAATGTTTAGCTCCCACTCATAAGAGAGAACATGCAGTGTTTGGTTTCCTGTTTCTGTGTTAGTTTGCTTGGCCTCCAGCTGAGTCCATGTTGCTCCAAAGGGGACGATTTCATTTTTAATGGGTGCGTAGTATTCCATGGTGTATATATGCACCACATTTTCTTTAACCAATCCACCACTGATGGACACCTAGGCTGATTCTACATCTTTGCTATTATGAATAGTGCTGCAGTGAACATACATGTGTCTTTTTGGTAGAACGATTTATTTTCCTCTGGAGATGTACCCAGTAATGGGATTGCTGGGTTGAATGGTAGTTCTGTTTTAAGTTCTTTGAAACATCTACAAACTGCTTTCCAAAGGGGCTGAACTAATTTACATCCCCACTAACAGTGTATATGCGTTCCCCTTCCTCCTCAGCCTCACCAGCATCTGTTGTTTGTTCACTTAATAACAGCCATTCTAAATGGTACGAGATGGTGTCTCCTTTTGGTTTTGATTTGCACTTCTCTAAGGATTAGTAGTGTTGAACATTTCTTTATATGCTTGTTGGCCGCCTGCGTGTCTTCTTTTGAGAAGTACCTGTTAATGTCATTTGCCTACTTTTTAATGGGGTTATTTATTCTTTGCTTGATTTATTTGCTACTTATGGATATTAGAATTTTGTCGGATATACAGTTTGTGAATATTTTCTGTATATTCTGTAGGCTGTCTGTTTACTCTGTTGCGAGTTTCTTTTGTTGTACTCTTTAATTAATTAGGTCCCACTCGTCAAATTTTTGTTTTTGATGCAATTGCTTTTGAGATCTTAGCCATAAATTCTTTCCCAAGACTGATGTCCAGAACGGTGTTTCCTAGGTTTTCTTCTAGAATTCTTATAGTTTTAAGTCTTATACTTAACTGTTTAATCCATCTTGTTAAGTTTTGAACGTGGTGAAAAGTAGGGGTCCAGTTTTGTTTGCATATGGCTAGCCAACTATCCTAGGACCATTTATTGAATCGAGGACCCTTTTCCCACTAATTTTCATCAACTTTTCAAAGCTAAAATGTTTGTAGGTGTGTGGCTTTATTTCTGGGTTCTCTACTCTGTTCCATTAGTCTATGTGTCTATTTTTGTACCAGTACCATGCTGCTCTGGTTACTGTAGCCTCATAGTGTACTGTGAAGTTGGGTAATACTGTGTCCGGAATTGGTGGGTTCTTGATCACACTGACTTCAAGAATAAAGCTGTGGACCCTCGCGGTGAGTGTTACAGTTCTTAAAGATGGAGTGTCCAGAGTTTGTTCCTTCTGATGTTCAGATGTGTTCGGGGTTTTCTCCTTCTGGTGGGTTGGTGGTCTCGCTGGCTTCAGGAGTGAAGGTGCAGACTTTTATGGTGAGTGTTACAGCTCTCAAAGGCAGCACGGACCCAAAGACTGAGCAGCAGAAAGATTTACTGCAAAGAGCAAAAGAACAAACCTCCCACAGCATGGAAAGGGACCCAAGCGGGTTGCCACGGCTGGCTTGGGCAGCCTGCTTTTATTCCCTTATCTGGCCCCACCCACATCTTGCTGATTGGTCCATTCTACAGAGAGCTGATTGGTCTGTTTTACAGAGAGCTGATTGGTCCGTTTTGACAGGGTGCTGATTGGTGTGTTTACAATCCCTGAGCTAGCCACAAAAGTTCTCCAAGTCCCCACTAGATGAGCTAGACACAGCACTGATTGGTGCATTTACAAACCTCCAGCTAGACACAGGGTACTGATTGGTGTGTTTACAAATCTTGAGCTAGACACAGAGTGCTGATTGGTGTATTCACAATCCCTCAGCTACACATAAAGGTTCTCCAAGTCCCCACTAGACTCTGGAGCCCAGGGGCTTCACCTAGTGGATCCCACACCTGGGCCGCAGGGGGAGCTGCCCGCCACTCCCGCACCTTGCACCGGCACTCCTCAGCCCTTGAGCGGTCAATGGGACTGGGCGCCGCGGAGCAGGGGGCAGCACTCGTCGGGGAGGCTCGGGCTGCGCAAGACCCCACGGTGCCGGGGCAGGGTGGGGTGGGGTGGGGGTGGGGGGGAGGCTCAGGCATGGCGGGCTGCGGGTCCCAAGCCCTGACCCAGGGGGAGGCAGATGAGGCAGCGAGAATTCGAGCACAGTGCTGGCCCAGCGCACCCTCTGTAGCTGCTGGCCCGGGTGCTACGCCCCTCACTGCCCGGGCCGGCAGCGCCCGCCGGCCTGAGTGCAGGGCCTGCTGAGCCCACGCCCACCCGGAACTCGCGCTGGCCCATGAACGTGGCGCGGAGCCCTGGTTCCCGCCCGCGCCTCTCCCTCCACACCTCCCCGCAAGCAGAGGGAGCCGGCTCCGGCCTCGGACAGCCCAGAGAGGGGCCCCCACAGTGCAGTGGCAGGCTGAAGGGCTCCTCGAGCATGGCCAGAGCGGACGCCGAGGGCAAGGAGGTGCTGAGAGTGAGCAAGGGCCACCAGCACATTGTCACCTCTCAATATGATGCCTTCAGATTTGTTCTTTTTCTTGGAATTGCCTTGGCTATTTGGGCTCTTTTCTGGTTCCATATTAATTTTAGAATAGTATTTTCCAATTCTGTGAATAATGACATTGGCAGTTTGATATGAATAGCATTAAATCTGTAGATTGTGTTGGGCAGTATGGCCATGTTAACAATATTTAGTCTTCCAATCCGTGAGCATGGAATGTTTACCCATTTGTTTGCATAATATATGATCACTTTCAGCAGTGTTTAGTAATTATCCTTGTAGAGATCTTTCATCTCCTTAGTTAGCTGTATTCCTAGGTATTTTATTTGTGTGTGTGTGTGTGTGTGTGTGTGTGTGTGTGTGTGTGTATGGCTATTGTAAATGGGACTGCATTCTTGATTTGGCTCTCAGCTTGAATGTTATTGGTCTATAGAAATGCTACTGATTGCTGTGCATTAATTTTGAATCCTGAAACTTTACTTAAGTAATTTATCAGTTCTAGGAGTTGTCCGGTGGAGTCTTTAGGGTTTTCTAGGTGTAGAATCATATCATCAGTGAAGAGAGATACTGGACTTCTTTTACTATTTGGATGCCTTTTATTTATTGCTCTTGCCTGATTGCTCTAAGACTTCCAGTACTATGATGAATAGGAATAGTGAGACTGGGCATCCTTTTCCTGTTCCAGTCCTCAAGGGGAATGTTTCCAGCTTTTCACTGTTCAGTATGATGTTGGTTGTGGGTTTGTCATAGATGGCGTTTATTATTTTGAGGTATGTTCCTTCAATGCAGTTTGTTGAGGGTTTTTATCATGAAGGGATGTTTGATTTTATTGAATAATTTTTCAGCATCTATCAAAATGATCACATTTTTTGTTTTAAATTCTGTGTATGTGGTGAATGACATTTACTGATTTGTTAATGTTGAACCAACCTTTCTCAGGAGTGAAGCCTATTTGATTACGGTGAATTAATTTTTTGATATGCTGCTGGATTCAGTTTGCTAGTATTTTGTTGAGGATTTTTCCATCTATGTTCATCAATGGTACTAGCCTGTAGTTTTTTCATTGCATGTTTGCCAGGTTTTGGTATCAGGATAACACAGGTTTTGCAGAATGAGTTAGGGAGGCATTAATCACTCCTCCTTGGTTTTTTGGAATAGTTTCAGTAGGATTGGTAACAGTTCTTCTTTATACATCTGGCAGAATTCAGTTATGAATCCATCTGGTCCAGGGCTTTTACTGGTTGGTAGGTTTTTTATTACTGATTCAATTATGGAACTCAGTATCAGTCTGCTCAGGGTGTCAATTTCTTCCTGATTCAATCTTGGGAGACCAGGAATTTATCCATATCCTCTAGATTTTCCAGTTTGTATGCATAGAGGTCTTCTGAGGATCTTCTGTATTTCTATGGGATCAGTTGTAATGTCACCTTTGTTGCTTCTGATTGTGCTT
Source organism: Homo sapiens (assembly GCF_000001405.40). Taxonomy (NCBI): domain Eukaryota; kingdom Metazoa; phylum Chordata; class Mammalia; order Primates; family Hominidae; genus Homo; species Homo sapiens. The sequence goes on from NC_000013.11 coordinate 95,933,435, forward strand.
ATTTAGATCGTTTCTCCTTTTTCTGTTAATCTAGCTAGTGGTCTATCGATCTTGTCCTTTCCAAGAGCTAACTTTTGGTTTCACTGATTCATTGTATAAATTTTTGGGTCTCAATTTTGTACAATTCTGCTCTGATTTTAGTTATTTCTTTTCTTCTGCTAGCTTTGAGGTTAGTTCATTCTTGTTTTTCCTAATTCCTCTTGGTGTGATGTTAAGTCATTATTTTGAGATAGTTCTAAATTTTTTTGTTTTTGTTTTTTGTTTTGAGACGAAGTCTTGCTCTGTCACCTAGGCTGGAGTGCAGTGGCTGTATCTCGGCTCACTGCAAGCTCCGCCTCCCGGGTTCATGCCATTCTCCTGCCTCAGCCCCCAGAGTAGCTGGGACTACAGGCACCAGCCACCAGGCCCAGCTAATTTTTTTTTGTACTTTTAGTAGAGATGGGGTTTCACTGTGTTAGCCAGGATGGTCTCGATCTCCTGACCTCGTGATCTGCCCACCTCGGCCTCCCAAAGTGCTGGGATTACAGGCGTGAGCCACCGCGCCTGGTGATAGTTCTAAATTTTTGAGATAGGTGGTTAGCACTATAACTCTGAAAACTGCTTTTGCTGCATGCCAGAGATCTTCGTATGTTGTTTGTTTTCATTTATTTGAATTTTTATTATTGCTGCCTTAATTTCAGTTTACCCAAAAGTGATTTCAAAAGCAAGTTATTTAATTTCCATGTAATTATGTAGTTTTGAGAGATGTTCTGAGTTCTGATTTCTATTTTTATTCTACTGTGGTCCATGAGTATGACTGGTATGATTCTGACTTTAAAAAATTTATTGAGACTTACTTTATGGCCAAGCATGTGCTTGATCTTGGAGTATGCTCTGTGTGCAGCTGAAAAGAATAAATATTCTGTGGCTGATGGGTGGAATGTTCTGTAGATGTCTATTAGGTCTAACTGATCAGTGTCCATTTAAGTCCAGAATTTGTTAGTTTTCTGCCTCGATAATCTGTCTAACACTGTCAGTGTCTAACACACGATAGAAATGGCAAGGAGCCAGCTAAGAACTTCATGACAGGCTCAAAACCTCATGTACCAATATTAACCTTGAATATAAATGGCCTACACGCCTCACTTAAAAAGCACAGAGTGGCAAGTTGGATAAAAAACAAGACTCATCTGTCTGCTGTCTTCCTCCTTCCTCAGCCTTTTGAGTAGCTGGGACTACAGGCACCCACCATGACGCCTGGCTAAGTTTTAAGTTTTTTGTGGAGAGGTTTCACTGTGTTGCCCAGGCTGGTCTCAAACTCCTCAGCTCAAGCGATCCTCTTGGATTGACCTTCCAAAGTGGTGGGATTACAGGCATGAACCACCATTTCTGGCCTAAATTCTTTTTTATTTTTGTCTGACTGGGTTAGTTCAATAACAGTGGGTGAGTTGAAGTCTCCCACTATTATTGCGCAGCTGCCTTAAGATTTTTCATAGGTGTGGAAGTATTTGTTTTACGAATCTGGGTGCTCCAGTGTTGGTGCATATATATTTGGGACACTTAAGTCTTCTTGTTGAACACTTTATAATTATCTATTGTTGGTTTCAAGTTTGTTTTATCTAAGAATAGCAACTCCTGGTTTTGTTTTGTTTTGTTTGCATGATAATTCTCAAACCCTTTACTTTGAGCCCGTCTCCTGTAGACAGCAGACAGATGGGTCTTGTTTTTTATCCAATTGCCACTCTGTGCCTTTTAAGTGAGGCACTTAGGCCATTTATATTCAAGGTTAATATTGGTACACGAGGTTTTGATCCTATGTGAAGTTCTTAGCTGTCTGCTTTTCAGTTTCTATGATGTGGATGCTTTATAGGGTCTGTGGGCTATGTACTTAAGTGTGTTTTTGTACCATTCTTCCATTCCCTTAAAGAGCTCTTGTAAGGCCCGTTTAGTGCTAATGAATTCCTTTAGTGCTTGCTTGTCTGGGAAAGATTTTACTTCTCATTCACTTATGAAGCTTAGTTTGACAGGACACAAAATTCTTGGTTGGAATTTCTTTTCTTTAGGAATGCTGAAAATAGACCACTGTTGTTAGTTTGATGGGGTTCCCTTCGTATGTGATCTGCCTTTTTTCTCTAGTTGCCTTTAAGATTTTTACTTCAGCACTGACCTTGGACAGTTTGGTGACTATAAGCCTTGGTGATGCTGACCTTGTATAGTATCTCACAGTGTTCTCTGAATTTCTTGTAACTGAACGTCTACTTCACTAGCAAGATGAGGGAAATTTTCTTGAATTATTCCCTCAAATATGTTTTCCTGGTTGTTTACTTTTTCTCCTTTTCTCTCAGGAATGCCAATAATTTGTAGGTTTGGTTCCTTTAACATAATCCCGTATTTCTTGAACACTTTGTTCATTTTTAAAAATTCTTCTTTTCAGACAGGGTCTCGCTCTGTCATCCAGGCTAGAGTGCAGTGGCATGATCATGACTTACTGCAGCCTCCATCTCCTAGGCTCAAGTGATCCTCTTGCCTCAGCCTTTCGAGCAGCTGGGACTAGAGGCACTCATCACCACACCTGGCTAAGTTTTAAGTTTTTTTGTAGAGCAGAGGTCTCACTGTGTTGCCCAGGCTGGTCTCAAACTCATCAGCTCAAGTGATCCTCTTGAATTGACCTCCCAAAGAGGTGGGATTACAGGTATAAACCACCATGCCTGACCTAAATTCTTTTTTGTTATTTTTGTCTGACTGGGTTAGGTCAAAAGACTGGTTTTCAAGCTCTGAAATTCTTTCTCCTGCTTGGTCCAGTCTATTGATAAAGCTTTCAATTATATTTTGAAATTCCTTAAGTGATGCTTCTATAGCCTATGCATTTCTATCAGCTGATTTTACTTTGGGCTGTGTGGTTTGACCTACAAGCTAGTAGATAGCCCTTATGAGTAAAAGCCAGCTGAGGCCAACATGGCAGGGTATATACTTGATCCTTGTTACTGGGATAATCTCTCTGTTGTCTCAGGCAATGGGCTGATCTGTGGTGTGCACAGTGGTCTGGCCTCCCTGCTCAGACATGGTGGGCAAGATGGGCAGGGCCAGGCTGAGCAGGCCTGCCTACAGGTACCCCAACGGCAGGCACAAGCACCAACACTGAGGGAGAATACAGTGGGCAACCACCAGGTGTCTAGAGGTGTGCCTAGGCATGGAGCTGGGAAACCTCCTTGGCTCCAAGTTCTCTGCAGAGGGAGCGGGGTAGCCTAAACTCCTAATCGAGGACAGTGGGTGTTCCAGATTCCTGAAGATCTGCCTGGGCATGGAGTATAAAGGGCCCCACTGCACCACAGTCTCTGCACAGGCAGGGTGGCGTGGCTTAAGCTGCTAAAAGTATCATTTTAAAAATCACTATGAAATGATCAGAATGGAAATTTTTTACCAAATCAACTTCTGTCATTAAAATAAGTTTTTAATAAAAACATCATTTATAAATATTCATCATGTATTTTCTTATAAATGCTTACCTACCAAAAAAACTTCTCTTTGTAAATATACAGATGCATCCATCATTCTTTGAAGAACAGCCATTTTTAGTTCTTTAATATTCATCTCTTCATGTTTAAAGGGTTCACCATTATAAAGAGCTTGAGGCAAAGGACCCAGGCCAGTCATCTTATAAAAGCTTGCTCCAGCCTATTCAGTTAAAAAATATCAGAGTGTTAAACAAAATATGATTGTTTGAATAATAAACATAAGAAAATGGAACACCGCCACATTTTTATATGCCATAGGAAAAAACATCCATTTTGCTAACTTTATCTGTCCTTTCCAAACATTGCCTAAAGGAAAGTAATTTACCTACAAGGAGTCAAAAAACTTTTTATGTAAAGGGCCAGAGAGTAAATATTTTAGGCTTTGTGAGCCACTCAGTTTCTGACATAGTGACTCCACTCTCGTTACAGCACAAAAGCAGTCATAGACGACATATGAATAAACAAGTATGGCTGTGTCCCCAAAATATTTACAAAAACAAGCAGTGGGTGGACTTGCTGATTCTTGGTATAGAGTATGACATTAACTTAATAAACATCCAAACATTTATCGGCATCAGAGACTTATTTATCCCTGTATTTATATGTTCAATAAACACTTATTCAATCCTGCCACCTGCATTAGGCTAGATACTGTGATTATAGAGCTGAAAGTCTTTTCTCAAGGGGTTCACATACAGACAGACAAAACACAGGCATGTAGAAGACTCTATGGGGCCCAGGAGAAGCACCTAATCAAGCTGGAGTATGGAGAGGAAGGGATCATACAGGTCTTCTTTTAGGGAGTCATACTAAAAATCTTAAAGGCTTAATAAAAATTTGCCAGAGAGATAAAATAGAGAAAGACAGTCCAAGTGAGGAGAATATAGCAAGGGAAGTAAGAGTGTGGTATACTTATGCAATGGTAAATTCACAGTTGATATGGTTTGGCTGTGTCCCCACCCAATTCTTATCTTAAATTTTAGCTCCCACATTTCCCACATGTTGTGGGGGGACCCAGTGGGAGGTAATGAAATCATGAGGGCAGATCTTTCCCATGCTATTCTCGTGACAGTGAATATGTCTCATGAGATCTGCTGGTTTTATAAGGGGGAATTTCCCTGCACAAGTTCTCTTCTCTTGTCTGCCATCATGTGAGACATGCCTTTCACCTTCTGCCATGATTGTGAGGTTTCCCCAGCCACGTGGAACTGTAAGTCCATTAAACCACTTTCTTTTCTAAATTGCCCAGTCTCAGGTATGTCTTTATCAGCAGCGTGAAAATGGACTAATACAGCAGTGTTTACAGGGTGTGAAATATGGGGGACAGCTGTCAGATACGGAGTTAGAGAGGGGTGTAGGCAGAGGCCAGATCATGAAGGTCCTCAACATTTGAATTTTAGCTTATGAGTTAAAAAGTGACTAAATAACTCATTTGCTATCCAATACTAAGTATTATCATTATTATAGCCAACATTCTCACAAATACTCTAGGAAGCCAAGTACTACTATTACATCAATTTTACAGATGATAAAACAGATACAGAGAGATTAAATCACTTCTTATGTTACACAGCTACAATGTTTTGGAAATGGAATTTGCACCCAGATCTGTCTGACCAAGAGTCTGAACTCTTAACCACTGTACTATACTATCTGTACGTTTAGTGGGCACCTACTATGTCTTAGGTTTATGAATGCATGTAAATGATATGCAAACTCTCTCCTAAAGCTTATAGTTTAACAAGGATAAACTCCTCCACTCCTTTCCTTCTTGGCAATGGCATCAACACTACCAGTTAGTTGTTCAGCTGAACCCTGGGAGTTACCCTTGACAATTTCTCATCTCCCCTCTACCTTATCCAATCCAGCAGCACCTGGATGGTACTTCCTAAATAATTCAAATATGTCCATTTTCTCTGCCTCCACTTCTTCCAAAAGCCTACTAGTCCATCTCACATCTCTCACCTTATGTTTCCTAATACATATCACCACACCTACTCCTCCCCACCAACAATCCATTCTCAACAATGGAGAATGCTCTTTAGAAAAAAAATGCATGTCACTGTCACTTCACTACTTAATGCCTTTCAGGTTTTTCACTGTTGCCAAGAGCTTCTACTGACATGAGTGCATTAAATGTTGTTCACAAGACCCTGTATATTCAGACCCCTTGCTTGCCTCTCCAGCCTTATCTCCTCGACTGTACCCTATAACACAGGAACAACATATGCTTTCAATCTACACAGTAGCAACATCAGCTTCTCTCAATTCCTTTACATCTCAGAACACAATATTTTTCTGACTGGAATGTTAATCTCTTACAACCCCCTTGTTTTCTTTTGTCTAACTTTTCCTCCTGCTTCAGGATTCTGCTTAAATATCACTTCTTCAGAAAAGTATTCCTTATCCCCATACCCCAGAGCATTCCTCTTTCATTCAATGTGTTGCGTATTTGGTGAGTCCCTTCTAATGAAGGCTCCTATACATTAATTTTTGGAATTTCTTTGTACTATTTCTCTTTCTCTGAAAATTTCTTTGAGTTGTTGCCTTTTTTTTTTTTTTTTTTGGCTCTTTCCGAATCTTCTGGGTTGAGTCTCTAATTGTTCACCTTTTAAAAAATGACAAGTAAAAAATATATATGTTTATGATATATGACATTTTGATATTAATATACATTGTGGAATAGCTAATAAAGCTAATTATCATATGCATTACCTCATATACTTCTCATATTTTGTGGTGAGAATCCTTAAAATGTACTTAGTAATTTCAAGTATAAAATATGTCATTAACTACAGTCACCACCATGTACAATAGATCTCTTGAACTTATTTCTCTAGTCTAACTGAAATTTTGTATCCTTTGACCAATATCTCCCCAATTCTGCCATCCCCAGCCTCTGGTAACCCCCATTTTACTCTGTTTCTGTGAGTCTGACTTTTTTTAAAGATTCTACATGAGTAGAGATCATGTGGTGTTTGTCTTTCTGTGCCTGGCCTACTCCACTTAACATAATGTCCCAACTTACCTTTCTTTCTTCATCATATTTAGAATGAATTCCCAAAATATCCCAAATATTAGCATGAGGAAATGTATTTTGGAGAACACTCTTCACATTGTCCACAGTGAGTATATTTTGATCCTTCTTCACTTTTTGGTACATCTGTGAAAATTTAGATATTATAATTAATTTTCTTCTTATAGCAATTAGTTTTCTTTTTTTTCCTTAGCATGCAGATAGATTTTTATTTTGTAAGTTCAAAATATACTAACTACACATACACACATACCACATAAAAATAATTTTAACCATATATCATCTTTTAATAAAGATGGTTTTAAAATATTCTATAGTTTTCAAAAATATCATAACAAATTTATGTTTTACTCTATTTTGATGAAACCAGACACCATTATTCTTAATAAAATAATGATTACCTTTTTTAATGTATGTATAATATATTCTAATATGACATTTCAGAAATGCTTTCATTTTTTATTGCTTTTCTGTAATTTTTTTCTTTTTCTTTTTTTTTTTTTTTTTTGAGACAGGGTCTTACCATTGACTAGGCTGGAATGCAGTGGTGTGATCATGGCTCACTGCAGCTTCAACCTCCCAGCTCAAGCAATCCTCCCACCTAGCCCCCTGGGTAGCTGGGACTACAGGAACTTGCCACCACACCTGGCTAGATTTTTTGGTATTTTTTGTAAAGATGGGGTCTTGCCATGTTGCTTAGGCTGGTATCGAATTCCTGGGCTCAAGCAATCCACCTCCTGCGGCCTCCCGAAGGGCTTGGCTTACAGGAACTTGCCACCACATCTGGATAAATTTTTTTGTATTTTTTGTAAAGACAGGGTCTTGCCATGTTGCTCAGGCTGGTCTCAAACACCTGGGCTCAAGCAATCTACCTGCCTCGGCCTCCCAAATAGTTGAGACTACAGGCATAAGCCACCATGCCAGGCCTTACTAGTAAGTATTTTGACTAAACTTTCTCTGCACCTCTACTCTTCCCCAGTCTCAAATATTCTAAACACACTTGTAGAATGTAAGCTGTTATTCTTTTTATCTTTTCTCATTTCTTTCTTTAATAAGTACTTAGAGATCCTCTATGACCCAGGTGCTGTTTTAGGTTTTGCACCAAGAGAGATGGCATCTCTTGAGTAGACGACTAAGCTGAGACATAAGTATGAACACTCAGCTAGCATTAAGACATTCTGGGGAAAGAAACTTATAAGCAGAAGGAACAAGTAGTAAGTACAAACACTATTAAGCAGCATTTGATATATCACTGAAGAATATTGCTTTTGGTCCCAATTTACTTATGTCATTATTGCCAAACATAATCTTCATATTGTGGCTAAAATGATCCCCATGTTATATTCCTCACAGTAAGAAATTAGTATTCTTTGCTCTCCCTTTATCACTGTAAACTTTGTACCCTATTCCTTTAAGCAGCAGCACAGGTATGTAATTAGACTGAAGAGTTTCATTTTACGAGTTTTTCAATTTAGGGGCAACTTTTCTCCTCCTATCAAAGTAGAACATAATGTGATCATAACTCAAAAAAAGTGAAAAGTTCCATCTTTTGTAAAACATAAATGGAGATCACAAAAATGAGACTCTGAATAAAGCAAAAGATAAAGGAAAAGTCATTCAGATTAGTCATTTTACTAACTAGTCACCTGAAAATATTAGATACTCATAAAATAAGGTAGTCAGAATGCCTCACATAAGTTACTCAGACATATCAACTCAATCCTCTTACACATTTTTAAATTTTAAAAATTATTTTGTAACTTGGTAAGCAAAGAGGAATACACATAACATACACATTATGAGGCATAAATAACAAAATAAACAATTCTTATGAATAAACCACGTAACATAAGAAATGGAACATCACCAATGCCATGAAGTACAACTTCTCTCCCAATCCCATTTCCTTGTGCTTCAGGAGATGCAAGCATTGTTTTGAATTTGCATTTATCATTCCCTTTCCTTTTTGAATTCTAGAGTTTTATGCGAATACGTATTCCCATACTTAGTTTTGTTTGCTTCTGAGCTTTAAGAAGTATATGGTATGGTGTTAGTCTTCTATGACTTCATTATGTTTCTAATACATCTATGCTCTTGCATATGATATTTCATTCTAATATGCCAAATTCTACTTATCTATTTTGCTACTGATATGTATATTTGTGTCATTTTTATCATAGTTTGTTGCTATTCTGAATGATTCTGCTAACAATAGCCTCCTAAGGTGCAGGTACAAGAGCTTCTCTTAGGGTGAGGGTGTGTGTGTGTGTGTGTGTGTGTGTGTGTGTGTGTGTGTGTGTGTGTGTGTTGTCTGTAGGAAATGTGGAAATTTAACTTCAAATAGTGAATTATTATCAGATTGTTTTTCAGTGTGGCTCTGCCAGTTTAGATTCCTACAGGCAGGGTAGCAATGTAAATGTAAAGGCATTCCATTGCTCTACATTCTCATTAACAAATGATACCTTCAGCTTTCTTAATTCCTGCCAAATTACAGGGTATAAAATAATCTTGTGGTCGTAGTCTTTATTTGCATTTTTCAAATTTGTAAGATAATTATCTTGTTTAGTTACCATTAATGGTAATAAATATTTACCACCAATAATTTCAGTATATTTTTATTTACCATTAATGCATCTTCTATTTTAAAAGTTATTTTATGCATTTCTCCTCTTGGGTCATTGGTATTTTTCTTTTTGAATTGTAGAAAATGTTTACATCTCATGGAATATAAATATTTTATTGGCCATATGTATTGTAAATACTTCTCCTGCTTATAACATTTTTCCCTATTTTTTAATGACATATTTTAATGGGCACTGGTTTTCATTTGTAATTTAGCTGAAATTATCAGTATTTTCCTGCAGACTTAGAGCTTTTTAAGTTTTATCTAGGAAACCCTTACCTTGAGGTCCTAACTTCTAAATGTTTTAAAGTTTTGTTTTCCACACTTACATTTTTAAGCTAACTCAAATGATTTTTACACAAGGTGTAAAGTCTTATTTACTTGCATTGGTATAGCCACTGTTGAACCACAGTTGTTGTAAGTCCACTCCCATTTACTGTAATGTCACTTCTGTATTCTTAAGTTTTGGGACCCCCACGTTCTTTTGATAGATATGTCTTTCCCTGAACCAATACCACAAACTTTATACATCTTATTACCTGGTATGACAAGTCCCATCACTTTATCCTTCAAAGTCTCACCCATTTTGAGTCTTCATTCTTCCATATAAATTTTAAAATAAAACATCACATTTCACAAAAATCCCCAAAATTCCACTTTGGTCGGAAATGCAATGAATTTAGAAATCACTTGCAGAAAACAATATAATTATGAAGTGAAATATTTCTATTGATAAACATGGTAGAGCTTTTCATTCATTTAGGTAAACTTTCATGGCTATAATTCCAAATTTTCTCCACAAAACTGACCTTCCCCCCAGCCCCCAGGTTTCCTAAGTATCTTTTATTTGCTTGCTCTTGTCATTGTAAATGTAGGAGTCATTACAGAAAGTACTCTCATGAGGATAAGGATTGTTGGCTATATATGTTATTAATTTATCCAAGCACCTAAAACAGGGTGTGGTATGTAGTAGGCATTTAATAAAACTGATGAAAATAATTAATAAATATTTGTTGTTAGAAGAGAGAAAAGCAACTGATATTAGTATACTGATCTCATATCCAGTTACTTTACTAACCTCCTGTGTCAAATCTCACAATCAATGGATTCTTTTGAGTCTCCTCTGTAGGCAAGTCTGGAATTTTAAATAAAAATTTGTTTCTTTTAAATATTTTAAATGAGTATTTCCTTTACTTATCTTATTGCATTGACTGGAACTTGAGGATTATACTTGAAGTGTTGACAGTGGGTACCTTATCTTTTTCCATTTTTAAAAACAATGCTTTCTATCATTTTACTGCTAAGATGTGCTGTCATCAATTAACAAAATTCCCTTACATAATAGTTCGCTAAACATTTTGTTTCTTTATGAGTTTTTTAATCATAAAAAAGCTTTGAATTTTTTCAAATGTTTCTTGTGCATATTCTTGAATAATATATTAACATGGTGAATTATATTTAGAGATTCTTTGAATTTGCAAATACTTTCTTTTATTCATTAGATAATCTCACCTTGTCATGATAATTTACTTTTTATATACCTGCTGGATTTCTTTTGTTAATATTTTATTTAGGACTTTGGCATACATATTCTCAACAAAGAACAGCCTATAATTTTTCCTTTTCTCTTCTTGTCAGGCTTTGACATCAGATTATATTAGATTCATAGACTAATTTAGGTAATATTTCCTCTTTTTCTATTCTCTAAAAGATATTTTAAAGACTGAAATTATTATTTCTTCAAACATTTGAATATTTGGTAGAATTTGCTGTGCTAGTTTTAAAACATGGTCTCCAAATTCTTCAACACTCCTTCCATTGAGAAGTGGGTATATGAATCTGAATCTGTGACTCTTTGATAAACAGAATACAACGGAATAAACTGAAAGTAATGATGTACCCATCTCTGAGCCCAGGCCTTAAGAGTCTGGAAGTTTATACCTGGTGTGCTCATCTGGAACCTAACCTCTATGATAGTTTGTCAATTTTATTTGTTTTTTCAGAATATCAACTTTTATATTCTTGATCCCATAATTGTATTATTTCCTAGTTCATTAATGTATATTCTTATTACTTTCCATCTACTTTTTAAAAATCAGTTACTCATTTCTGAATGGTTAACTAGTTCTTTTAACTCCTTTTCTAACTAAAAGACATATTTTCCTCTTCTGTTTTGAATGCAAAATCATCTCATTCTCTGATTGTTGGATATTATATTTGCCTTTAAAATTAATCTTAAGTGTATTGTTAAAATCTTATATATTTTTACTGATTTTTAATCTGCTTCACCTATTAAAAAATGTTGAAATAACCTACTACTATTATAGTGAAACTGTCCATTTATCTCCCTTGCTATCAAATTTTGTATTGTATATTTTGAAGCTACATACAACTTTAGTACTTTTTCTTAAAGTTTATTTCCCCTAATATTTTATGGCTACCTTAGATTTCATTTGTGATAGTCACCTTGTGTATAACTTTCTGTCTTTTTATATCTTTTCTGCTAGTATGCTAAAGTTTAATTTCCTCACACTTAATATGGTCACAGATATGGTTGGATTAACTTTAATATTTGCTATTTGTTATCACATTTCAATAACTTCCATATATTTTATTATTATTTTGGTCTTATATTCTTCTCTCTTTATAGTGCTAAATAGCTTCAAATTACTTAATTGAGATAAGGTAATTAGCTCACTGAAAACAGGCAAACACTTTTAAAAGATTTTATAATTCATGTATTTTCCTAAAAACTATGCCTTGTTCAAATTATTTCTCCTTCTCCCTCTCCTTCTAATTGTTTAGCACAACTTGCAGGCTGTGCCACAAATTTAATACTTACTTTTATGCTGCTTTGTATTAAACCCTGTGGTTTCAAGTATAATTTGTTTTTCCAGGAGATTATATATTAACAGTATTGTGCTGAACACTGTAGATTAATGCCATCACATGTAAATTAATGTCTGATAAAAAACACTTACAAAACAGAGATTCAATATTGATAATTAAGATAACTTAGGTAAAGATAATTTCTGAATATCTTCAGGTTTCTAAGTTTTGAATATCATAATGATCCTTTACAATAAAATGGCTGAATCTTGAATCTTAATAAAAGATGTAACTCAAATTGACTATGTCCCTTATAAACTCTTACACCAGTAAGTTAGTAAAACAAATAAGCTGAGACATAATATTGATGCATATTCCATGGCACTATTTTATAGAGCAAACTGTACCCCTGCCAAATCACTGAAGTGTAGTTTCTATACTCTAGCTCAGTGAATTAATAAGGTATTTAATGATTTTCCTGGGAGTTACAGAAGTAGGGTAGGAAATTTGCACTACTTTGGAAATTCCTTTCTCAGTTGGAAGAAGAGTCATTCCTTGATATAATATTGATTGACAAGCTAAAGCCCAATGAATATAAAAATGAAAAAAAACTTCTATTTTATAAGCTATGACTTATTTTATAAGTTATTTTATAAGCTATGACTTGACTTTTCTTAATAACAACAATATAGCTCTTTAATACATATATATTTCCACAATGATCCATAACAGAATTTCAAAACCTCAATTACGAAATAATCTTACTATCTCTTGTTCTTCCTTAATCAGGTTCTTACCAATTTCTATCATCTGTTATATGATCTCTTTGTCAGATTCTGTATCAACCTTACCTCTTTCACACAGTTTGCTGTCAATAAATGACTTCCCCCTTCTTTGAAAGTCTCTAGGAAGTGTTTATATGCTATGTCATTCAGAATATTTAACTCTGCAATGATTTTTTGTTTTTCCATGAGACAGGCTCTCTCCATTGCCTGGGCTGGAGTGCAGTGGCTCGATCTTGGCTCATTGCAGCCTCAACCTTCTGGGCCCAAATGATCCTCCCACATCAGTCTCCTGAGTAACTATGACTACAGGCATGTGCCGCTGCACCTGGAATTTTTTATTTTTTTTTTGGTAGAGACAGGGTCTCACTGTGTTGCCTATGCTGGTCTCGAGCTGCTGGTCTCAAGCGATCCTCCTGCCTTGGCCTCCTAAAATGCTGGGATTATAGGCATGAGCCACTGTGCCCAGCCTGCAATGATCTCTTTAATCAAAGCCTAGTTCAAGAATTTTTTCTTAAATAATCATTTTCTATTAATATGTTTTCCTCTAAAGTTACATATAAAATTTAAATTACTTTATTGGCTGAGTAAACCTTAGTAAATTCAAATATCTTGGTAGAACCTCAGTTGCCTAATTTATAATGTGAGGATAATATGTACTTCAGAAGGGAGTTACAGAAAACAAATTCATCATCTGTATTAATCTCCATGACAGTTTATAAACTTTGAAATGTTACAATAAATGTAATGCAAAAATTATACATTCTAAAGAAATCATAATATAGTAATGCAAGAATTTTACCTTCTAAACAAATCACATTTAGTGCATAAACTCACGTGTACTATAGAAATAAATGCTTCTGATATATCAAATTCTTCTGCAATATAGTTGAAAGCTCGCCAGAGAGCAACTCCAGCATCATTTGCTCCATCAACTTCATCATCTGTATTAAGAATGAACACAAAACCAATTCTGGAAAAAGAAGATGAACAAGGACTGTTATAATTACCTCTTGAATCACAATAAACCATTATTTAGAAACGTTATTAGACTACAATATCTAGATGGAGAGAATGTATTAATAGACAGAGAAAAGGAGAATTTTATCACTTCAAAAGTTTGAATGTAATGCCTATTCACCAAAATCCACATAGCTACTGGATTCCTATAAAATATCACTCTCTCTCCCTCTAGTGCTAACATTATCAAATGGCCATGTTCTTTTGTACAAAAAGGGTAAATATACTCTTTTTATTTTTATTTTTTTTGAGACAAGAGTCTCGCTCTGTCACCCAGGCTGGAGTGCAGTGGCACAATCCAGGCTCACTGAAACCTCCGCCTCCCAGGTTCAAGTGATTCTCCTGCCTCAGCCTCCAGGTAGCTGGGACTATAGGTGCGCACCACCACGCCTTGCTAATTTTTGAATTTTTAGTAGAGACGGGGTTTCATCATATTGGCCAGGCTGGTCTTGAACCCCTGACCTCGTGATCTGCCTGATTCGGCCTCCCAAATCCCAAAGTGCTGGGATTACAAGCATATGAAGCTGGACCTTTCTATAAGTTTCCAGAGTGATCAGATTATTCTCTCAGAAAGGTAATAAACAACATTACCAGACAGATTTGATAAACAGAGTCTAACATAAAGGTATATAATACTTCACAACGTGCAGCTGTGTTATGTCAGGCACTAGAGCTAACCATCGCTTTGAATGCCCTATTAATACTCTGTGTAACACAATATGAATAACATTGAATTTCCTTTAGTTGACAGTTTAATGCTATAAAATGACAATTACCTAAGAGGAACTTCGTGAGAATAGAAAACATCAGCAAGTTTTATAAAATCCAAGGTATATTCTTGGGCCGGATCAATAAACAGAACCTAAAAGAAAGATAGTATATATCACTATTTCAACACCTTAGAATCTTCATGAAATTCAAGTTTAGACTAATTTTTGTGACTGAAAGTATGAAATTCAATGTGTAATTTTTAAAGAAATTCTAGCAATTCTAAGGAATACACACACACACACACACACACACACACACACACATATAAAGGATTTCACAATTTATGAAGGATTTCTAAAAGCTGCACATCCAAACATAATTATACATGGAATTTAACATCAGGCTACTCATCTTCTTTTTGGAAGCCCAGTATATTTTATTTTGCCTGAATTGAAATACCTTATTCTAAATGTTCATTAGATTTTCTATGATAAATTTTTTCAAAAGGAAATAGAGATTGAATTTTGACCAAAAAAAAATAGCATTAACATAACTGCTTTATCAAGACTGCTGCAAAAAATATCTTATTCATTTCCTATGTGAAAAAACAGCCGTAGGTATTTTCTCCAACTTTCAAAGTTCCAATATTAATGTTTAGATATTATTGGGCTAATAAAATTATATGCATAGATGATAAAGTGGTATTTATGTATCTTTCCCTAAAATTACTACACTTTAATCATTAGTTCTTTTTAATAAAGAAGAAAAAGTTCTGTCATAAATTCTTTTGAAAAAATGTAAAAGTAACATTAATATGGTTATTATAAAATGACATAAGGGCTAAAGAGTAAGAGGCAGAACATGTGACTAATATGGTTTGGCTGTGTGCCCACTCAAATCTCATCTTCAATTGTAGTTCTCATAATCCCCATGTGCCGTAGGAGGGACCCAGTAGGAGGTAATTAAATCATGGAGGCAGTTGCCTCTATGCTATTCTTGTGATAGTGACTTCTCAGGACATCTGATGGTTTTATAAGGGGCTTTCCCCTTTTGCTCATACTTCTCCTTCCTGCCACTATGTGAAGAAGCACGTTTGCTTCCCCTTCTGCCATGACTGTAAGTTTCCTGAGGCCTCCCCAGCCATGCTGGGGAGTCAATTATACCTCTTTCCTTTATAAATTACCCAGTCTCAGGTATGTCTTTATTAGCAGCATGAGAACGGACTAATACAGTGACATGGCTAGTTGTTGATACCCAGTCAGCCATGCCACCTAAGCTTGCTGCTTCAGGCAAATACTTAACTTCCTTACAACTCAGATGCCTATTCATTGACAGAAGGATAATCCAGAAAGAATGCTGATATCTTTATAAGATATATATGTATAATCAAAATATAAAACTCACCAAATTATGAAAATTGCGCCTTATGGAAGGTACACTTCCAGGAAATACTGGCTTCAGAAGTTTCTGGCAACTTGTAGGCCATGTAATATACAAATCATCATTTTCTAAGTCATTAATCCACTAGAAAAGAACGCAGACACTTGTGAAAGCTATATTAACACTGAAATCATTTTCAAAGCCAGATTTTTACTATATCGTGATAAATAAAAATATACATAGAATTTTCTATATTTCTGATTAAATAGAGGAGCTAGTTTAATATTCTCTAAATTAAGGAATACATTATGTGCAACAATTTTATACTTGTGTAGCCTTTTACATTAAGCCTTCTCTCAAAAACAATTCCTTTCACTTGTGTTTGTTTTTCATATCCCAACGTAAAATTGTATGAAAATTACTCTCCATAAACCACTTAAGAGAGATGAATATTTATTTTAATTATCAGCAGTAAATGAAGCCCTCTCCACCTCCCCTCTCAATTTAAAGGCTTGGATATAAGGAAAATAAAATGGCTTATAAAAATTAAATTATAAAATCAACATCTTAGAAATCAAGTTCTAATCCACTATACAAGCTGGAGAAAACATATAAACTGCTGTTTAGAGGCATGTGGT